>NC_000012.12:101096491-101399521 GCF_000001405.40 Homo sapiens
GATGAGATTCAGCCTTTCAAACTCTGCTCACCTTTTGTCCACAGAACAGCCTCGCACAGAGTCTGAGTGGGAGAACAGCTTCACCCTGAAAATGTTTCTTTTTCAGTTTGTCAATCTGAACAGCTCCACATTTTACATCGCATTCTTCCTCGGAAGGTAAGAACCTGACCCCTGCACACCTCCCCAAGCTGAGGACAGAACACTTAGAAGGCACTGACTCGTGGGGACAGAGAAGCCCTCCCTTAGGGTGATTTATACAAAGTGTAAAAAGGGAAGAGCATCCTCCTCCCTTCTCTTCCCAAATCTCAAAACCACCTGGCATCCCAGGGAAATCATCTCCACTCAAAACTGTCTGTGCACCTTTTGTTGCTAAGATAAGCAGAGGAAAATAGTTTGTGCATGTGAGTGATGCATTGAAAACTTCTGGCCTCTGTCTGCACCTGAATCAGGCCCCTGGCTTTCCCACCTATGACGGCAGGTGGTACAACGGGGAGGGGGCTGTAGCATGTCCTGGATTCCTGACTTCACTTAAAAGGGAAGGACATCCTGACAGGAAAGGGGGCAAAAATGGGATACAGAGGATGCTGGGTAACTTTTAAATCCAGCAGTTATGAGGATTTGGGAAAGATTCCCTGGGTAGTGGTAATGTCGCATGAATTCCCTTACATCTGGAGGCATTTCAGAGGAGATGGGAACCTGGGAAGGACCAGGTATAGGGTTTTGGTGAGATCAACACAGCAGTCTCTCCTTCATTTCTAGCTATTCCAGCAGCACAAAATTCTAGGCAAATAGTTCAATAATTTTTTTAACAGCATGACTATTACTCAGAAAAATCAAATGTGTTTAAATCCAGGAGTAAAACTTCTGCTTACACAGGTCAGAGCAATTGATATGCAGCAGAAAATGTTGAAAGTCCACAGCAAGCAGCAAGAACTGGCTTCTGCTTTAGGCAGCCTGACAGAAAGGCCAGAAGAGACATGTGCCCTGGAGAATTCCAGAAGCTATGGTTATGACAGATCTGGAGGGTTTCCTAATTCCCCCAGACCTACTACTTATAGTAGCAGTCATTCACATTGGAGAATGTGCTAAACTAAATGTAATATTCGCTGAAAGCTTGGACCTAGAGCACTAATGGCTTGTTTTTCTCTGTGTGTTGAAGATTTACAGGACACCCAGGTGCCTACTTGAGGCTGATAAACAGGTGGAGACTAGAAGAGGTCTGTATTCTCCCATCATTCCTTGTTTCCGACAGACTTGCATTAAACAGCCTTAGGGCAACTTTGTGTAGATTATAAACCAGACACCCTTTCTTCCTCTCCATTGATTCTGGAATTTCTGTGTTTGCTTACCTTGCAGTGCCACCCTAGTGGATGCCTTATTGATCTGTGTATGCAAATGGGTATTATAATGGTGCTAAAGCAGACCTGGAATAATTTCATGGAACTTGGCTACCCGTAAGTACCTTAGTATCAATAATTGAGAGGCAGCATTGCTCATTATTGGCTTTTCTAGGTGTGGCAAGTAAGATAAGCAATGCAGACTCAGCAGTTAAGCCAGTGCGTGCACCTGGAACTAAGTGCTCACATTTAGACATCCAAAGGCAGCCATGAAAATCATAAACATTGGCTCTTCTGGGAGATTTAGCACAATTCACATGAACAAACGTGAATATTCTTTAAGGAGACTCTTTAGGCCCCTAAATATTGGATACTTGCTTGTGAGCCACTTTAAATACCTCTGACCTTTCGGGCTCCAGCATTGCAAGTCCTTAGCTATGTATGACACATTAACTACATCTCCACTCTCCCATCCTCATGGTAAGGCTGGTGATAAGATGTTGACAACAATGAGCAAAACCTTGCATCAACTTGGTAAGGATGACCTTGAATTCTGCTGTGTTTGCTCAGTTATGGTCAGTTAAGTTTTAATGGGGACATAAATCAACAATGCTTCTATTCTGCTTTAATTCCACACCTATTGGTTTCCATGTCAGCTCAATGTCTCTGTAGAGACAAAGAAAACTCAAGGTTTCAGGGAGGACCACTCAGCCAGAACGATTAGTGGGAACTTGGTTCACTTCAGAAAATCTTTTCTTAGCTCTCTGTCAGAACCAAAGCCAGTAATTTTCTGTTCTTAGATTTATTTTTAGAAATCTTGTTCCAAGTATTTGATGTTTTCTATAAAACTTTTAAAAAATAAAACATTAAACAAAAATTATCAGTGTTGTATTCTACTTTAAGATATAAATCACAATTAAAATGTCATAGACATCAAGAGAATTATATTTTATCTTCTGATAATAAGGACATAGAGCAAAATTG
The DNA here is from genome assembly GCF_000001405.40 of Homo sapiens. Classification (NCBI taxonomy): domain Eukaryota; kingdom Metazoa; phylum Chordata; class Mammalia; order Primates; family Hominidae; genus Homo; species Homo sapiens. Next base: position 101,098,813 of record NC_000012.12, read on the forward strand.
TAAAGTAGGCAGTTTGTCTTTGATGTTCATTCCTTTATTTGCTTCATTTCCCATGTGTTTTGTTTTTTGGCCCTTCTACTCCTGGATATCCTTCAACTTTTTCCTTGTCCTGTACAGAACACAGACCTGCCTCCAATCTGTCATTTCCTCAATGCTTTCTCATATTACAAAATGCACTCCTGAACACTGCTAAGGGTTCCTGTGCTAACCTTACCAATGCCGGGTGCATTTTACTGGGAGTCAGAGTCCCTGTGGAGAGCTCATGCCAAAAGCAAACAAGTCCAGTTGTAGAACTGCAGGTGTTTGTGTGCCAAGAGAGGAAGCATTTTGTGGGTTTGCAGATCTTTAGGCCCCTGATGTCAGAGTATACAGCTCAGCACCCATGTAGCAAGACTGCTCAAGGGTCCTAAATCAAGCCACTTAAGCCAGATATTCCTCAAGATATCTTGGTGTTGCCTTTGTACTGGGGTATCCATTTATAGATATTCTCAGTCCTCTATTCAACCCTCATAGGCAATGCCCAACATGAGACAGTTTCATGAATGATTAAAACAAGTTCATCAATCATTCTGTTTACTTGCAAATATAAATACTTGAAGTATAGACTCCATTGTTATTTTCTTCCTAACCTGAGGCTTTATTTCTTTGATAGCCTGTCCTGAATTTTTTCAAACTATTGTTTCTGTATTCAAACTCTCCTTTTTCTTATTACCTAAGTCATATGATCAGTTACATTTTTTGTAAGAAATTGATCTTTTTGCCCAGGTTAATTCAGAATTGGTGGACTAGAAGAAAAGTACGACAAGAACATGGACCTGAAAGGAAAATAAGTTTCCCACAATGGGAAAAGGACTATAACCTTCAGCCGATGAATGCCTATGGACTCTTCGATGAATACTTAGAAATGAGTATGGAAATATTCTACTTTATCTTATTAATTATAAATTTTAGATCTCCAGGTATATTCAACTAAACATATACCCGTTATCATCAAGGTCCTCAGTGCGTAGGGATTCCTAAGGCAAACAGAGAGGAAGGCATGTCCTGCTTAAACTGTGCTACACTTACATTTAAGGAATCAGATTTCTCTGGAATCAAACCGAAGCTATTTCTCTTAGCACGTATCTAAGACCATGGGCTTTGGAAGTAAATTATCTGGGTTCAAATCCCAGCCCTATCATTTATTAACGGTGAAACTTTGGGCAATTACTTAATCTCTCTTTGTCTCAGTTTCCTCATCTCTAAAGTGGGAATAATAATAAGAGGAACCATTTCATAAAGTCTTTGTGTGGATTAAATGAGTTAATGCATGAACATGACTTAGAGCAATGCCTAGCTCACTATGTACTTGGTACATGTTACTTATATCATTATTATTCTCTTATTCTTTTTGTCTTCTGGAGGGAAAGGCAAATAAAATATCTTAGATAAATTAAGTATGAATATATTTTCTTTCATTATTAAATTGAATATGTATATATTTCCTTTCATTTTAAGCTCTAACATAGGAGTGGAAATGAGGGAAGGGCTGGGCAAGAACCATTTCTTCTAAAGGTAGCAGTTCTTTCTGGTCAAATTAGAAATTTAAAGGAATAGTAGAATTGATGCTTAATGTTTCTTAAATTGCTTATGTTCTAAGTATCTACTTATGTCTTTAGAGTTTCAATTATAGAATGGAAGAATGATATAACCTAGGGAAGAAATCAATTTGGACATTAAAAATAAAACTTAATAAAGAGAATTCATTAAGAGAACTAACCACTTTGAGATCCTTAATGGATTCTTCTCCCATAAAGAAGACAATGAACAATAATGTTGGTATATTGAGTGCTTAAAAAGAACCTTTTATGTGGCTAGAATTTGGTAGTGCTCCAAATCCTGAAGTATCTTTGCAACACAAAACAAATCTCAGAAGTATCACAAGCAGACTGATGAGTTCTAACTGCTCACTTCTGTTCTTTTGTTTTTGCTATTTTCTTAATAACTTCCCCACTTTGTTATGTACTTTAAAATGTATTCACTGAAGTATAATAGTGGAAAAGTGTATATAAGTGTAGAGACCAATGAGTTTTTGCAAATTTACACACAAATGTAACCAAATATATGTAGATGAGAGGTTGGCAAACTATTGCCTGCAGGTCAGATTCAGCCCACTGCCTGTTTTTGTAAATAAAGTTTTATTGGAACACAGCAACTCCCATTTATTTACATATTATTTGTGGCTGCTTTGGCACTGCAACAGTAGAGTTGGGTAGTTGTGTCAGAAAGTGGCTGGTCTGCAAAGCCTTCTTTATTTCTAGAAAATGTTGCTACCCAGTGAGCTAGATCAAGAAATAGAATATTATCAATATCAAAGAAGACTTCTTTGTCCCCTCTTCCATTTATAACACCCTCTCTAACCACTTTCCTGACTTCTAACACCATAGATTAACTTTACCTTTGTTATTCTCCATTTAAATGTAATTGTAGAGTACATACCCTTTGTAGTTGGCTTGTTTCATTCAACATCATCTTTCTAACATTCTCCCATTTTGCTACAGGTAGTAGAACTTCATTTTATTGCTGTATAGTATTCCTAGAATGTAGACCAGGAGCCAAATTATGAAACAGGAGTTTGTCTTTGACACCCACCCTCATCTTTCCTTAGTCATGTGGGTTTTTCTGTTTGTTTGTTTTGTTTTGTTTGCATTTCCACTCCCAGATGAGCCCCAACTTTGTCCCCTGCTGCCCTGACACAGCACACAGACCCCTATACCACCATCAATCCCTCAACCCTCCACATATCATGAAATGTACTCCTGAGCACTCTAAATAATAATATGCTAGGTAACTGCATTTTAACAAAAGCAAAGCCTCTGCCAAGCTTGAGTCAGGAAAAAAAAAAAGGCAAATTCACTTGTAGAAGTGAAGACATCAGTGAGCCAAAAGATGAGCTATTTTGTGAGTTTGCAGATCTTCTAGGCTCCTGAATAATAATGTACTGTTATTGACCAGGCGTGGTGGCTCACACCTGTAATCCTAGCACTTTGGGAGGCCAAGGCAGGTGGATCACCTGAGGTCACGAGTTCAAGACCAGCCTGGCCAATGTGGTGAAACGCCGTCTGTACTGAAAGATACAAAAATTAGCTGGGCGCAGTGGCAGGCGTGTGTAATCCCAGCTACTTGGGAAGCTGAGGCAGGAGAATTGCCTGAACCTGGGAGGCAGAGGTTGCAGTGAGCCAAGATTGCACCATTGCACTCCAGCCTGGGAGAGAGAGCAAAACTCCGTCTCAAAAAAAAAAGAATGTACTATTATTTATCCATCCATTCTACTGCTGATAGACACTTGTGTTGTTTCCAAATTTAGGCTCTTATAAATAATACCTTTACGGCATTTTTGTACATGTATTTTGATTAACATACGTAGATGTTTTTATTAAGAATTTACATAAGAGTGGAGTTAGGAGGCCATAGATATGCATTTGTTTGTCTTTAATAAACACTTGAAAACAGTCTTCAAAACTGGGCTGTGCCAGTTTATACTCTGGCTAATAGTAGAACAGTTCCAGTTATTCCACAAACTTACTAAAACTTGCGTTCGTATTTTAGCCATTTGGGTTGGTATGCAGCAGTATCTCATCATGATTTTAACTTGAAATTTTATGATAACTAATAATGCTGAGCACCTTTTCATATGCTTATAGTTATTTGGATAAACTTGTGAATTTATATTCAAGCCCATGTTTTTTTTGTGGGTATCTGTCTTTTCCTTAGGGATTTGTTATTTATATATTCTGGATATCAATTATTTGTCAGATATATATGTTGAAAATTAAATATCACTTCTCAGTGGTTGGCTTGACTTCTCATTCTAATGGTGTGTTTAAATGAAAAGAAATTTCAGCTTCATTCTTCTTCAAAATTGTTGCCATATAAGTTTTAGAACCAGATTTCTAATTTCTATAAAAATCTTACTGAAATATTAGTTGGGATTAAATTGAACTCCTACATCAATTTGAAGATATTTGATGTTTCCCCAGTCCATGAAAATGGTATACCTTTGCATTTATTTATGTCTTTTTACATTTTTCTCAGCAATACTTTTTGTAGATTTTAGTATATAGGTTTTGTAAAATTTAGATTAGAGTTGTTTCTAGGCACCTTAGGAATCTTTGTGCAACTGCAAATGATGTTTTTATTGTTTTATTTTCTAATGTTTTGTTACTAATAATATACAGAAATATTGTTGTTTTGTATGTTTGCTTATGCAAACTTGCTAGCATCTAATGTCAATTAGAGTTGCTTATATATTTTTTGAGATTTTCTACCATATATACATAATTGTATCATCCACATATAATGATAACTTTACATTTTCCTTTTTAGTCATTTTATATATATATATATATATATATATATATATATATATATATATATATCTTTTTGTTCTTGCCTAAATGCACTAAGACCTTTTATATAATGCTGGATAAAATTGATGATACTGGACATCATTGTTTCTGACCTGAGGGTGAAAGTGTTCAATATGTTACCATTAAGTGTGGTGCTAGCTGTATTGTTTTGTACATACTTTTTATTATTTCCTTAAAGAAGTTTTCATATATCCCTAGGTTGCTGAGAGTTATTATCATGACTAGTATTACATTATATCATGTCATTTTTCTGAATCTATTGAAATGATTATGTGATTTTTTAAAAAATTTTACTAATGTGGTGGATTTCATTGATTATTTTTTGTTGTTAAAAAGTTGTTAAACTAACCTAGCAAACTTGGAAAAAATGCCCACTTGGGTCACCATGCATTTTTTTAATTACTAAGTTCAATTTGCTGATATTTTGCTTATGATATTTATATATACATTCATGGAAGATATTATAGTGTAGTTTTTCTTTCTTGTAACGTTTCATTTAGATTTGGGTATCATTTTTATGATAGCCCTTTAAAATGATTGGGTAATTATTTTTCTCTTAAGCAGTTTACATAAGATTACTATTATTTCTTTCTTACATACTTGGAAGAATTTACAATGAAGTAGCAGGACTTGAAATTTTCTTCACAGGAAGAACTTTAATTATAGATTTATTTTACTTAATAGATATAGGACTATTTCATTTTTTTGTTTCTTCTAGCATCTGTTTTCATAAGCTGTGTTTTAGTCATGTATTTTTTCAAGAAACTTGTTCATTTCATCTAAATTTTCAAACTTAGCAGCGTAAAATTGTTTATATATCTCCTTATTAACTTTTTATGTATCTAGGGTGTATAGTGATGCCCTTTCTTTCACTTATAATTTCATAGTTTGTGCTTTTCTCCCTTTTTTAAAACAGTACCTTAGAGGTTTATTAATCTTTTCAAAAGAAAAACTAACTTTGGTCTTTGTTGATTTTTCTCTACTACACATTTGCCTTTTGGTTCATTCATTTCTGCTCTTATCTTTATTTCCCTCCTTTACTTCCTTTGGGCTTAATTTCACTTTTTTTCTCAGCATCTCAAGATGCTGATTTTCAGATTTTCTTTTTTTCTAATATAGGCATTCAGAGCTATAATGTTCTCTATAAATACTGCTTTGGCTGTATCCCACAAGTTTTTATATATTGATTTTATTAGCAAAACATTTTCCATTTCCCTTGTAATTTATTTTCGACTATGCATTTTGAAGGAATGCATTAGTATCAAAACATCTAAAGAGTTTTGATATATTGCTCTGTCATTGATTCTAATTTAATTACACTGTTATCAGAGTATATTCTCTACGTTATTTCAGGCTTTTGATAATATATATATGTGTGTGTGTGTGTGTGTGTGTATGTATGTGTGTATATATATATATATATATATATATATATATATATATATATATAAATAAAAAGATTTACCTTATGCTCCTTTATACCATCTATGTTGATATATGTTTCAAGTATGTTCTGCATTTAGTTGTTTGGTATAATGGTCTACATTTTTATGTCAATTAGGCAAGATTGGTTAATTGTGTTTTTCAAATCTTCTAAGTCCTTGTTAAATATTGTGCCTCTTATCTACTAGTTACATACTTGAAATCCCCAAGTATGATTGTGGATTTGTCTTATTCTATTTTTAGTTCAGTCAACTTTTGCTTTATGTATTTTGAAACTGGGTTATTATGTACATACAAGTTGGATTATTCTGACTTACTGTTGAATTGGTGTTTTTATCATTATGTAAAGTAATTATTGAATAATGCAACACTTTGAGGATATGATGGGCAGGAGGCTGAAGAGCTAACCTTAAAACCTTTCAAAGGGCAGAAGTGAGCCTCTTATTGCCTCTCAGAGCTAAGGAGATAGGGACCCAGCAGTTTCTCAATCACAGCAAAGGAACAAGAACAAATCAAAGGTGGAGTAAGCTTTACAAACACTCTATGCCAGCACTAGCCCAGCTTAATCTGTGACCAGCTTTAAGTGATTTCTCTTATCTGCCTAACATCACCAGGAGGAATTCTTTCTTTATGGTAGAAAAGAACATCACTGAAAGCGGAGTATCACAAATTTGTTCCTAAAGAACTAGATAGTAAATAATTTTGGCTTTTTGAGCCAATGGCAAAATCAAGGCTATTTTGTAGACACTTTTACAGCCATTTAAAATATAGCCATTTAAAATGTAAAAACTATTCTTAGCTCACAGATGGTTAAAAAAGAAAATCAGATGGTTGGTCAAATTTGGCCACAGGCCATAGTTTGCTGACCCTTGATCTAGAGCCTCTACATGTGTGGCATACAATAAAAAGATTACTAGGTATGCAAAAAGGCAAGAAAATGTGACTAATAATCAAGAGGAAAAAGGAGACCCAAAGATGATTCAGAAATTGGGTTTAGCACACAGAGACTTTCAAATAGCTATGATTTACGTATAAAAATAGAAGAAAATACTGACAAAAATGATTGAAAAATTAAGACTTTTGAAAGAGAATTAAAATCTATAAAATAACTCTAGAATTGCAAAATATAAATCTGGAATTAAGAACTCATTTGATATGTTTAATAGCAGATTGAGGCTGGGTACGGTGGCCCACGCCTGTCATCCCAGCACTTTGGGAGGCCAAGGTTGGTGGATCACCTGAGGTCAGGAGTTCGAGACCAACATGGCGAAATCCTGTCTGTACTAAAAATACAAAAATTAGCTTGGTGGTGCGTGCCTGTAATCCTAGCTGCTCTGGAGGCTGATGCAGAGAATCAGTTGAACTGAGGAAGTGGAGGTTGCAGTGAGCTGAGATCATGCCACTGCACTCCAGCCTGGGCGACAAGAGCGAAACTCTGTCTCAAAAAAAAGAAAAAGAAAAATGAGCAGATTGACTTAGCGTAAGACAGTAAATTAGTGAACTTGAAGACAAGTCAATAAAAAGAAAATCCAAACAAGCCCAGAGAAAAGAACAGAAAAACAGAGCAGAAAACATAAGAAACATGCAAAACAGCCAAAAAGGCTGAAATATTTGTAAGAGAAGTCCTAGAAAGAATTAAAGAATGAGAAAAAGTGATATTTGAAGATGTAATGTCTGAGAAAGGGTAAATTAAAAGGAGGTAAACTTATATATTAGAATATAAAACAGTTAAAAGTTGAACTAGGTCTATATAGATCAAGATAATATCTCAAAATTATCATGTGATATGAACAGGGCAAAAAAATTGTAAATAATGATATTATGTAAAGTTTAGGCACAAAAATTATTTACATGATATATGCACTATGTATAATTTATTGATATATGGATATTCATGTGTGTGTGTGTGTATATATATATATATATATATAAATGAACTGGAAGGATGCATGCAAAACTCATGTCAGCAATTGTCTCTATGAAGGGAGAGGAAACCACTCAAGAGCAAAAATAGAGGAGAATTCAGTTTTATCTATATAGTATTTATTTTATTTATAAAAAGATATTAAGCAGGTATGACAAAATGTTACCAAGAGTTAATACTAACTCTTCCATGGGTATATGGAAGTTTGTTATATCATTCTTTATGCTTTCCAATATTTAAAAGTTTTTTCCCAAAGAATTTTTAAAAATTAATCTACCTCTATGCTACAAGTCTCTTCCCTTGAAAAAAAAAAGCAGCAGTTAATGGGCATTAATCACTTCAAGACCAATATCATGTGGGTCACCTTTGTGCTATGTAAAAATGATTGGTTGGTTTGGTTTTAGGCCATAATATTTAACTAGATAATGAAACTCATTAGGTGTCAGATAAACAAAAACTACCAATGAATTAAACACATTTTCTTTTTAAACTTGCAGTTATTTTCATTATAAATATAACCTGAAAGAACTAAACTCTAGTTGCTTTTTCTGTCCATAACATCCATTACTGTTAGTGATTGTAAGAATTATCTCTGTCAGTTTTATTTCTACCTGATAGGTTTTCTTTGTGTTCTGGCCTTCGTTGTAATTACATGTCAGTCATTGAACCAGCATTATTTGGTACCTGACAAGTCCTTCCCATACACAAAACCCCTGTAGTGAGTATGTAGGAAAAAGAAACATAAAGAAGTTGCTGTTTCTACTTTCATGAAGCTCACTGCAAAAGGGGAAAAAGGCAAAACGCCGTAAAATCAAGACAAAGTAAGTTTTATGGTGGTGAGCAGAGTTGTGGCAGCTACAGAGGAGGTAGTAGTTAATTACAATTATGAAAGACTCAAGAGGGTATATTTGAGTACTCTTGAAGGTAGAATGACTACTTCATCAAAGTAGTCATAGCAACACTGCATATATGCTGTATCCCCATAAAATCAGAAGACTAGTGTGGCCAGAGTAGAGGATTGTTTGGGAAACCTGTTTTCTGTGTGGGGTGTATTTGGACATGAGGCTTGGAAGTTTGCTTGGAGTCAATTTATTGAGATCCTTGAATGGCATGGTGAAGTTTCGGATTTATTCTGCAGCCAGTGAGAACCTACTGAAACATTTTGTGTAGGGAGATGAGTGATGGGGTTGAACCAACATTTTAGGCACACTGACAGCAGAATGATAGGGAAGGGAGCTGAAAGTTTGGAGGCAAAAAAGTCAGTTAGAAAATCAGAGTCTGAACTCAAGTGGGGACAGTGGAGAGGAGGGAGAAATGAGAGACATTTTTGAAGAGTAATTGTCAGGACTAGGAGGCTAATGGTTCTGAAGGCTAAGCTAGCAGAGACCTGGTTTTTATGCAAGTTGATTCAGAAGGGAGGAAACGAGAAGGGACATAAAAGGATAAATACGTTCAAGGATGAGGTTCAGAGATTGGTTTGGGGAGTGCTGTTTCTGTAGCATTACAGACAACTGGAAATTCCCTGAAAAGAGTCAGGGTTAGCGATAGAGAATTGAGAACCCTTATCAGAGAGATAATAATGAAGTCATAGGAGTAGATGGACTTACCAAGGAAAGAGAGAAGGCAGGAGAAAAATAAAACCAAGGTTGAAACAGAAGGGAACGCCCACATCTATTTGTGGGTAAAGAGCCACCTAGCACAAGCACTAAGTGTGAATGTGACCAAAGACAGGGGACACCTGGAGGTGGCAGTGTAACCAAGATGAGGTAGATGGACTCTGCAGAACTCTGGAGCTACAACGCTGGGATTAGAGTCCTTTCTTACTTAACTTGTTTTGGGCAAGTTACCTGACCTCTTTGTGCGTCGGTTTCCTTACCTGTAAAATGAGGATAATAGTAGTACCCACCACCTAAGGTTGTCATGAAAATTAAATGAGTTAGTGTATATGAAGTAATTAGAACAATGCCTGTTTTTACATAGAAAATGCTATATATGTGTAGTCATTGTTTTGTTGTTGTTACTTTCTAAAATAAAGTTTGTAAATATATTTTTTACTATTTTTACAGTCATATATGTATATATACATAGTCATTCAAACAGCCAAATACTTTTTGTCCATGATGCCCAGTAAATTTTATTTTTTTATTTTCCATTATGATGACTGGTTGTTTTGCATCAGAAACCACCTCCTTTTGAAAAAATTTTTATTTTGCAAGTTGCAAAAAGAGTAGTTTCTATACCTTACTTTTGCTAATGTTAACATCTTACATATTTATTAAAACAAGAAAAGTTAAGAATACAATGCTATTGTCTAATCCACAGACCTTATTTGAATTTTGCATTTTCCCAGTAATAACTTTTTTCTTGTTCACAATACTTCCAAGATCCAGCATTGCATTTAGATATGTTGTCTCCTTAGTTTCTTTTAATCAATGACAATTCCTCAGTCTGTCTTTGTTTTTCATGATCTTGACATATTTGCAGAGTATTTGTCAGTAGTTTTGGAAAAGCTCCTTCAATTCAGGTTTGTCTCGTGCGTTTGCACAATTGGGTTGGGGTTATTCATTTTTGGCAAGAATACCACTTAAGTGATGTTATACCCTCCTCAGTGCATCATATCGGGGTGTGTAACATCATTATGTCTTGTTACTGGTGATATTTACTTTGATCACTTGGTTAAAATTATGTTTTCGGCTGGGCACGGTGACTCACACTTGTAATCCCAGCATTTTGGGAGGCCAAGGCAGGCGGATCACAAGGTCAGGAGTTTGATACCAGCCTGGTCAACACAGTGAAACTCTGTCTCTACTAAAAATACAAACATTAGCTGGTTGTGATGGCGGGCGCCTGTAATCCCAGCTACTCAGGAGGCTGAGGCAGGAGAATCACTTGAACCCAGGAGGCGGAGGTTGCAGTGAGCCGAGATCGTGCTGCTACACTCCAGCCTGGGGGACAGAGCTAGACTCTGTCTCAAAAAAAAACAAAAAACAAAACAAACAAAAAAGATGTTTTCCAGGTTCCTCTGCTAAAAAGTTTCTGTTTTGTAATTAGTAAAAGTTATGTGAGGAGATACTCTGAGAATCTACAAATATCCTAGTTTCTTCAATACACTTCCCCCTACTAATTTTAGCATTCTTTGATATTTCTTGCCTACAAAAATTATTACTGTGATGTTTGACTAATGGTGATTTTTTAATTTTCATAGTTCCTCCTATGTTGATTAATTAGAATTCTACCATAAGGAAGAGCCACCCCTTATCTCCCATTTATTTATTTAATCACTTATTTACGTAAGTATATATTTACATCAGTCTGGACTTAGATACTTAGTCTTTGGGTCATAATCCCATGCTTTCATTATTAATATTCTTTCATACAAATTGTTCCAGATTTGGCCGTTAGGGGTGCCTTCAAGTTTGTTCTGTGTCCTATTGGCATGTCCCCATCATTTGTTGAGCATTTCCTTCCTTTCTGGCATCACAAGATGTCCCAGGCTTCTCTTGTATTGTCCCTACCGTAGCTCTGGAATCAAACCATCCTCCAAGGAACACTGATTCCTTTGGTTAGAGAATGATATTTAGGAAACAAGATCTGGATCCTAGGTGTGCTCATAGCTCCCAGGATTCCGTTGCTTCCAGGCCCAGGAAGTGCCTCTTTTTCCAGTCTCCTGGCCATCTTTCTGGAAGAGATATCCCCTGTGCGTCTGTATTGGGAAAAATGGGACTTAAGACAATAACATATTCAGATTATGATCCCTTTGAAAATAGTAATGGAAAACCAATACTCTCTGCTCTTTTTCCTTTTTTCTTTTCTAGTTCTTCAGTTTGGATTCACAACTATCTTTGTGGCAGCTTTTCCCCTAGCACCACTTCTGGCCTTACTGAATAACATAATTGAAATTCGACTTGATGCTTACAAATTTGTCACACAGTGGAGGAGACCTTTAGCTTCAAGGGCCAAAGACATAGGTAAGTTGGATTTGGGTATGTTTTTAAAAAACATATTAAACATCTGGTGGATAAAATTTTAAAAGCCACAAACTTTAGATTTTTAATTATGTTTTCCATTTAATATAATTCACCTAATTTTTGCAAAGAATAATTATATTAGTTTTAAATAATATTAGACAAGAAGTAAAGCTACCTATTTGGAAGTTTATAATTTCCAGTGCTAGAGAATTTGTGCTTAAATAGAGTCTCAATTTGATTATTTCTATCTTAAGATTCTAGAATCTAAAATTTAGATTTATTATCACTTATATCCTTTTTAAAATAGATCTTCCATTTGCTTAACCTTGATTTGTTCTTTCCTAAATGTTTGCCTGATTTACATGAAGTATAATCCAGTTTTTCTAACGGCAGAGATGAACTTTGGTCTTTGACTAGAGATGCTAAGTTGAATCAGATGCAGCTCGCATGAGAGCTGCCTGAGATCAAAGACTGTCTTTTATTCATTTCTGCATTCAGTGCTTAGCACAGAGCAGGCAGTCACCCAGCCAATATGTGTGGAAGAGAATTGCATGTGGATGTTATTGTTAATGACGTCTTTTAACCTCCACATGAAACAAGCACACATTCTGTGAGCACCTACCCTGGGTCAGTGTGTTATTGGCAGGGCCCACAAAGATGAACAGAAGGGACCAAATCCATACCCTTAAGGAGCTCCCAGTCTGGTGGGGCTTGACATTATGTGTGCTGATCCTATCAGATGGTATTTTGGTGCCTTATCATTAACCAGAATTCTCTGCCTCATGTCTGATCCTGACTATTAAGTCACAAGCATATAGACACTCCCATAGAAACTCCCTCAATGCCAAGTTGTTTGCACAAATCTTTCCTCCTGGTTGCAACTGTCAGTATTTGGAAAGATGAAGAAAGGACCCATGAAAAGGACTTTTAAAAATTAATTCCATTTTTTCATAATTATCACCTCTGTTTTGTGTATGGAACTAACACAACACTTCTATTTGAATAGGAATTTGGTATGGAATTCTTGAAGGCATTGGAATTCTCTCTGTTATCACAAATGCATTTGTCATAGCGATAACATCTGACTTTATCCCTCGCTTGGTGTATGCTTATAAGTATGGACCTTGTGCAGGCCAAGGAGAAGCTGGGCAAAAGTAAGTTTGCTATAAAACCACTATACAGTTTCTATTTCCTAGCCATTTTTTGAGGTTGGACACTCAGACAGAAGACTGCACTGGAGAATATGGAATACATGCCCAGAAGGAGAGGCCTGTGATAGGGGAGGTGGAATTATGATTTATTATAAATAATAATAATAACACTGTCAGCCAAAGAAAACATGTCCTCATCTACCAAAGAGTTGGAGGACATACAAGTCAGACAGGTTTTAGATGGAATCCAATGTAAGAGTGGCAATTAATCATTTTCCCCACCCCTGACCTCTGCCCACTATGAATTTAGAAATGTGTGATATGCTAATGTGTATACCAAAACAGTAGCATATGATGTATATATAGTTATATCATTTTATGAGTTTGCAAAAGGACAGTTACAATCTGATTTACATTGTGTCATTATGTGTAAACTCTGCAGATCTTACATAGGAAATACGGAACTAGGTACTGAGTACCCAGTAGGTCCTCAATAAGTATTCGTGGAATAAGTAAGTGAATGACTTTTTCATGGGTATTGACCTGACCAATGCCTATATTACCCCAAGCAAGCTGAGTGGACTAAACTCCTTGGGAGGATCAATTCTATGGCATTGCCTCAATGGTTTGCAAAGCCAGGGCACGCTATATATGGTCAGATAAAGATAAGTCAAAATTATAACATCCCCTAGTTTCATTCCTGTACCTTGGAGAAAGGGCAAGAAGTCTTAACATGCTTTAAAAATCCCTGTTTGGTTAAAGCCAAAATAGTTAAACTCTTATTATGGGATTTTGATGTCTATAGGTCAGAGTGAGGTGTGTTTGGGGATCACAGGGTCTTCTTAATAACCCAGAAATCACCCTACATGGGCTGCTGTCTACTTATACAAGCAGCCCTGGTTTACTAGCCTGAGCCAGATTGATTCATCCTCTACAGCCATTGTAGCTGATCGACCCCAAGGAGTTAAGTGCCACCAAAGCAAATCAACTGAACTCATGCAAACCTGGCCTGGGTCCAATTCATTATGAATCCTACATAAATGGGCTAAGGTGTGGATGATTGAGGAATGTCATAAAGCTCACAATCCAGTTATTTGAAAAGGCTTCTGTAAAGTTCTTGACTACTATAAGCATGTGGCCATGACACACTAATTATCTAGCAACTTTTAGTGAGCATACCATCCCATTTTAAGAGAAATGTAAAGACATGTTATTTTGCCCAGGCATTTCTTTCTAATTGCAACTATCGTTGACATTCTCTGCTTGGCTTAGCCTGAAAAAGCTTACTTTCACTCAAACCACTTTCACATGTGTTTTTAGTTGATTCTCAAAACAGCCCTGGGAGTGGGATGTGCATTATAATCTTCACTTTGAGGAGCAGGAAGAGATTAAAAGAGGTTAAGTCCAGAATCACAAGGCATAGTAACTCTGGGAGCCCATGTGAAGGTGGAGCCTCGACTCACTCTCCATCCCGCACCTCACAGCCCTTGAGGCTGTCCCTTAACAGTAAACCCCCTGGATTTTCCGTCGTAATGGTGTTTCAGTTCTTTCCCAAATTCAAATATGGTGAAATCTATCTTGTTTTAGGGGGAACCAAAAACAAAATGGGAACCTTTATGCACAATTGATAGTGAATCAAAGATTTAGAATTTTAACAACCTGGTAGATTTAAGACAATGTCCACAGTGATTAAAGTGTATCTCATAGCCTCCTTGTATCAATTTTACTGGGCTCTTTGGAGCTTTTCTTTTCTTTCTTTCTTTTTTAACCTTTCTCTTTGACTTAGGAGCCTTCTGCCACTTTCAATTTATGGATCTGCCTTTTGTTTTCTAATCCATTAGTCATTTTTCATGTTTTCAAGTAGTTAAATTTATGTATGTTTCTTCATGAATCTTATTTTCTGCCTCACTGGCCACTCTATTACTTTTCAGATTTTTTTTATTTTTCCAATTTAGAAATGCTTTAGAAATTATTGAACTCATAAGAGTAGCAGAATTGTCAAGGTATAGAAAGTCATAAGCCTTTAGGGTAGTACAGTGATTGCTGGCTCATCCCTTTCTTATGTATTAAAGGATTGAAAATTATAAGTGGTGAGTGGCTTTCACGGTAGAATTCTCACATTTAAATGAGTGTGTGGTCTTCTCAGAAGTTACATGGAAGAGATATGCATCCTAATCCAAATGGCACTACCCTGTAGAAGACATTTTCTAGATCTTTCTTGGAAGTGCCTACAGAGGCCATCTACCATTCCTTTAAGAAAACTGACTTTATATTCACAGGAAACCCTTCGTCTGTTACTTTTTTCTTGGTACTTCTCAATTCTCCCTGATCATCAGTGTAGCCTCATCTCCCTCTGTCTCATTGAGAGCTGGTGGTGGGTCACAGTGAGGGTATATAGCATTCCTGCCAGTAAACCCAGTGATAGACATGGGCTCTCTACTACCTGTGACCTTCCTGCTATAACAATGGGTCAGTGAGTTGACACTTGCATGCCACTAGCTGAATTTTATACAGCAAAATGTGATAAATCTCACTTGCCTGAATTGATGACAACTTTCACTATTTGATATTGACAATAGCTAACAGTCTACAAAAGGTGAAAGGAATTAGTGAAACGTCTAGCTGTCCGTGCATCTTTTCCCCCATTATGGAAATGATATGGAAGGAAGATGTACACAGCTGATAACTGTGTGTTCCTGTACTAGGTACACATTTAATGCTTTGCACTCAGGAGTAACCACCCTCTAAAGACACATTTTCAACTTGGATTTATGACTGTCATTCATGCATTAGGTCCATGAAACAGGTGTTTTATTTAAATTTAAATTTTCTTAATGGAGTTTTTGAGCAGAACAACCAATGGACAGTAGCGTTAGTCTTGATAAAGCCTCGGGGCTGGTCTGTGAGATAAGAGTGCAGGAGGGGTTATGAATATTCCATTTCAGTGCTGGGCCTTTTTTTTTCACCAGTTCCCAGAACACCTTTCCCTTCCCACAGCTCAGATCTCTAGAAAGACTCTGCTAAAACTTACTCCCTCTCTGTGACAGCTAATCATCCTCAAGGCACTAATTTATTTTCATGTCCAGGTCTAGACAGTTCCTAGGTAAGGGAGACATCATTCCAAATTACCCTTTCAGTAGGGGAGTCCTGCTGCCAGTTGGATTAAGGCATGTTACACACTCCCTGACCATTTGTTTTCACCCACGAGTGACTTGACAAATGGGTCCTTCAGCTTGGTTCATTTTTTTTAAGGCCATGATAAAGCCAGTGATTTGTCTTGAGCACGATAACATGCAGAACCCATGTGTTCTCAGAACTGTGTTCATGTCATCATTTTGGTTTAGTGTTCAGCAGCTTGGAATAATCATGCCAGACTTGTTAATGAAGAGAATCTGAAGATCATGATTTATTCATTCAATCAGTAATTACTTATTGACCCCCTGCTAGATGCAAGAAATAAATAAAATGAATAATCACCACTCATGTTTATCTTACTTATAGGCTAAGATCTTATCACATGCTATACATTCATTGTTTAATATAATCCCCTCAAGGACCCTATGAGGTGGGAACTTCTGTCACTTTAAGAAGTTACGTAAATCGGGTGTGGTGACACATGCCTGTAGTCCCAGCTATTCAGGAGTCTGAGGTGGGAGGATCGTTTGAGCCTGGGAGGTCAAAGCTGCAGTGAGCCATGATCATACCACTGCACTCCAGCAATGAGCAACAGAGCAAGGCCCTGTCTCAGAAAAAAAAAGAAGAAGTAAGAAGTTATATAACGTGCCAATATTACATGACTAGAAACCAGCAGAACTAAGATTTGACCCCAAAACCCAAGCTTTTGTATGTAAAACACTATTTAAAGAAAAATGTATACAGGATGTATCTAAGTGCTAATTTCACCCAAAGTTTCAAACATTGTTATTTCAGTAAGTGCATGTGTTAACCACAATGTTCAATATGTAAAACTGTTTAGAGACTTGGAGAAAAGATGTTTCTAAGAGTGCTACTTGCTATGATACTTTTAAAATGGGCTTTTTCTTGAATGGAATTATTGACAGAATGATTAAATCTTGATTTTATCTACCCATTCAATCTAGAATGATCAATAGAATCTCATACTTTAGTTTCCTCCAATCAGATCGATTCAATATTTATGGGATTCCTACACTGCACAAGACTGTCCTAAGTCATAGGATACACAAATACCTAAGATACCTGCTCTGCTCCCAAAAAATTGCAGTCCAAAGGAGAGGGCATACATATATGCTGCCAACTCTAGTACAAGCGATCTGGTAATGGTGAACTAAGTAAGTATGGTGGCACTACAGAGAGAGGGAAAGGAGTGAGATGTTGTGACTGGAGTGATTAGGTTGTCTTCCTAGTAGGAGTGGTGTTTCAGTTGGCCGCTGAAGGATAAATACTATTTCCACTTGTAAAGGAAGAGGTAGGGAATTCTAACAGAAAAGATAACAAGCAGAGGCATGAAAACATCAGAAGCTTTCAGGGAATATAGTCTAACAGGACTGTAGCATGGGATATGAGTTGGGGGGATCATATGCACACCAATCATATTTGGAACATTTTGAGAATATCTATAAATATATATGAAACCATTAATGAGGAACTGTGTTTATGTGTATCATCAACAAAAGAAGCTGTGGCTTACATACAATTTATGCCCATCATGTAATGCTGCTTTTTACCTATTTCACTGAAACATTAATTGGGGTAGAGATGTTCTATATGATGATTCTGCAGAAAAAGGATGAGAACCAAAACAAGCAACTTGTTCCTGATTCAACATGCCCAGGGCTTTCCAGCGTATCCCAACCTGAGTCCTGGTTGACAAGGAAGGGCCAGTTAAAGGCATTTACAATTGCAGTGACGTCTGGGAAGCAGGGTCTTCAGGGAACTGGATACAGAGAAGGTGATGAGTGTTCTAATGGTAGAATGTGCCTCCTCTTATAGGTGCATGGTTGGCTATGTGAATGCCAGCTTGTCTGTATTTCGAATTTCTGACTTTGAGAACCGATCTGAGCCTGAATCTGATGGCAGTGAGTTCTCGGGGACTCCTCTTAAGTACTGCAGGTGAGTGTGGCACCCAGCGTGGCTCTGCCTGAGCTGGGCTGGCTCCACCGTGGGGAGGTTTTACTCTGAAGGCCCCTTCTGGCTGAGTGTGTTTAAAGCAGTGACTGTCAATCTCAACAGTGCATTAAAAGCACATGAAGAATTTTCAAGCCTTCTCTTGCCCGGGATACAACCCAAACCAATTAAAACAGAATGTCAGGGAGTGGAACTCAGAAACCAGGTGCAGTCAGAATTGAGAACTGCTAGCTTAAAGGGAAAAACTAAAAATATAGTAGTGAAGGTTATACCGCTGCTCCAGGGACTCAGGGACAGACAATCCCCAGGCGGGTTGAGCGACAGCTGTTGAGGGCACTTGTCTTTGTTCTGCTTCTCTCTCTTGCCCAGAGTATATCACATCACATTTCTAAATGTTAAACAACTCAGAAGCCTGTGGAAAGAGGCCCAGTTCATTTCAGGTTCCACCACAGTAGCCTCTGCAACATGTGCTCATTCTCTCTTTCTTTCTCTCCCTCTAAAAGGAAATGAATTAAACTGTGCCTCTTGATGTGTATCTATACAAACGTACATGAAGGAGAATTTGTTGAGCACCTACTCTGTGCCAGAAACTGTTACTCCATTTAATCGTCACATCAGCCTTCTAAGTTAGGCAATATTATCTCATCTGACAAATGATAAAACCATTCACTAAAAGCTCAATGAGATTACTTGTGCACAGTTCTTGAAGAGTCCAGATGGCACCTTTTTCTCTTAATACTTTGACGTTATAAGAATTTTGTGGGCTCACACCTGTAATCCCAGCACTTGAGGAGGCCAAGTTGGGAGGATCACTTAAGTCCAGGCAGTCAAGGCTGCAGTGAGCTATGATAGCACCACTGCATTCAAACTATGGAGCAAGACCTTGTCTCAAAAACAAAACAAAGAATTTTGGAGATTCCCTATCATGACATTCTATGTTCTCCCTGTAATCAAAGCCACAAGGAAGAACAGCCATGGAGTCCTAGATGCTTTGACATAGGGACTTTTGTAATGATCCACTTCAGTCCCTCATCTTACAGAAGGTGAAGGTGAGAGAAGCCAGGGGCTCCCCATTTCTGTGCAGTGACAGCATACCCTCCACCCCTTTAAACACTCATGCCAAGTTCCCAGGTCTCATTGGCTGTCACATCTCATCAGATGGCTTATTTCCTTTCCCACATGGAGTAACAAGTAAGATGGGGAGAAAGACTGGCTGGAATATAATCTAGTGCCGCTCTCTGTTGGGGTCTAGTGGAGAAGCAAGCAATTAAGCAACAATTGATACTTTCTTCAGTAGATTTCCCACTTGCTTGTCCAGACCATTTCGTACATGAAATTATTTAGCAAGCATTGTTAGACATATACAGGATCCTAAGTATGAAATGCTTCAAAATAAAATGCCAACTATTATTTGGAGTTAAAAACTTTGTAATCATTTGAAAATAAGATAAAAATACAGAGTCTTTCTCCTCTTCTGCTTCCTGGCTCATAATTCTTCCTGCCTGTCTCACATAGTATCATAAAAGTATATTCCAGAAATTATTAATGTGAATGGAGGTATTAATGCTGGCACCATTAAGTTAAATTATGATTGTTTTGTTTAGCATTTTTCTTAAAAGTCCCCCAAAGAAAACATTTTAAAATTTCTAATTAAAATCATGTAAAATAATATTTTCAGGTTTGTTTTCAGTCATATAGCAGGTGAGGCACCCAGATCAGCTTGCGGGCTGAAAATATCTAAACATGTAGAGAAAAATTTAAAAACACCTTCTCAAATACATTAATGACCTGGGAAGAATATTTGGTATTCTAAGGCAGAAAGAAGTGGTACACAGAGCATTGCAGCCAACTTTTACCCAAAGGGAATTTGCTGAAGTGAGTGGACTGGAGCTTTCTTTTTATTTATTTATTTATCTTTTTATACTTTAAGTTCTAGAGTACATGTGCACAGCATGCAGGTTTGTTACATATGTATACATGTGCCATGTTGGTGTGCTGCACCCATTAACTCATCATTTACATTAGGTATATCTCCTAATGCTATCCCTCCCCCCTCCCCCCACCCCACGACAGGCCCCGGTGTGTGATGTTCCCCTTCCTGTGTCCAAGTGTTCTCATTGTTCAGTTCCCACCTATGAATGAGAACATGCGGTGTTTGGTTTTTTGTCCTTGAGATAGTTTGCTGAGAATGATGGTTTCCAGCTTCATCCATGTCCCTACAAAGGACATGAACTCATCCTTTTTTATGGCTGCATAGTATTCCATGGTGTATCTGTGCCACATTTTCTTAATCCAGTCTATCATTGATGGAGCTTTCTTTTTCAAAGCTTTCCATGGTTAGGGAAAGTGAAAGAAAATATAGAGGCCAGGTGCAGTGGCTCACCCTGTAATCCCAGCACTTTGGGAGGCTGAGGTGAGTAGATAGCTTAAGGTCAAGAGTTTGAGACCAGCCTGGGCAACATGGTAAAACCCTGTCTCTACCAAAAATACAAAAAAATTAGCCAGGCATTTTTGTGCACACCTGTAGTCCCAGCTACTTGGGAGGTAGGAGTATCACTTGAGTCTGGGAGGCAGAGATTGCAGTGAGCCAAGATCGCACCACTGCACTCCAGCCTGGGTGACAGAGCGAGATTCTGTCTCAACATAAAAGAAAAGAAAATATAGGAATGACCAGCCTGTAAGTGTATACTTATATGCTATATAAAACAACCATAATATAGTCACACTAGAGTCTATTATACAGCAATAAAAATAAACCACATGCAATAATGTGAATGAATCTTAGTGACATAATAGTAAAAAAAGCAAGCCCCAGCAAACTACATATAGTATAGTACCCTTTCTATAAAGTTCAAAAACAAACTAAATAGTACAATATTCAGACAAATGCATATACATATAAGTTAAAAATAAAAATGAAATTCAGGGTAAGGGAAGCAATTGATGTAAGTTCCTGGTAATGTTTTAGTTCTTGGGCTTCATAGTGGATTTATGAGAGCTTGTTGTATTATTAAAGTATTACTTTAATGGAGTCACATGGATTAAAGTTCTCTGAATAGTGCCTGGTCCCCAACAGGTATTCGGCAAACATTTGTGGCATTTTATGCCGACTCAAAAGTGATAGCTGGAGGATACATTAGGAAGGACTCTTCTAGTGGCAAGTGGCAGAAATCCAGGGTAAACTGACTTAAACAACAAAAAATTGTTCAGTTAGCTGGGAGAGTCAAGGGGTGATATGAGCTTCAGTAATGGCCGGATCCCAGGCCTCAAGCAGTGTCAGCAGGATGCTGCCTCTCTGCTGTCTCTGCTTTGTTTTCTTGACTTCCTTCTCAAGCAGGCTCTCTCTCTCCATACAAGGCCACCAGGAGTCCCAGGCTTTTGCCTTCTGTGGGCTTAGTGATCATTCACTAAGTGATAGTTCTGGCAGACATCTTGATGATGTCACTGATCAGGTCTGGCTCATCTTTTGAGCTGAGATCAGGCAGGTGGAGGGGGAAGTCCTAGTCAACCCACACAGATGATTCCCCAGAGAAGAGATATTATTTTATCAGAAGAAAAATGCTGGACAAGCAAAACAACAGATATCTAGTATAGAGAAACTTCAAATTTCCCTCCTATTGAATGAGGACTATATAATGAGAATGGAAGAGATTTGAGAATCAGAAAAATCATAGTTTGAATGCAACATTTTTCTGTGTCTTTATAGATACCGGGACTACCGTGACCCGCCTCATTCACTGGTGCCCTATGGCTACACACTGCAGTTTTGGCATGTCCTAGCTGCTCGATTAGCTTTTATCATTGTCTTTGAGGTAAGTTTCCTCAGCCAAATTCTTTATTTCCTTTGACATAATGAAGTCAGTAGGAGTAATGAATAAAAATAAGTGATGGGGATTTTGAATGTGATTATCTATATTTCCAGAAGTAGTAGTGTCATATTATGTAACCTCTTTTTGATCTTTTTTCTTAATTGAAGTATTTGATTTTTCCAAGACATATTTGAAAGTCCATAGTTGGTTTTTAATGGACAAATCTGAACTCGTTGCTCCTAAATGTAATTTTCTGGGGCCATAGTTCTTAAACTTTAGCAAAAATGCAGTTTTTCCATCCTCACTCCCAGATATTCTGACATACCATGTCTGTGGCTTGTTTTTCATGAGCTCGTTGTAATGATTCTGACTATAGGCATTCTGGGACCATAATTTGGAAACATTTGGAAAACATCAGCCCAGTAAGATTCATTCTTTTTTTCTTTTTCTTTTTCAACTTTTATTTTAGATACAGTGGGTACATGTGCAAGTTTGTTACAAAGTTACATTGCATGATGTTGAGGTTTGGGGTGCGACTGAACCCACCACCCAGGTAGCGAGCATAGTATTCAATAGGTAGTTATTCAGCCCTTGTCCCCTCCCCCTCTCCCCTCTATAGTAGTCCCCAGTGTCTGTTGTTCTCATCTTTATGTCCATGTGTACCCAGTGTTTAGCTTCCACTCTAAGTACGTACAATAAGAACTTGCAGTGTTTAGTTTTCAGTTTCTACATTATTTCACTTAAGATAATGGCCTCCAGCTACATCCATGTTGCTGCAAAGGACATGGTTTCATTCTTTTTTATGGCCACATAGTATTCCATGGTGTATACATACCACATTTTCTCTATCTGGTCCACCATTGATGGGCACCCAGGTTGATTCCATGTCTTTGCTATTGTGAATAGTCCTGTGATTGACATATGAGTACATGTGTCTTTTTGGTAGAATGCTTTATTTTCTTTTGAGTATATACCCAGAAATGGGATTGCTGGGTTGAATGGTAGTTAAGCCCTTTGTTCTTTGAGAAATCTCCAGACTACACAGTAGTTGGACTAATTTACCTTTCCACCAACAGTGTGCAGGTGTCCCCTTTTCTCTGAAGCCTCGCCAGCATCTGTTAATTTGTTTACTTTTTTTTTTTTTTTTTTTTTTTTTTTAAGACTGATTCTCTCTCTGTCGCCCAGGCTGGAGTGCAATGGCACAATCTCGGCTCACTGCAACCTCTGCCTCCCAGGTTCAAGTAATTCTCTGCCTCAGCCTCCTGAGTAGGTGGGATTACAGGCACCCGCTACCACACCTGGCTAATTTTTGTATTTTTAGTGGAGACGGGGTTTCACTGTCTTGGCCAGGCTGGTCTTAACCTGACCTCATGATCCATCCGCCTTGGCCTCCCAAAGTGCTGGGATTACAGGCGTGAGCCACTGCACTTGGCCTGACTTTCTAATAAAAGCCGTACTGACTGGTGTGAGATGGTGTCTCATTGTGGTTTTGATTTGCATTTCTCTAATTTCCTTAGAGATTCTGAGCATTTTTTCATATTATTGTTGTCTGCTTCTATATCTTCTTTTGAGAAGTATCTGTTTGTGTCCTTTGACCACTTTTTAATGGGGTTATTTGTTTTTTACATGTTGATTTGTTTAAGTTCCTTACAGATTCTGGGTATTAGACCTTTATTGGGTGCATAGTTTGCAAATATTTTCTCCCATTCTGTACGGTGTCTGTTTACTTCTTTGACAGTTTCTCTTGCTGTGCAGAAGCTCTTTAATTAGATTTGACTTAGCAATTTTTGTTTTTGTTGCAATTGCTTTTCAGGACTTCACCATAAATTCTTTGCCCAGGCCAGTATTGAGAAGGGTATTTCCTAGGTTTTCTTCTAGCATTTTTATAGTTGAGGTCTTACATGTAAGTCTTTAATTCATCTTGAGTTAAATTTTGTTTATGATGATAGGTAGAAGTCCAGTTTCATTCTTCTGCATATGGATAGCCAGTTATCTCAGCACCATTTATTGAACAAGGAATCCTTCCCCCACTGCTTGTTTTTGTCAAGTTGGAGATTCACTCTTTCTAAATGTCTCCAATTATTGCCATCATCATTACCACACATATTGAAATATACTGATTCATATAGTTAATTTATGATTTTCAAATAGTTATCAGGATTTCCCAACATGATCATAAGCATTTTCCAATAGGACTGGGTATTACAAGTGGTATTTCTGGTTGTGTATCATCACGGAATTATTTATATTCAAGCATCCAAGTAAGTATTTATTAGCTAAGACTCAAAATGGAATTATAAAGTAAAATCTGTCTAGCAATTGTCTATATTATATGTCAATAAAAATATATTATCTATTTTCTTTCAGGGTTTAAGAAAATTGCTGTAAAAATAGTTTGCATTTCTATGACTCTAGTCATAAGTGGAAATTTCATCTCTTGTCACATATATTAAAGCCAGATTAATAAAAGCCAAGGTTGCCTCTCGGCTTGGATCTAAAGTTTCCTAGACCTCTTCAAGACTATTCTATCACTGCTTTTTCCTTCAGTCCAGGGAACCAAAAGAAGAAAATATTAAGCTGCTCTTCCCTGGAAATTATCTTACCAATGGCACACTCTCTCTTTAAAGAAGATATTTTTAACCCATCACTGTCTTAAAATTTTTCAGACAAAACTTCTTGTTGTTTGTTTGGGATTTTTTTATTTTAAGTTCCAGGGTACATGTGCAGGACATACAGGTTTGTTACACAGGTAAATGTGTGCCACGGTCATCTGCTGCACAGATCAACCCGTCACCCAGGTATTAAGCTCAGCATCCCTTAGCTATTCTTTCTGATGCTCTCCCTTCCCCCACCCCCACCCCCAACAGGCCCCTTTGTGTGTTGTTTCCCACCATGTGTCCATGTGTTCTCATCATTCAGCTCCCACTTATAAGTGAGAACATGTGGTATTTGGTTTTCTGTTCCTTTGTCAGTTTGCTGAGGATAACAGCTTCCAGTTCTGTCCATGTCCCTGCAAAGGACATTATCTCATCCCTTTTTATGGTTGCATAGTATTTCATGGTGTATATGTACCACATTTTTTTATCCAGCCTATCATTGATGGGCATTTGGGTTGATTCTATGCCTTTGCTATTGTGAATAGTGCTGCAATGAACATATGCATGCATGTATGTTTATAATAGAATGATTTATATTCCTTTCTAATAAGCGCCATACTGACTGGTATGAGATAATATTTCATTGTGGTTTTGATTTGCATTTCTCTAATCTCCTTAGAGATTCTGAGCATCTTTTCATATTATTTTTGGCTGCTTGTATATCTTCTTTTGAGAGGTATCTGTTTGTGTCCTTTGCCATACAAGTTATAGAATTGCTGGGTAAAATGGTATTTCTGCTTGTAAATCACTGAGGAATTGCCACACTGTCTTCCACAATGGTTGAACTAATTTATACTCCCACCAACAGTGTAAAAGTGTTCCTTTTTCTCTGAAACCTTGCCAGCATCTGTTGTTTCTGGACTTTTAAATAATCAACATTCTGACTGGTGTAAGATGGTATCTCATTGTGATTTTTATTTGCAGTTCTTTAATTATCAATAATGTTGAGCTTTTTTTCATATGTTTGTTGGCTGCATGAATGTCTTCTTTTGAAGAATGTCTGTTTATGTCTTTTGCCCACTTTTTAATGGGGTTGCTTGGTATTTTTTTTGTAGATGTGTTTAAGTTCCTTGTAGACTCTGGATATCAGACCTTTGTTAGATGGATAGATTACAAAAATGTTCTCCCATTCTATAGGTTACTGTTTGCTCTGATGATAGTTTTTTTGTGCTGTGCAGAAGTACTTTCATTTAATTAGATCCCATTTGTCAATTTTTTCTTTTGTTGCAATTGCTTTTGGTGTTTTCATCATGAAATTTTTGCCCATGCCTACATCCTGAATGGCATTGCCTAGATTTTCTTCTAGGATTTTTATAGTTTGGGGCTTTACATTTAAGTCTTTAATCCATCTTGAGTTAATTTTTATATAAGGTGTAAGGAAGGGGTTCAGTTTCGATTTTCTGCATATGGCTAGCCAGTTCTCCCAAAACCATTTATTAAGTAGGGAATCCTTTCCCCCATTGCTTGTTTTTGTCAGGTTTTTCAAAGATCAGATGGTTGTAGATGTGTGGTCTTATATCTGAGATCTCTAATCTGTTCCATTGGTCTATGTGTCTGTTTTTGTACTAGTACCATGCTGTTTTGGTTACTGTAGCCTTTTAGTATAATTTGAAGTTGGGTAGTGTGATGCTTCCAGCTTTGTTCTTTTTGCTTAGTCTTGTCTTGGCTATTTGGACTCTTTTTTGGTTCCACATGAATTTTAAAAGAGTTTCTTCTAATTCTGTGAAGAGTGTCAATGGTAGTTTAATGGGAATAGCATTGAATCTATAAATTACTTTGGGCAGATGGCCGTTTTCACAATATTGATTCTTTCTATCCATGAGCATGGAACATTTTTCCATCTGCTTGTGTCCTTTCTGATTTCCTTGAGCAGTGGTCTGTAGTTCTTGAAGAAGTCATTCACTTTTCTTGTTAGCTGTATTCCTAGGTATTTTATTCTTTTGCAGCAGTTGTGAATGGGAGTTCATCCATGATTTGGCTTTCTGCTTGCCTGTTGTTAGTGGTTAGGAATACTAATGATTTTTGCACATTGATTTTGTATCCTGAGACTCTGCTGAAGTTGCTTATCAGCTTAAGAAGCTTTTGGGCCAAGATGATGGGATTTTCTAGACACGGGATCAGGTCATCTGCAAAAAAAAGATAATTTGACTTCCTCTCTTCCTATTTGAATACCCTTTATTTATTTCTCTTGCCTGACTGCCTGGGCCAGAACTTCCAATACTGCGTTGAAAAGGAGTGGTAAGAGAGGGCATCCTTGTCTTGTGCCGGTTTTTAAGGGGAATGCTTATTGAGAATTTTTAACATGAAGGGATGTTGGATTGTTATCAAAGACCTTTTCTGCAGCTATTGAGATAATCATGTGGTTTTTGTCTTTAGTTCTGCTTATGTGATGAATTACTTATGCTTATGTGATGTTTACTGATTTGCATATGTTGAACCAACTTTTTATCCCAGGGATGAAGCCAACTTGATCATGGTAGATAAGCTTTTTGATGTGCTGCTGGATTTGGTTTGCCAGTATTGTATTGAGGCTTTTTGCATCAATGTTCATCGGGGATATTGGCCTGAAGTTTTTTTGTTGTCTCTCTGCCAGGTTTTGGTATCAGGATGACACTGGCCTCATAAATGAGTTAAGGAGGAGTCCCTCCTTTTTAATTTTTTGGAATAGTTTCCATAGAAATGGTATCAGCTCTTCATTGTACCTCTGGTAGAATTCTGCTGTAAATCTGTCAGACAAAACTTTTTAAAAGGCTGCCTTATTTGGCTTTTCAAATAGAATTTTCCATTTTCTTTTAATATTTTGTTATTAACTATTTGAAAATATGAGAACTATGCAGAAAAGCTTCTTAATTTTGTGCCATCCATGCATCACCAAATTTATCAAGTTTTAAATAAAACGAAGAATACTTAGCAGTATCATTTGAACATGATTTAGTCTCTATTTAATACTTTAGAATTGTAATAGCCCTTAAATTGTCATCTAGTACTTCCTTGGTCACCATTATATAGATGAGCAGAAGTGACAGTGACTCTAGAATTCCAGCTATTAGTATTTCAAGTAAAGAATTTGTGACTGTTTACCAAAAAGAAAAAAGCTTCTTCCTGAAATGATCATTTCCCTAGGCCCACTGATAATTCTTATAACCAAGATTTGTAAAGCACTTGACAGTCTACAAGGCATTTTTAAACATTTTCTCATAATTCTCACAATACTCACTTTATAGATGAGGGGAATGAGGCTCAGATAAATTAAATAATTCATCCTCAGGTAGACAGACAGCCCTTAAGCAGTGAAAGCTACCAGCTTCAACCTGGGTTTTCTGACTCCACAGAATACATTCTTCTGGCTCTCCTTTGAATTAATTATCTGACCATTCTTTTCCCACCTTCCTTCCAGACTCCTCTTTCTATTCCTTAGGTGGTGCCATCAGACCAGTTCAGGCCTCACCTGTCCTATCATCTTGCATTACACACGCCTCCCCTGGTCACTTTGCACTCTCCACATACCCCAGAGGGTCCACATCCTTCTTCAGCCAACTCTCTAACCTCATTCAGGATGCACAGTAGACCTGACGCTGTTACATTCTCCTCTGTTTTAGCACCTCGTGTTTTGTATAAAGCACCTCATTTCATATCTGATCCCAGACCTCCCAAAAGACCTAAGGGATCGAATGAGAAGAGAGAAGTACTTGATTCAGGAGATGATGTATGAAGCAGAACTGGAACGTCTCCAGAAGGAACGAAAGGAGAGGAAGAAGAATGGAAAAGCACACCACAACGAGTGGCCGTGACCATGTAGGTGAGAGGTGTGCTCAGCGTCTGAGGCCATTCCGAGGTTGAATGGGTGCTTTAAACTCCCTGAAGCAAAGCTTACCATTGTTGCAGTAACAGGGATCAAAATAAACTCCTTAGAAGCTTCCCAATCCAAAAGAAGCTTGTTTTTTACTTTAATCGTTGCAAATTTTGCTTGATCTTCCCCTCCCACATACCTTCTGCAACACTTCTCTGCCTTCTTGCCAGACTCTGGCCTATCAGTCAAGGTCTTCATGAATTGGCCTAGGAGTTCCCTGAAACAAAGCGTCCTCTCTCTTTTCCTCCAGCCGGGCTGTTTTCTTTAATATCCCCAGGGAAACATGCCCCTTCTTTCTAGGTGGGTGGGAGGCAGACATTAGCAAAGAGAATTCTTCCTGAAAGCCTCAGCGGCCAGAGACCAAGGTGCAACAGGGCTGTCCTGGGCTGCAGGACCAGTAACTGATGAAGAATTTCTTCTGGCCCCACCACTACTGGCTGCTTTCTTCCCAAAAAGGCCATTTCTAATTTTTGCTTGAAAGCATAGTATCTGCCTGCCTGTTTCTATTTCCCCAATAGTTGGCAGGATGTGATGTTGCTTTAGACTGCCCTTCTGACTCAGTCTGTTCACCCATAAAGCAAGCATAAAAATGTTTATACCATCCCTGACTCCATTTGGGGTTACAAATTCTTTGAATGCCTTTGGTGCATGGTAAGTACAAACTATTGCACCTCATGTTTTAAAGCAATTGTGTATGCATAAGATCTTTATGCCTTCTTTTCTCTTTCCAGAAAATAGTCCCTTTCCAGGCCAAGGACCTGAATTCTGTTTACTTCTTCTGGCTGTGCAAAAGCACACTCAAGTGAATGACTAAAAATGCAACCACAGTGCATGTTGCAGATACCGGCGGCCGCAGGAGGGGCAGCATCCAGTAGAGGACTGGCGTTGGAGTCACACTGCTGTGAAATCACGTTGCAGTCCAGCGCACAATTGCTATCTATCCATAGACCATTCTTGACCAAGCAAGCATGCACATTATGGGCAGTTACATTCTCAAGTTTTTAAAATCAAGGGGAACTTGTATACTGGGCCTGTTTTTCAGCCTGTTTGCTACCTTTTTTGCATTCTATCCCATGTGAATTTTACAGACACTGGGCTAAAAAGGGTATTCAGACACATGGACACACATTCCTAGAATGTCATCATATGGTCCTAATTCCATGTCACCAACAACACAGACAAGACCCTGTTTACAACTTTTTCTTTCCTTTTTTTTAATTTTAGACCTTTCTGAGAAGATTATTATATATGACATATCTATAGCTATGTGTATGGCCATAGATGTATTTCTGTGTGTACATATGTATAGTCATGTATTCCTGCATATGTACATACAAATACAGAGATATATAAAGTACATAGAAATTCCTTACTTGTAAATAGCCAAAAAGTACTGACATGAGTGAATTTTCACATTTAAATAGTCATCAATATGAAGCCATGATTAATGCTTGTATAATGTGATGCAATAAAATTTAAAATAAATTTCTGCACATGGAATATTTTCAGCTGGCTCTTCTGACATTCTGTTGTATTTTTGTCTCATAGAATAAGAGAAATCACAGAATAAGTAAGTGGAATCTTTAATGTGAGGAGAATATCTGAGGGACTGTGCAAGAAATCAGATGTTTGTTTATTGCATAAATGCATGCAAAAACAAACAATATAGCCAAATATCAGCGTATGTTTCTGATGAACTTTTTTCCCCAGTCTTGATGGTGGAATATTTTAAATATAAGCCAAAATGAATATGCCGTAATTTGAGGATTTGATAATCTACCCAATTTTATAAGTCCTCATAAGACTAGAATATTAGAAATATCCTACTTCAACACTATAATCTTCATTAAAACCTCAGTTGTCTGCAATTAACAATTGCAAAAATACAGAACCAACCTAAGTGCCCATCAACCAAGGAGTGGATAAAGAAAATGTAGTATATAGCCGGGCACGGTGGCTCACGCCTATAATTCCAGCACTTTGGGAGGCCGAGGCGGGTGGATCACGAAGTCAGGAGATTGAGACGATCCTGGCTAACACGGTGAAACCCTGTCTCTACTAAAAATACAAAAAAATTAGCTGGGCGTGGTGGTGGGTGCCTGTAGTCCCAGCTACTAGGGAGGCTGAGTCAGGAGAATGGCATGAACCCGGGTGGTGGAGCTTGCAGTGAGCGGAGATCGCGCTGCTGCACTCCAGCCTGGGCAACAGAGCGAGACTCTGTCTCAAAAAAAAAAAAAAAAAAGAAAAAGAAAGAAAATAGTATATATACCATGGAATACTACTTAGCCATAAACAGGAACAAAGTAATGTCTTTTGCAGCAATTTGGTTGGAGCTGGAGGCCATTATTGTAAGTAAGTGAAGTAACTCAGGAATGGAAAACCAAATATCATATGGTCTCACTTATAAGTGGGAGCTAAGCTATGAGGATGCAAAGGTATAAGAATAATATAATGGACTTTGCAGACTCCAGGGGAAACGGTGGAAGGAGGGTGAGTGAAAAAAGACTGCATATTGGGCACAGTATACACTGTGTGGGTAACAGGTGCACCAGAATCTCAGAAATCACCATTAATGAACTTACCTATGTAACCAAAAACCACCTGTACCCAAAAAAACTATTAAGATAAAAATTTTTTTAAAGTTTTTTTAAAAAACCTCTGTTGTCTGAATCACTCACTCAGGAATGTAGTGATTCCAAACAGTTATCCAAATAGTTAGCAACCAGGCTGGGCTTGGTGGCTCATGCCTGTAATCCCAGCACTTTGGGAGGCCAAGGTGGGTGATTTGAGGTCAGGAGTTCGAGACTGGCCTGCCCAACATGGTGAAACCCTGCCTCTACTAAAAATACAAAAATTAGCCAGGTGTGGTGGCAGGTACCTGTAGTCTCAGCTACTTGGGAGGCTGAGGCAGGAGAATCACTTGAACCCAGGAGTTGGAGGTTGCAGTGAGCCGAGATCGCGCCATTGTACTCCTGCATGGGTGACAGAGTGAGACTGTCTCAAAACAAAACAAGACAAAACAAAAAGCAAGCAGGGTTAACTTTTAAACTGGCAAAATAATATGCTGCTTGATTTTTTGAAGTGGAAACCTGTCTATAAATGCCATATACTTTCCAGATTTCTTGTACGAAGGAAATCATATCCTTCCATTGATAATTCAGTGGCATCACTGTAAAACTCCAACCTTTCTACAAATGTGTCTCCCAAGTCTTGTCCCCTGGGATCCCCTAAAGCCTCACATTGCACAATCTGCCCTACTCACTCAGACTCTTTCCCCTGTGCAGTATTCCTCACCTAGGACATGCATATCCTTCTTATAGCCCCAGATAGCTTGTAAATGACTGTATTAGTCTGTTCTCATGCTGCTAATAAAGACATACCCGAAACTGGGTAATTTATAAAGGAAAGAGGTTTAATTGACTCACAGGTCCACATGGCTGGGGAGGCCTCATGATCATGGCAGAAGGCAAATGAGGAGCAAAGTCACATCTTACATGATGACAGGCAAGAGAGCTTGTGCAGGGGAACTGCCCTTTATAAAACCATTAGATTTCGTGAGACTAATTCACTACCATGAGAACAATACGGGGGAAACCGCCCCCATGATTCAGTTATCTCCACCTGGCCGTGCCCTTGACACGTGGGGATTATCACAATTCAGGGTGAGATTTGGGTGGGGACACAACCAAACCATATCAGTGACAGAGGGCGAGAAACCCACCTTCCCCTTCCCCATTGCCCAACAGAGTGTGATGCCTTTACGCAAGTTTTTTCAGTGCTTTTTTTTTTTTTTTTTTTGAGACGGAGTCTTGCTCTGTCGCCCAGGTTGGAGTGCAGTGGCGCGATCTCAGCTCA
Organism: Homo sapiens; assembly: GCF_000001405.40. Classification (NCBI taxonomy): domain Eukaryota; kingdom Metazoa; phylum Chordata; class Mammalia; order Primates; family Hominidae; genus Homo; species Homo sapiens. The sequence continues at coordinate 101,130,985 of NC_000012.12, forward strand.
CTGCAAGCTCCGCCTCCCGGGTTGACACCATTCTCCTGCCTCAGCCTCCCGAGTAGCTGGGACTACAGGCGCCTGCCACCACGCCCGGCTAATTTTTTGTATTTTTAGTAGAGACGAGGTTTCACCGTGTTAGCCAGGATGATCTCGATCTCCTGACCTCCTGATCCACCCGTCTTGGCCTCCCAAAGTGCTGGGATTACAGGCGTGAGCCACCGCGCCCGGCCTTTCAGTGCTTCTTAAAATAAATGACTCTAAAAGGGAGACAGTAACATGCAATCAATTTAAACTCACTTTCCTGTAACTATATATTTCAACGTGAAAGAATTAAGGGTAGGACCTCAACTTCATACAATCCTGTACTCTAGAGAAGGAGTTAACGCTACTCAGATCACATGTGATATGTAAGTGCCAGTTACTGTTTTCCCAAAACAGACATTGAGTAATTTCCCAAGTTGCCCATTGACTGTCAGCATTTAGACACCAATTTTATAATATTTTCAACAAAAAAAAAAATTAAAGAAGACTTGCTTAACAACCCTTTTAGTGGTTAAAACCACATGAGTGGTTTTAAATACCTAACTGTTCAATTTAGATTCCACTAATCCCCTGGCAGGGAAGAGTAAATAGTAAAGCTGTTACCAGTGGGTCGCAGCTTGCATACACATTAGCCCCCAAGGAGGCAATCTTGAACCTTCATTAATTCAGACCTTCCTAATTAGGAAGTTGTGATCATTTGGATAGCCTGAGGTCCGTTATGTAAAACAAGTTCTATGAACAAAGTAAAGGAAATAGTCCAATCGTGTGTGTGTGTGTGTGTGTGTGTGTGTGTGTGTGTGTGTGTGTGTGTGTGATGGAGTTTTGCTCTTGTTGGCCAGGCTGGAGTGCAGTGGCGCGATTGATCTCGGCTCACTGCAACCTCCGCCTCCCAGGTTCAAGCGATTCTTTTGCCTCAGCCTCCCGAGTAGCTGGGAGTACAGGCACCTGCCACCAAGCCTGGCTAGTTTTTTTGTATTTTAAGTAGAGACGGGGTTTCATCATGTTGGCCAGGCTGGTCTCGAAGTCCTGACCTCAGGTGATATGCCCGTCTCTGCCTCCCAAAGTGCTGGGATTGCAGGTGTGAGCCACTGCGTGTGGCCTCAATCATTTTTTAATATTTATTACTATTTTGCTTATTAACACAAACTTCAAAAACTTGTACTCAGGGATGTATTCCTAGATATTAAAAGCATAAAATAAAACGAAGTGTTTGCTTTGGGGTGTGAGTGAGAAGGGATAAACAGGCATCCAAGGTGCTGGCAATGTACTATTTCTTGACTTGAGTAGTCATTTTACAAATAGTTTTTAAAAGAATCATTTATTTAACATTTATTTGCTAATTATAAACCCAATTTTTATTTTTTCCTACTAATTTTCATGTAGTCCAGTATTCCTCAAACTCTACCATACATTAGAATCACCTGGGCCCTACCACCACCACCGTTTCTGATTCAGTAAGTATATGGTGGACCAGGAAATTTCAATTTTGATAAAGTACCTAGATGATGTTGTTTCTATTGGGTGGGGGCCACATTCTGCAAACTACTGATCTAATCAATATCTTATGGCCATAATTTGAATCACTTTAATATACTCTACAATTCAAGCTGAGTTTAATTCATTTTATCTGATTGTATAATATTTTAGTGAACTACCACCCTGGTAGAAAGGCAGGTGGGCAGCAATGTCAAACTGTAATCTTAGTTACAGTAGCAATTATCAGTTAATCATATCATTCAATACAGATCACTGCTGTGCAGGCCTCCCAGCTGAGTGGAGCATAGGGTGTTTCTTTTGTTTTGTTTTGTTTTATTATACTTTAAGTTTTAGGGTACAGGTGCACAACGTGCAGGTTAGTTACATATGTATACATGTGCCATATTGGTGTGCTGCACCCAGTAACTCATCATTTAACATTAGGTATATCTCCAAATGCTATCCCTCCCCCCTTCCCCCACCCCACAACAGGCCCCAGTGTGAGATGTTCCCCTTCCTGTGTCCATGTGTTCTCATTGTTCAATTCCCACCTATGAGTGAGAATATGCGGTGTTTGGTTTTTTGTCCTTGCGATAGTTTGCTCAGAATGATGGTTTCCAGCTTCATCCGTGTCCCTACAAAGGACATGAACTCATCTTGATGGATTGGGTCAGTGCCACACAAAGGTCCTTCACCTTGGCCTGCATTTTGCATTAACCCAGAACACTGAGAATAACTCTTCCCAAGTCCAACCAGCACCCTCGCCAGTTTAGGACTGAGTTTACATCACCATGTACAATAGAGAAACTCTATTCTGATTATGGGCTCTGGAGTCAGACAAAACTAAGTTTGGATCCAAGGTGTAAGACAAAGGACTTAAGTTTTCTAAGATATAGTTGCTTCATGGGGTGGACACCATGGTATGCTGCCAAGGTCCCTCTTCAATGAAAGATGTCTTGCCCAAGCTTTTGGGAGTGCTGTTGGTAGACTCCCTCCAGCTGTCAGGCTCCTCAAGACTGTTTCATTGCAGAGGGTCACCTGATCCAAGACCTGCCCCTTTCTGTGGCAGCCCATGTCAATGACTAATCGATGCATGAATACGAAAGCCTGGCAATATTAGGACAACTGTGAAGGGCTCCCTCACTTCAGTGCTCTCTGTGGGGAGACTCTGCTTGAACCTGCATTGTAGCTCAACCTCCACCTCTACCCAAACCTGCTTCCTTCTTCTTTCTTCCATAGATATTGATCCTAAATAAATGCTAAGCACACTACCCTCCCTATTAGAGTCTGCTTCCCAGGGAATCAAGCCTGCAACATTAATTTTTTTAAAAAAGTGGACAAAAACTCTAAGATGTGGGAATCCTATGGATTCGTTCATTCATTAAATATTTATTGAGCCAGCCAGTTCTGTTCTGGATGCTAAGAATACAGCAGTGAACACAGGTGTCTAACTTGAAGGGAAACAATTAGGAAGAGCATTAAGGTTGAAATCAATCATTAGGTACAGTATTGATTGACTATTTGATATAAAAAGAGAATAAAAGAATAGTGTCTCTTCCTCTCATCACCACTCCCCATCCGCCTTTTTAAAATTGCCTCAGTTTATAATATTCATGTTCTATTCTGCAACCACAGATTCTTGATTTCCTAAGCATGTCTCAGCCTGATTGAGCTTTACTGCCATGCAGGTTTCCTTCCCTACCTCCATGCTGCCCTTGGGAGCTTGAAAGTCATTATACTGTTTTTCCACTACCATGGGTGGTGGAAAATTGTGAGGCTGTTTAGAGACCTATTCCCCTGGATACTTCAGGCAGCAATTTCTTCTTTTAATGCTCACCAAACATGGTAAAGTCTCTCTAACTTTCCAAAGCCCTATGTTTGCTTAGAAACACCACTCAGCTGTGTCTTTCCTGGGGTCTTGTGACTGTAAGCTCTATCCAAAAGATGGGGAACAGATTTTGTCAGCTTTTAAATTCCACAAATCGATGGTGGTTTGCTGCCACCATCCCAGAGCTCAGCATATGGTGTTAGGACACAAAGAACCAATGGGGATATAGGCCTCAGAGACTTGATAATACATTGGTGCTCACCTGTTCCCTCCAACTTTCCCAGCACAGGAAATCCATTTCCAGTTTGGGGTTGGGAAACCTAGCTCCTACCACCCAAGCTGTTTTATTATTGTCAACATAAGAGGCTAGACTTTGGATCATTGGTTAATGCTCCGAATATCCCACCACTATACTTTCCTCTGAACCCTCTCACACTCTTCTCTGGTTGATCACTTCCCTTGTAGACTCCCTTTCCACCTCATTGGGCCAGACCCTTGCCTCTCCAAAGGCATATAAAGCAAGGCATTCCTTGAATCTCTCCTACCATTTATTTTCAGTCTTGCTCTTCCTGGGTATCCTGGCTTCCACCCAGTGTTATATAATGATGCCATCCTTGGTTTGAGCAAAAAGGCAGAACTATGCATTTATCTCTCCTCTTAACTTTCCACCTCTCTCATCTGTTTCCTTTTTTTCTCTGTCCACTTCCACAACTGGTCCTGTTATAAATTGCACTGTATTTTGTATGTCTTATTTACTAAAATGTCATGTTTCTACTGCGACTTAAATGGATGAATAGGAGGCTTTATATTTCTGTACTTCAAAAGTCCCATTATATTTTACTTCTGTGACTTTTCTCTGTAACTCAGAGAACTTCAATTAAAAAAAAAACCTCTCCAACCCAAAGAATGGGGAAAAAAAGGCTTGCAAATTATGTATCTAAGGGGATTATATCTTAAATATATTAATTGCAAGTCTTAAACATAAGACTTCTGAGAACTCTTACAACTCAATAATTAACAAAAACAAATAAGCCAATTTAAAAATGGGCAAAGGATTTGATTAGACATGTCTCCAAAGAAGATATACAAATGGCCAATAAACATGACAAGATGGTCAATATCATTAGCCATCAGGGAAATGCAAATCAAAGTCACAATGAGATACCACTTCACATGCATTAGAATGGCCAAAATAAAATATACAGATAATAAGTGTTGTCCAGGATATGGAGAAATTGGAACCCTCATACACTGTTGATAGGAATGTTAAATGGTGCAGCTGCTTTGGAAAATAGTCTGGCAGTTCCCAAAATGGTTAAGCATAGAATTACCATATGACCCAGCCATTCCACTGCTAAATATATCTCCCAAAGAACTGAAAACATATGCTCGCATAGAAACTTGTACACAAATGTTCAGAGCAACATGTTTCTTAATAACCAATAAGTGGAAACAACACAAATGTTCATCAACTGATTCATGCATAAATAAAATATAGGATAGCCATACAATGGAATACAATCATATGTCACTTAACAATTGGGATACATTCTAAGAATTTAATCATTGAGTAATTTTATCATTGTGTGAACATCATAGAGTGTACTTACACAAACTTAGATGGTATAGCCTACTACACACTTAGGCTATATGCTATATAGCCGGCTGTCCCTAGGATACAAACGTGTATAGCATGTTACTATACTGAATACTGTAGGCAACTATAACACAATGGTAAATATGTGTGTACCTAAACACAGAAAAGGTAATGAGTTGCTTTATGACTGTATGATATTACAACGGCTGTGATGTCACTAGGCAATAGGAATTTTTCAACTGCATTATAATCTTATGGGACCACTGTCAAGTGTGAGGTCTGTCATTGACCAAAAGGTCATTATGTGGTGCATGATTTTATTAGGCCATAAAAATGAATGAAATACTGATACATGCTACATAGATAAACCTTGAAAACATTATGCTACATGAAAGGAGCCAATCACAGAAGACCACATAGAATGTAATTTTATGTATATGAAGTGTTCAGAATAGACAAATCTACAGAGACAGAAAGTAGATTAGTGGTTGCCTAGGGCTAAAGGGAGTGAATGGGACAAAATGGAGACTGAATACAAATGGATATGGGGTTTCTTCTGGGGGTAATGAAAATTTTCTAAGATTGTGGTGATAATTGTACAACTCTGTAAATACAAAAACCATTGAGTTGCACATAAATGAGTGAGTTGTATGGCATGTTAATTATGTCTCAGTAAAGCTATTATGCAAAACCAAAAATCTCTCACTGTCCTCCAGCTTTCATGTGTTCCGCTTATATTATTGTATTTTGCATGTTGCTTTGAAATTGCCATGTGTGATGGATAGCTCCTCATACCTCCACAACCCAGGACTGAACAAGTTAAAAGAATCATAACAGAGAGCTAGACTTTCCTGGCTGCTACAAAACCATTGAAATTCTGGGTAAAATGTCACAAAATAAACATTTTAATGCATAGTCAAATTTATAAGAATAAAAGAAAAGCTCCAATCCCAGAATTGAAAAGGAAATCAAAGCAAAGAAATGAAGCCAGGAGATGTTGAGGAATAAGTGCAGGTGTAGATCTGCTGAGTTCTTATGTTTTCATGGGAGGAAAAATGAGGTTTCTGCCTACAGAATGTAAAGAAGCTAGAACTTGATTCCAGGTATCATCAAAAGCCTGATATCTTAAAGAACTGCCTGATCACTTAAAAGGGGATTTTTAAAAGCATACCAAAAGCCTTAATTAAATATTAAGAAAGTTTGCTTCTAGCCAACTCTTTGGATGGAAAACAAACAAAAGTTACTTGAGGCATCAAAATTTAAGCCCTGTGCTTAAGTTTTGTGCCATGGGTCTAGGATGCAAATTTATATTACGAACCTAAGAGAAAAGCCCTAACCTGAGATGATAATGTAAAATTGTTTGAAGGCCATTGAAACAACTAGGACACAGCAAAATCTAATTTGAAACTATGTAGGGACTCTTTCATTAACCACAGCCCAAGGAACTGTCACTAGAAAAAATGCAGCCTCTTCTGAAGATAAACTCCCAGATAAAAAAGATCAACTACATAAGAAAAGGAACCACCAAGACAGAGAGTGTGCAAATGAACAAATAAAAGAACTAGCACCCCACTAACTTCAGATAATATAACAAAATTAAGGGGTCATAAATATGGTTAAAATTATTGGAGTAATAAAATAATGATTGAAAATAATAATGAAAAAATCCAATATTATGAATTAAAGAATAGCAAATTTTGAAAAAGAAGCATATCCAACTCTAGAAATGAAAAAAAGTTAAGTCACTGAAATGGAGAACTGTATGGACAAATTAATAGCAGATTAGAAACAGCTGGGAAGGGGAATGAAAGAAAATATCTGAGAAAATTGTCCAGGATGCATCACATAAATACAAAAAGATGGAAAAGATGAACCAAATTAGGAGATACGAAGGACAGGATTTAAAAGGTACAACATACAACTAACAGGAATTAAAGAGGTACAGAATAGAAAAAATATGGGAAAGGGGAAATATTCAGACATAATACCAAAAATATTTCCAATATTAAAGGTATGATTCTACATTGAAGAAACAAAAGTCCCAAGGAGGAAATAAAAACAAATTCATACCTAGACTCATTGTGGCAAAACTAGAGAAAAAGCACAATAAGGAGTAAATTTTAAATGCTTTCACAAAGAAAAGAGAGATTACAGTTGCCCCTTGGAACAACACAGGTTTGAACTGGAAGGTTCCACTTTTACATGGATTTTTTTTCAAATGAATGCAGATCGAAAATATACCAAAAATGAAGTATTTGCAGGAGGTGAAACTTGCATATATGGAGAGTCAACTTTTTGTATACACGAGTTCTGCAGGGCTGAATACAGGACTTGAGTATATGCAAATTTTGGTTACGTTGGGAGACCTAGAACCAATTATCCACATATATCAAAGGCTACTGTATCTCCAAGGGATAACAACTAGGCAGACAGCAAACATCTCAACATCAGGAATAGATACTAAAAGATAATGGAAGAATATTTAAAAATGTTGGGTGAACTCTCAAACTAAAATTTGTTAACCAGATAAATTGTCATATGAGAGTTAATCTAATATTTTCAGATTAACAAATGTTCTGAAAAATTTAGCAGAAAATTTGAAGTTTCTGGAAAATATGTCAGAAAAATAATATTAACAAAAACTGCAATTACTTTTGTACCAACCTAATAAAAGAAAATTAGTAAGACACTCAAATACCTTCCCTTCCCACAAATAATCAGCTACTAATAGTCTATGGAACCCCAACATGAATAAAACAATAGTAGAAGGAGAAGGAGATGAGGACAATGATGAAGAAGGAGCAGAAGAAGGAGAAGAAAAGGATAAATGGAATGGTTACAAATTGATTATGATTTTAGTATCACTAATAACTCACAGATTTAATTTATTTTATTTTTAAGAACTTCCCTAGGTTGAGAATTGCTGCTGGAACCCAATAGGTCTGAAACTGAGCATCCTATCCTACACCAAGTTTTCTATGGTAACTACCTTTTGAATGGCTCCATGTCCACCCAAAATGCTTAAGCAGAAAAACATAAGTAATTTCTGACATCTTTCTTTCCAATAATGTACCAAGTCCTGTCAATTCAATCCTCTCACATGTATCTATCTTTCTTCATCCTCATTACCACCATCATAATCTAGGCCACCATTTTCTCTCACAAAGACTACAACACAGACTCCTAAATAGTCTCCTGATCCTCAGGCATACTCCCTTCCACCCATCCATTCTTCACTTTATAGCTATGGTGAACTGAACTTTCAGAAATCCAAATTTGATCATATCGTACGTCTCTTCCTACAACTCTTCAGTGGTTTCTTATCCCCATAAGGATAAAGTCTAAAACCTCAAGCATGACTTCCCATAGTCTGGCTGGTGCCCATGTTATCATTCACTCTACCCTATATACATACTCTTCTTATGCACCATGATCCCTCAGTCCTCTAGGCTTTAGAACATGTGGTTCCCTTTGCCTAAACCACTTCTTCTTTTCCTTTCCTTTGCTTAGCTAATGACTATACATCTTTCAAATCTGAGCTTATTCCTCATCTAGTCAGGAAAGTATTCTATAGCTGGATTTGGTCCCTTTTTGTCCATCCCTGTTACTCCCTCGTTGATACTTATGTCACTTAGCACGTGTTTGGATTATAGCACATGCAATGCTCCAATTGCAATACTTACCACACTGTAACAGTGAAACAGCAAAAGAACTAACATATATAACTCCATTTTTGTTTAAGGAGCCTTTACCCATTCCTGCATGTAGGTTAGGATCATTTTAGAGCAGTGAGATAATATGCTGAATTAGTCCGTTCTCGCATTGCTATTAAATGTAAGAAACTACCTGAGACTGGGTAATTTATAAAGCAAAGAGGTTTAATTGGCTCATGATTCTGCAGGCTGTACAGAAAGCATGGCTGAGGAGGCCTCAGGAAACTTACAATCATGGCAGAAGGCAAAGAGGAAGGAGGCACATCTTACATGGCTGGAGCAGGAGGCAAAAGAGCAAAAGGGGAGGTGCTACACACTTCTAAACAACCGGATCTCATGAGAACTCATTCATTATCACAAGAACAGCAATGGGGAAGTCGGCCTCATGATCCAATCAACTTCCAGCAGGCCTCTTCTCCAACAGTAGGGATTACAATTCCACATGAAATTTGAGTGGGGACATAAATACAAACCATATCATATGCAAAGAAACAATCATGTAGTTTTTGAAACTAACTTTGTGATTAAAGGGAAAGTATGTAAACAACTATGTTTTGTTAAATATTTATAAGAGCATTGTGACCTGACCAAGGAAATAGAAGTTCTCAACCTCCTCAGACCCTTGTTGGTGCCCAGATGTCTGCAGTTGTCAGTCACCTCTTGATCCCACCCACCTTTCCTTCCCCCTGTTCTTAACATAAAAATAATCTGCAATTTGTACTGACTTAAGATGGTACTTTAGGACAACAGTTTATCATCTTCTTGGTCTGCTGGTTCTCCAAATAAACCTGCGTTTCCTCCCACCAACTCTCTTCTCTCTTTATTTTAGTTTTCAAGTGGCGAGCAGGCACATCTGTGTTCAGGTTACAACACTTTACTGTAACTACTTGTATTTTGCCCATTTTCTGTATTAGACAATAAACTCAGTGATGGTAGAGATGAGTCTCTTATTTATTACAATATTACTAATATTATTGGTAATGGATGATTGGAAGACATGACTAACTACAAGTCAACAAAGTTTCCCTAACACTAAATCTGAGAATTACACATATCTAGTCACCGGCTGGTGTCAAGACCCCAAGCATCCCTATGGAAGCAGGCTATTTTTATCACTAACCCTTATCTCATGACCAAAAGCATGTATTCCAATTTGTATTGAGTGCCTTCCATGTTCTACATCTGCTAGAGAAATTACTAAACAGAACCAGCAAAAATCCTCACCTCTTGGAGTTTTTATTTTATTGGGGAATGACATACAACAAACAAGTAAAATATTGTGTGTTCAATGATAATAGAGATGGGAGAGAAATAAAGCAAGCAAGGGGGATAGGATGCATGGCGGAGGAAAGTTGCAATTTTAAATAGAGATCAGAGAATACCTCACCTAGAAGATGACATCTGAATAAAGACCTGTAGGAGCTGAAAGAGTGAGCCAAATGGATATTGAGTAGGGTGTTGTAAGCAATGCACATGACCGTGAGGTGGGAACATGTTTTTAAGGAATGGCAAGACCTGGCATGGAGTAATAGAGGTCAAAGAGATCATGGGAGCAAGGAGTTGTAAGGCATAGATCATGCATATTCTTTAAGCAGGCAGATGCCAAAAAGAAATGGAAGTGGAAAGGACTAAGATATACATGTCTGATTCCTCTCTCAGACTTACTGATCACAAAAGTCACTTCCTGTTTACATAGGGAGAATAAGCAGGAAAGGGGCAGAGAGAGATCCAGAAAGTTACTCTAATGGACAGTTCATCCACCTGGATGGAAACATCAGGAATAGAGACTATGTGCCACCTAAGAGATAGCTGTGTACATTAATACATGTACAGTACAACAAAATGACTAGAGCCGGAGGTAAGTATAAGATCACGATCACCCATGGAATGTGTCAAGAGTTAGAGAAGTGATAGGTAAGCTGGGTTCTAACAACTGAGCAGGTGTTTTTCAAAGATCTGAGAAGTAGACAGAGGATGGGTAGCCTAGACAAAGAGGATAGCATGTAAAATAACAAGAAGGCAAGAAAATGGTGGTATATTTAGCACATATGAGAAGCTCAATGTGACAAGCCTATGTAACATGTGAAGGAGGGTACCAATAAATACTTCTGAGAAGCCCATCAGGCTAAGGGATGGGGCTTTTATTCTGTAGTCATAGAGATCTTCAAGCAGAGGAGTGAATCATCAGATTCGGTTTCCAAAGAGACAACTGTGGACTGGAACAGTAGTTTCCAAAGTGTGACTCCCAGACCAGAAGCACCATCATCCTCAGGAAAATTTTGAGAAAGGTAAATTCTCAGGACCCACCTGAGAGCTGTTAAATCAGACACTCTGGGGTGAAGCCCAGCAATCTGTGTTTTAACCAGCTCCTCCAGGTGCTTCTGATGAACACTGAAGTTTAAGAAGCTCTAGAATAGAATGAGAAAAGCCCAGTGACAGACCAGATCCTAATACAGAAGAGAATAAAGGTCTGGCTTTGGAAAGTTAAGGAAAGCAGAAATGGAGAGAATCCTGAATCCTTGATGCACATGTGTGAGTGAGTCTGGAGCTCCAGGAGTGAATCCCATCCATTGATATCCAATGACCTTTGGTGGTGCAGCCTAAACAAGGGTAAGGGGTAAAAGAAGCCTTTTTAAATGAGGAAGGGAATAACAATACATGATTGCAAAATGGGAATGAGTAACAAAGTCAACAACTTCAAAATATTCTTTCTTTGATGAATTTAAATGATGGAGACCTGATTTGACCTTTAAAGTGAAAGGTTATGCCAAATTTCCTGTATATGGAAAATCTGCATTTTGCTTAATCAAGACTTGAATAGGTAGGAAGTAAGTAGGTGCTTTAAATGAGATGACAGACAGGTGCTTTAACTGAGAGAAGTGGAAACTTCACACTAGGGGGAACACTGGCAACTGCTTCTTTGATGATGTGGTTCCAAATTGGGTGATTGAGTATAAACATGGTCATCTTTGGCACCTAAGTTCTCTGTCTTAGTTGTCCACTTAATTTTATACCCCACAAGCAAAACTATAGCTTTGAGATATAAAATAGAAATTTAAAACTTCAAACTGATATTTTTTCAAAAGAAAGAAAAAACACTCAGGTTAAGAACTTCTGTTTCTCTTTTAAAGTCCTGATATTATCAACAATTAACTTGGACCAACTTTTAAAAGATTAAATTACCCCAATTAAAAATTGGATTGGAACAACTATTGGGTATCTGCCTAAAGGAAAAGAAGTCACTATGTCAAAAAGACACCTGTATGCACATGTTTATCGCAGCACGATTCACAATTGCAAGGATATGGAATCAACCTAAGTGCCTATCAACTGATGAGTGGATAAAAAATGTGAGTATATATATGAAATGTGAGATATATATATATATATATGTATATACATACACATACACCATGGAGTACTACTCAGGGATAAAAAAGAATGAAATAATGTCTATTGCAGCAACTTAGATGGAACCGGAGGCTATTATTCTAAGTGACATAAGTCAGGAATGGAAAAGCAAATACCACATGTTTTCATTTGTAAGTGGGAGCTAAGCTATGAGTACACAAAGGCATACAGAGTGGTATAATGGACATTAGAGACTCAGAAGGTGGGGAGGCTGAGGAAGAGGAATGAAAAACTATCTATTGGGCACCATGTACACTACTCAGGTGACCAGTGCACTGAACCTTCACACTTCACCACTATACGATTCACCCATGTAACCAAAAACTGTACCTCTAAAGCTATTAAAATAAAACGTTTTATAATGTATTGGGACAGAAAAGTTTGTACTTTTTTGTACTTTTTATTTTTCAATACGGTGTTAATTCATTAAAAATAAAATAGTCTTCTGTGACAAAAATTCTACATGTTTATACTTTTTGTAATCTACAGACAGCACTTAGGAATAGTCCTTTATGTTGTAAATAGGGTGGAAGTATCTTTTTGTAAAGGCTGATAAAATTAACTGTATTCAATTTGACATTTATCCCCCCAAAACAGACAACTGCAAAGAAACTTGCAGGGAGTTTAATCAGCAAGTTGAAAATTCAGATTCACAACCATGTTTTTACATTGAAATGTTCAACTTTCTCAAGGATTTCATAAACAATAAGCTCAAAACTTAGAAAAGCATACAGTGAATTTTCAGTAACTAAATGCTCATGTACTCAATAAACTCTTTGTCTTTATGGAAAAACTCAGAATTTCCTATAAGAATCAATACAGAGTTACTTCCGCCATCTCAACCCCCTCCCTGTTCCTTGTATTTATATCCTGGACGCTCAGTTGAAAAAAAATTCAAAATCTTTACATGTATGTATTTAATATTTCCTTCATCCTAATGTGTGTCAATATTAGAAGGCATGTGGAGAATCTAAACTGTCCTAAGACTTCTTTAAATAATTATTCACAATTCTATGGTCCTTAATAATTTCATAATGCTGTGAAAATACATGGTCATTGTTCTGCATCATAATATTAGATATGCCAGTGGCATTTTCATCCTTACCTGTAGATGAGAACATTCAGATAGAATTTTCAGGCTGTTTCCCTATAGAAACACAACCAGGCTGTGTGACTTCAAGAAAATCAACCTTATTCTCCAGGGCAAGGTTTCTCCAACTCTACACTATGGACATCTTAGGCTGGATAATTTTTTGTTGTGGAGGAGGAGAGCACCCTTGCAGGCCTCAGGAGATGTTTACCAGTTTCCCTAAATTCTACCTACTAGATACCACTAGTGCCATCCAAAAATGTCTCCAGACATTTCCAAATATCCCCTGAGAGGCAAAATTGTCCCCTTTGAGAACCAATGATCTGGAGAGAAAATGATTGCATAAGCAACTAATAAGATGAATGTGAATTTATGCTGTTTTACATCTTTCCTATAAAATTTTCATTTTCTATGGGGTGAATATTACTGACATATATATATTATATATGTCAAAAATATATATGTATTTTTTGAGATGGAATCTCGCTCTGTTGCCCAGGCTGGAGTGCAGTGGTGTGATCTCGGCTCACCACAACCTCCACCTCCCAGGTTCAAGCGATTCTCCTGCCTCAGCCTCCCGAGTAGCTGGGACTACAGGTGTGTGCCACCATGCCCAGCTAATTTTTGTATTTTTAGTAGAGACGGGGTTTCACTATGTTGGCCAGGCTGGTCTCGAACTCCTGACCTCATGATCCACCCACCTCAGCCTCCCGAATCATATTTTTCTTTAAAGTTTACACTCCCTCTGTTGGAATAATCCTGCTGACTCCTAAATATATTTTACTATTTCCATGACACACATTTTTAAGAGAAGGCACTATCTCTACATCATGATATTGCAAATTAACAGCTCTATTTTTTAAAACTGGCAAATGACTTTTGTCTCAAACTTTGATTCCCAATCATATTGAAATATTAAGTAACACTATTTGAGTTAGTAAAGTGCTATTCTGCCAAAGAACTCAACCTGATCTTTTCTACTGACATTATTTCTGTGAGGTAGGTAGGAGCTTAGTGCTATGTACCATTGTTAGAGGAGATTAGGGGTCAATTTAAGGGTATACAACTTGTCAACAGCAAAACAGACATTGACAACTTGTATGGATTTTCCCCCACTGGTGTTTTTGTCATTCAAATAACTAAGAGTAGCAGATTATGTAATTTAAGTGACAATGGATTAACATTTAACCCTTATTTGGTTTTATCTAAAAATTTAGAAATTAAGATAAATTATTTTGAGCTAATACTATTACATTGCTTTCTTAAGAATTCTATCAGGCATTCTCCTGTGTTTATAAAACTAAAATATTGATAGTTCTAAATGTCACAAAAATATATTCTGTCTAAAGGAAAGTGAACAAGAATGGAAACATCATGTTTCTCATTAAGAATACATGGCGTAACTCCCTGGCAATCAGGTAAGACAAAAAAATGGCCTGACTTTGATTTCCAAAATTGAAGCATTTTACACACATATGCATTTAGAATTATTAAACAAATAACCATAGTTCAAAACACATTCATGTAAAACAAACATATCTTTCTACTTATTAAAACATTGTAGAAAGACTTCCCTAAATTTGATATTTGCTTACAAATACAGTGATTTAAAAATAACATATATCGAATCTGGCCACTGGGCCAAGGAATGCCCACAGCCTGGGATTCCTCCTAAGCCATGTCCCATCTGTGTGGGACCCCACTGAAAATCGGACTGTTCAACTCACCTGGCAGCCACTCCCAGAGGCCCTGGAACTCTGGCCCAAGGCTCTCTGACTGACTCCTTCCCAGATCTTCTCGGCTTAGCGGCTGAAGACGGACACTGCCCGATCGCCTCAGAAGCCCCCTAGACCATCACGGACGCCGAGCTTTAAGTAACTCTCACAGTGGAAGAAAAGAAGGAATACCGGGGGAGGAGCCAAGATGGCCAAAGAGGAACAGCTCCGGTATACAGCTCCCAGCGTGAGCGACGCAGAAGACAGGTGATTTCTGCATTTCCATCTGAGGTACCGGGTTCATCTCACTAGGGAGTGCCAGACAGTGGGCGCGGGTCAGTGGGTGCGTGCACCATGCGCAAGCCGAAGCAGGGCGAGGCATTGCCTCACTTGGGAAGCGCAAGGGGACAGGGAGTTCCCTTTCCGAGTCAAAAAAAGGGGTGACAGACGCACCTGGATAATCAGGTCACTCCCACCCGAATATTGCGCTTTTCGGACCGGCTTAAAAAACGGCGCACCACGAGATTATATCCTGCACCTGGCTCGGAGGGTCCTACGCCCACGGAATCTCGCTGATTGCTAGCACAGCAGTCTGAGATCAAACTGCAAGGCGGCAGCGAGGCTGGGGGAGGGGCGCCCGCCATTGCCCAGGCTTGATTAGGTAAACAAAACAGCCGGGAAGCTCGAACTGGGTGGAGCCCACCACAGCTCAAGGAGGCCTGCCTGCCTCTGTAGGCTCCACCTCTGGGGGCAGGGCACAGACAAACAAAAAGACAGCAGTAACCTCTGCAGAATTAAATGTCCCTGTCTGACAGCTTTGTAGAGAGCAGTGGTTCTCCCAGCACGCAGCTGGAGATCTGAGAACGGGCAGACTGCCTCCTCAAGTGGGTCCCTGACCCCTGAGCAGCCTAACTGGGAGGCACCCCCCAGCAGGGGCACACTGACACCTCACAGGGCAGGGTATTCCAACAGACCTGCAGCTGAGGGTCCTGTCTGTTAGAAGGAAAACTAACAAACAGAAAGGACATCCACACCAAAAACCCATCTGTACATCACCATCATCAAAGACCAAAAGTAGATAAAACCACAAAGATGGGGAAAAAACAGAACAGAAAAACTGGAAACTCTAAAACGCAGAGCGCCTCTCCTCCTCCAAAGGAACGCAGTTCCTCACCAGCAACGGAACAAAGCTGGATGGAGAATGACTTTGACGAGCTGAGAGAAGAAGGCTTCAGACGATCAAATTACTCTGAGCTATGGGAGGACATTCAAACCAAAGGCAAAGAAGTTGAAAACTTTGAAAAAAATTTAGAAGAATGTATAACTAGAATAACCAATACAGAGAAGTGCTTAAAGGAGCTGATGGAGCTGAAAACCAAGGCTCGAGAACTATGTGAAGAATGCAGAAGCCTCAGGAGCCGATGCGATCAACTGGAAGAAAGGGTATCAGCGATGGAAGATGAAATGAATGAAATGAAGCGAGAAGGGAAGTTTAGAGAAAAAAGAATAAAAAGAAATGAGCAAAGCCTCCAAGAAATATGGGACTATGTGAAAAGACCAAATCTACGTCTGATCGGTGTACCGGAAAGTGATGGGGAGAATGGAACCAAGTTGGAAAACACTCTGCAGGATATTATCCAGGAGAACTTCCCCAATCTAGCAAGGCAGGCCAACGTTCAGATTCAGGAAATACAGAGAACGCCACAAAGATACTCCTCAAGAAGAGCAACTCCAAGACACATAATTGTCAGATTCACCAAAGTTGAAATGAAGGAAAAAATGTTAAGGGCAGCCAGAGAGAAAGGTCAGGTTACCCTCAAAGGGAAGCCCATCAGACTAACAGCAGATCTCTCGGCAGAAACCCTATAAGCCAGAAGAGAGTGGGGGCCAATATTCAACATTCTTAAAGAAAAGAATTTTCAACCCAGAATTTCATATCCAGCCAAACTAAGCTTCATAAGTGAAGAAGAAATAAAATACTTTACAGACAAGCAAATGCTGAGAGATTTTGTCACCACCAGGCCTGCCCTAAAAGAGCTCCTGAAGGAAGCGCTAAACATGGAAAGGAACAACCGGTACCAGCCGCTGCAAAATCATGCCAACATGTAAAGACCATCGAGACTAGGAAGAAACTGCATTAACTAACGAGCAAAATCACCAGCTAACATCATAATGACAGGATCAAATTCACACATAACAATATTAACTTTAAATGTAAATGGATTAAATGCTCCAATTAAAAGACACAGGCTGGCAAATTGGATAAAGAGTCAAGACCCATCAGTGTGCTGTATTCAGGAAACCCATCTCACGTGCAGAGACACACATAGGCTCAAAATAAAAGGATGAAGGAAGATCTACCAAGCAAATGGAAAACAAAAAAAGGCAGGGGTTGCAATCCTAGTCTCGGATAAAACAGACTTTAAACCAACAAAGATCAAAAGAGACAAAGAAGGCCGTTACATAATGGTAAAGGGATCAATTCAACAAGAAGAGCTAACTATCCTAAATATATATACACCCAATACAGGAGCACCCAGATTCATAAAGCAAGTCCTGAGTGACCTACAAAAAGACTTAGACTCCCACACATTAATAATGGGAGACTTTAACACCCCACTGTCAACATTAGACAGATCAACGAGACAGAAAGTGAACAAGGATACCCAGGAATTGAACTCAACTCTGCACCAAGCGGACCTAATAGACATCTACAGAACTCTCCACCCCAAATCAACAGAATATACATTTTTTTCAGCATCACACCACACCTATTCCAAAATTGACCACATACTTGGAAGTAAAGCTCTCCTCAGCAAATGTAAAAGAACAGAGATTATAACAAACTATCTCTCAGACCACAGTGCAATCAAACTAGAACTCAGGATTAAGAATCTCACTCAAAACCGCTCAACTACATGGAAACTGAACAACCTGCTCCTGAATGACTACTGGATACATAACGAAATGAAGGCAGAAATAAAGATGTTCTTTGAAACCAACGAGAACAAAGACACAACATACCAGAATCTCTGGGACGCATTCAAAGCAGTGTGTAGAGGGAAATTTACAGCACTAAATGCCCAGAAGAGAAAGCAGGAAAGATCCAAAATTGACACCCTAACATCACAATTAAAAAAACTAGAAAAGCAAGAGCAAACACATTCAAAAGCTAGCAGAAGGCAAGAAATAACTAAAATCAGAGCAGAACTGAAGGAAATAGAGACACAAAAAACCCTTCAAAAAATCAATGAATCCAGGAGCTGGTTTTTTGAAAGGATCAACAAAATTGATAGACCGCTAGCAAGACTAATAAAGAAAAAAAGAAGAATCAAATAGACACAATAAAAAATGATAAAGGGGATATCACCACCGATCCCACAGAAATACAAACTACCATCAGAGAATACTACAAACAACTCTACGCAAATAAACTAGAAAATCTAGAAGAATTGGATACATTCCTCGACACATACACTCTCCCAAGACTAAACCAGGAAGAAGTTGAATCTCTGAATAGACCAATAACAGGCTCTGAAATTGTGGCAATAATCAATAGTTTACCAACCAAAAAGAGTCCAGGACCAGATGGATTCACAGCCGAATTCTACCAGAGGTACAAGGAGGAACTGGTACCATTCCTTCTGAAACTATTCCAATCAATAGAAAAAGAGGGAATCCTCCCTAACTCATTTTATGAGGCCAGCATCATTCTGATACCAAAGCCAGGCAGAGACACAACCAAAAAAGAGAATTTTAGACCAATATCCTTGATGAACATTGATGAAAAAATCCTCAATAAAATACTGGCAAACCGAATCCAGCAGCACATCAAAAAGCTTATCCACCATGATCAAGTGGGCTTCATCCCTGGGATGCAAGGCTGGTTCAATATACGCAAATCAATAAATGTAATCCAGCATATAAACAGAGCCAAAGACAAAAACCACATGATTATCTCAATAGATGCAGAAAAAGCCTTTGACAAAATTCAACAACCCTTCATGCTAAAAACTCTCAATAAATTAGGTATTGATGGGACGTATTTCAAAATAATAAGAGCTATCTATGACAAACCCACAGCCAATATCATACTGAATGGGCAAAAACTGGAAGCATTCCCTTTGAAAACTGGCACAAGACAGGGATGCCCTCTCTCACCACTCCTATTCAACATAGTGTTGGAAGTTCTGGCCAGGGCAATCAGGCAGGAGAAGGAAATAAAGGGTATTCAATTAGGAAAAGAGGAAGTCAAATTGTCCCTGTTTGCAGACGACATGATTGTTTATCTAGAAAACCCCATTGTCTCAGCCCAAAATCTCCTTAAGCTGATAAGCAACTTCAGCAAAGTCTCAGGATACAAAATCAATGTACAAAAATCACAAGCATTCTTATACACCAACAACAGACAAACAGAGAGCCAAATCATGAGTGAACTCCCATTCACAATTGCTTCAAAGAGAATAAAATACCTAGGAATCCAACTTACAAGGGATGTGAAGGACCTCTTCAAGGAGAACTACAAACCACTGCTCAAGGAAATAAAAGAGGACACAAACAAATGAAAGAACATTCCATGCTTATGGGTAGGAAGAATCAATATCGTGAAAATGGCCATACTGCCCAAGGTAATTTACAGATTCAATGCCATCCCCATCAAGCTACCAATGACTTTCTTCACAGAATTGGAAAAAACTACTTTAAAGTTCATATGGAACCAAAAAAGAGCCCACATCGCCAAGTCAATACTAAGCCAAAAGAACAAAGCTGGAGGCATCACACTACCTGACTTCAAACTATACTACAAGGCTACAGTAACCAAAACAGCATGGTACTGGTACCAAAACAGAGATATAGATCAATGGAACAGAACAGAGCCCTCAGAAATAATGCCGCATATCTACAACTATCTGATCTTTGACAAACCTGAGAAAAACAAGCAATGGGGAAAGGATTCCCTATTTAATAAATGGTGCTGGGAAAACTGGCTAGCCATATGTAGAAAGCTGAAACTGGATCCCTTCCTTACACCTTATACAAAAATCAATTCAAGATGGATTAAAGATTTAAACGTTAGACCTAAAACCATAAAAACCCTAGAAGAAAACCTAGGCATTACCATTCAGGACATAGGCGTGGGCAAGGACTTCATGTCCAAAACACCAAAAGCAATGGCAACAAAAGACAAAATTGACAAATGGGATCTAATTAAACTAAAGAGCTTCTGCACAGCAAAAGAAACTACCATCAGAGTGAACAGGCAACCTACAACATGGGAGAAAATTTTCGCAACCTACTCATCTGACAAAGGGCTAATATCCAGAATCTACAATGAACTCAAACAAATTTACAAGAAAAAAACAAACAACCCCATCAAAAAGTGGGCGAAGGACATGAACAGACACTTCTCAAAAGAAGACATTTATGCAGCCAAAAAACACATGAAGAAATGCTCATCATCACTGGCCATCAGAGAAATGCAAATCAAAACCACTATGAGATATCATCTCACACCAGTTAGAATGGCAATCATTAAAAAGTCAGGAAACAACAGGTGCTGGAGAGGATGTGGAGAAATAGGAACACTTTTACACTGTTGGTGGGACTGTAAACTAGTTCAACCATTGTGGAAGTCAGTGTGGCGATTCCTCAGGGATCTAGAACTAGAAATACCATTTGACCCAGCCATCCCATTACTGGGTATATACCCAAAGGACTATAAATCATGCTGCTATAAAGACACATGCACACGTATGTTTATTGCGGCACTATTCACAATAGCAAAGACTTGGAACCAACCCAAATGTCCAACAATGATAGACTGGATTAAGAAAATGTGGCACATATACACCATGGAATACTATACAGCCATAAAAAATGATGAGTTCATGTCCTTTGTAGGGACATGGATGAAATTGGAAACCATCATTCTCAGTAAACTATCGCAAGAACAAAAAACCAAACACCGCATATTCTCACTCATAGGTGGGAATTGAACAATGAGATCACATGGACACAGGAAGGGGAATATCACACTCTGGGGACTGTGGTGGGGTCGGGGGAGGGGGGAGGGATAGCATTGGGAGATATACCTAATGCTAGATGACACGTTGGTGGGTGCAGCGCACCAGCATGTCACATGTATACATATGTAACTAACCTGCACAATGTGCACATGTACCCTAAAACTTAGAGTATAATAAAAAAAAAAAAAAAACTAGAAAAGCAAGAGCAAACACATTCAAAAGCTAGCAGAAGGCAAGAAATAACTAAAATCAGAGCAGAACTGAAGGAAATAGAGACACAAAAAACCCTTCCAAAATTAATGAATCCAGGAGCTGGTTTTTTGAAAGGATCAACAAAATTGATAGACCGCTAGCAAGACTAATAAAGAAAAAAAGAGAGAAGAATCAAATAGACACAATAAAAAATGATAAAGGGGATATCACCACCGATCCCACAGAAATACAAACTACCATCAGAGAATACTACAAAGAACTCTACGCAAATAAACTAGAAAATCTAGAAGAAATGGATAAATTCCGCGACACATACACTCTCCCAAGACTAAACCAGGAAGAAGTTGAATCTCTGAATAGACCAATAACAGGAGCTGAAATTGTGGCAATAATCAATAGTTTACCAACCAAAAAGAGTCCAGGACCAGATGGATTGACAGCCGAATTCTACCAGAGGTACAAGGAGGAACTGGTACCATTCCTTCTGAAACTATTCCAATCAATAGAAAAAGAGGGAATCCTCCCTAACTCATTTTATGAGGCCAGCATCATTCTGATAACAAAGCCGGGCAGAGACACAACCAAAAGAGAGAATTTTAGACCAATATCCTTGATGAACATTGATGCAAAAATCCTCAATAAAATACTGGCAAAACGAATCCAGCAGCACATCAAAAAGCTTATCCACCATGATCAAGTGGGCTTCATCCCTGGGATGCAAGGCTGGTTCAATATATGCAAATCAATAAATGTAATCCAGTATATAAACAGAGCCAAAGACAAAAACCACATGATTATCTCAATAGATGCAGAAAAAGCCTTTGACAAAATTCAACAACCCTTCATGCTAAAAACTCTCAATAAATTAGGTATTGATGGGATGTATTTCAAAATAATAAGAGCTATCTATGACAGACCTACAGCCAATATCATACTGAATAGGCAAAAACTGGAAGCATTCCCTTTGAAAACTGGCACAAGACAGGGATGCCCTCTCTCACCACTCCTATTAAACGTAGTGTTGGAAGTTCTGGCCAGGGCAATTAGGCAGGAGAAGGAAATAAAGGGTATTCAATTAGGAAAAGAGGAAGTCAAATTGTCCCTGTTTGCAGACGACATGATTGTATATCTAGAAAACCCCATTGACTCAGCCCAAAATCTCCTTAAGCTGATAAGCAACTTCAGCAAAGTCTCAGGATACAAAATGAATGTACCAAAATCACAAGCATTCTTATACACCAACAACAGACAAACAGAGAGCCAAATCATGAGTGAACTCCCATTCACAATTGCTTCAAAGAGAATAAAATACCTAGGAATCCAACTTACAAGGGACGTGAAGGACCTCTTCAAGGAGAACTACAAACCACTGCTCAAGGAAATAAAAGAGGATACAAACAAATGGAAGAACATTCCATGCTCATGGGTAGGAAGAATCAATATCGTGAAAATGGCCATACTGCCCAAGGTAATTTACAGATTCAATGCTATCCCCATAAAGCTACCAATGACTTTCTTCACAGAATTGGAAAAAACTACTTTAAAGTTCATATGGAACCAAAAAAGAGCCCGCATTGCCAAGGCAATCTTAAGCCAAAAGAACAAAGCTGGAGGCATCACGCTACCTCACTTCAAACTATACTACAAGGCTACAGTAACCAAAACAGCATGGTACTGGTACCAAAACAGAGATATAGATCAATGGAACAGAACAGAGCCCTCAGAAATAACGCCTCATATCTACAACTATCTGATCTTTGACAAACCTGAGAAAAACAAGCAATGGGGAAAGGATTCCCTATTTAATAAATGGTGCTGGGAAAACTGGCTAGCCATATGTAGAAAGCTGAAACTGGATCCCTTCCTTACACCTTATACAAAAATCAATTCAAGATGGATTAAAGACTTAAACGTTAGACCTAAAACCATAAAAACCCTAGAAGAAAACCTAGGCATTACCATTCAGGACATAGGCATGGGCAAGGACTTCATGTCCAAAACACCAAAAGCAATGGCAACAAAAGACAAAATTGACAAATGGGATCTAATTAAACTAAAGAGCTTCTGCACAGCAAAAGAAACTACCATCAGAGTGAACAGGCAACCTGCAAAATGGGAGAAAATTTTTGCAACCTACTCATCTGACAAAGGGCTAATATCCAGAATCTACAATGAACTCAAACAAATTTACAAGAAAAAACAAACAACCCCATCAAAAAGTGGGCGAAGGACATGAACAGACACTTCTCAAAAGAAGACATTTATGCAGCCAAAAAACACATGAAGAAATGCTCATCATCACTGGCCATCAGAGAAATACAAATCAAAACCACAATGAGATACCATCTCACACCAGTTAGAATGGCAATGATTAAAAAGTCAGGAAACAACAGGTGCTGGGGAGGATGTGGAGAAACAGGAACACTTTTACACTGTTGGTGGGACTGTAAACTAGTTCAACCACTGTGGAAGTCAGTGTGGCGATTCCTCAGGGATCTAGAACTAGAAATACCATTTGACCCAGCCATCCCATTACTGGGTATATACCCAAAGCACTATAAATCATGCTGCTATAAAGACACATGCACACGTATGTTTATTGCAGCATTATTCACAATAGCAAAGACTTGGAACCAACCCAAATGTCCAACAATGATAGACTGGATTAAGAAAATGTGGCACTTATACACCATGGAATACTATGCAGCCATAAAAAATGATGAGTTCATGTCCTTTGTAGGGACATGGATGAAATTGGAAATCATCATTCTCAGTAAACTATGGCAAGAACAAAAAACCAAACACCGCATATTCTCACTCATAGGTGGGAATTGAACAATGAGATCACATGGACACAGGAAGGGGAATATCCACTCTGGGGACTGTGGTAGGGTTGGGGGAGGGGGTAGGGATAGCATTGGGAGATATACCTAATGCTAGATGACGAGTTAGTGGGTGCAGCGCACCAGCATGTCACATGTATACATATGTAACTAACCTGCACAATGTGCGCATGTACCCTAAAACTTAAAGTATAATAAAAAAATAAAAAAAAAGAAAAGCAGGAAAAAAAAATAACATATATCCACATAAGAAATACATGAATATATAGTTAATTTATTTGTATTATTTATTTATTTATTTATTTATTGAGTTAGGGCTTCATCACCCAGGGTGGAGTACAGTAGCGCAATCACAGCTCAGTGCAGCCTCGACCTCCTGGCTCTAGCAATCTTCCCACCTCAGCCTCCTAAGTAGCTGAGACTACAGACACACACCACCGTGCCTGGCTAATTCTTGTGTTTTTTTGTAGAGATGGAGTTTTGAACATTGCCCAGGTTTATGCAGTTAATTTAAATGTTATATAAATCTCCCTCTCTCTCTCTCTTTTTTTTTTTTTTTTTTTTTTTTCCCAGAGACAAGATTTCACTCTGTTACCCAGGCTGGAGTGCAGTGGTGTAATCATAGCTCAATGCAGCCTTGAAATCCTGGGCTTAAGCTATCCTCCCACCTCAGCTTCCCTAATAACTGGGACTACAAGTATGTGGCAACATGCCTAGCTAAGTTTTTTTTATTTTTATTTTTTATTTTTGTAGAGATGAGGTCTAACTATGTTTCCAGGCTGGACTTAAACTCTGGACCTCAAGCGATCTTCCTGCCTCAGCCTCCCAAATGTTCAGATTACAAGCATGAGCCATCATGCCCAGGCTTTTTTTTTTTTTTAAATTTCTTAACATTGTCAGTTAGCAACCTCTAAATGTACAGGGCATGATTACCTAAATAACACGTATCAGAAAATAAGCATAAAATTATTTAATCATAAAAACATTTGTATGTATCTAAATATTTCTCTTATGTTTCTAAAAAAAATTGAGTTTAAAAAAGAACTTTTAAACAGTATCTAATGTGGGAACTGTACAAAAAATAAGTTATTGATGAACTCCTATAACCAAACTCTTAGCTAGGAACATAGCAAAATAAACAGCTAAGCAACTTTGAGACTGCTACTTAAAAATTTTAAAACATGGAACAAAGCATTTTTTGAGTCCAGACGTTTTAAAAAAAGTAGTGTTTGCTTATATAATTTAGCCCTTTAACTGGATAAATATACCGAAATTTCAAAATTTCTAGGCATATGTATCTTTAATTGATTGCAAATTAGTTGACATTCAAAAGTTCAACTTAATAGCATTAAGTGTAGTCATCTAACTCCATGGAGCTTAACCATTTTGAAGAATATAATATTCTTGGATCATCAAGTCCATAAATACCTACATCAAGTATATGTTAGTACCAAGCTAATGGGAGTTCATAATTTATAGTCTGGGACTTGATAAGCCAGGATTTGGGGTGGCATGATTCACATGAGTGTCTTGAGACATATCCAAGCCCAGGGCAATAAACAGAAAATTATGAAGACAAGCTCAGTTAGAGTGCACAATAAAACCCAAGTTGATAGGTCAGAAACTGGGCATGCAGATAAAAATTACAGTCTAAGAAAGGCAGTATCAGCAGCCAAAGCCCAGAAACTCTAGAAAACAAGCCAAAAGGCACAAGAATTAATGAACAGCACCAAGAAGACTTTGATCATTGGGCCCACGGTCTTTCCCAGCCAGAATACTTATTGATTACCACCTTCCTGATTCAGAATCAGTTTGCAGGTTAGTATATGCCCTGGACTGATAGGGGGATAAAAAGCAAAGATCTAGACAACACAGACCTGTTACCTCATTGCTCCCTAAGAATGGTGTATGTGGTAGGAGGGAAAAAAGCTCTTTTCAAGATGAATTGTGATGTTGGCAAACTTCCAAACTTATATGCTAGCACCAAGGCATGGAAAATATTTTCAATAATACCCAAATTTAAGAATATACCTTTGACAATCAAATACATGTGCATATGTGTGTATTAGCCTTTCAGCATCTATGTAGTTACAATTTTCACAATTATAGCTTCATCGAAATAAAGGAAAGAGAGGGAAATGTCAATGCCAGAATTCTAAACTCCAGAGTAACATCAATTAATGATGTAGTAAATGAAGATAGTCCAGACTTTGTTTTAACAAAAACTTATCCCCCAAACACTCATGATACAACACACACACACACACAAAGAAAACCTGATCCAATTATCTTAGAAAACATATAAAATTGAAACATCATTTAAGGATATCTAGTATCAGAGCAGCTTCACAAACGAGTCCCATTGCTCTTGCCACTCTGATCTGAGTTCAATTCAATGTGGTTGAAAGCAGGATTATCAGTTCCACCATCTTCCACTGGATGTGATTTATAGCTCAAAACATGCTTCTTCTAAAAGAAAATGTTAACATGGTGATTAGGGGGAGAAAAAGAAGCTCTTCATTCATGTAATTCTAAATAATTGTTTCTACTATTTTTATTTCTCTGCATCAGCTTTCTAATCTACTGAGGGAGAGAAATATATAACAGGTATACTTCCTCAGAGGATACCGAGATATTCAACAGATACAGGTTATCAGAAGATAGATACAAAATAGCCCATCAGACAATAGATATACAACAGATTTATAATATCAGAGGATAGACAGATATATAGAGAGATATAACAGATATAAGTTATCAGAGGATAGACAGATATAGAGAGATATACAACAGATACAGGTTATCAGAGGATAGACAGATATAGAGAGAGATACAATAGATATAGATTATCAGAGGATAGACAGATATAGAGAGATATACAACAGGTATAGCTCATCAGAGAATAGAGGGATATACAACAGATATAGGTTATCAGAGGATAGAGAGAGATAGATATACAACAGGTGTAGCTCATCAGAGAATAGAGGGATATACAACAGATATAGGTTATCAGAGGATAGAGAGATATACAGCAGATAAAGATCATCAAAGGAAAGAGGATATGCAACAGATATAGCTCATCAGAGGATACACAGATAAGCAATAGGTATAGCGTATCAGAGGATATGGAGCTATAAAACAGATATAGATCATCATAGGATAGAGAGCTATCCAACATATATAGATCATCAGATTATATAGGGTCTATACCTTCCTTGTCCATCACTTTTCAAGAAAGAGGTTGAGAACTAATTAGTGTTCTATCCAGGTAATAAAGCCCAGTTTCCTAACTCAAGGTAAATGAAAGCCAACTCACTTTCTTAAAAATATCAAAATTGGATAAAAAGTCCTCTTTGGTTAGTATGTATCTGGGGTCTAAGTTCTGTTTTCTTCCTCCTGGAAAAAAAAATGTACATGACTTACGTTGTTAAAAAGGACACCAGTAACTACACAGAGACATTCCATTATACAGGCATTTAACTTGTTCACGTTCAACTCCATACATTCAAAAAACACAAAGAGAAAGGGAAACTTAAAAGCACTGATCACTTAGCCCGCAATTCCCCTTTCCTTAATTAGCCCCAGGTCTTGAAAGCCTCTCACTATAATAAATATGAGTCTCTCTCTCTCTCTCTCTCTCTCTCTCTCTCTCTCTCTCTCTCTCTCTATATATATATATATATATATATATATATATATATGTATCATATATATGTGTGTGAGATAGAGCTTAAACGCAAGCCAACTGCTTCATCTGGTACTCAACTAGAGAAACAGTCATCTGGCCCAATGCTGGTAGGAAAACTGGTTTAAAAGCACCCTCCATGCCATCAGTAAAATATCAAACCATCTGCCCCGCTTCAGACAGTGGAGCTGCTTTTCCCCACTTTGTTGGCTACAAATATACATGTCTATGAAGAAATGCAGGCAATTCGGAACTGCTGAATAAATTACTTAAGTGAAAATTAGTATGCTGACTGACGTTTGATCCAAATCCTCTTCCCTAAGGTTTTCTTTACAAAAAAAAAAAAAAAAATTCTATTTTGCTTTGGTATTTTTTGTGGATCAAAGAGGATGCTTTTAAAAATTGTGTATCTCAAAGAGTGGTCCTCAAACTACCCTTCCCCAAATCATTCAAGGAATGTACTTAAAATGCAGATTCCCAGACTCTAGCCTGGACTGACCAAATTAGGACCTCTGCAGGTAGGACCCCTGAAGCCTGATTTTTATAAAATTTCCAAGAGGATCCTTATGCCCTCTAAAGTTTAAGAACCACTACTTTAGTACAAATACTAGACTTTTAATTATGGGAACCTCTGCTGTTCTGGAGATAGAATCAATTTTAAATGAATTCGTTCAATGTTATTGAGTACCTACTGTGTGCTGGAGATGCTGCTAGGTGCTAGAGAAACAAAGAAACAAAACAATCTCTGTGCCCACAGTTTGTGATCTACTTAGGAAACTATTTGCCCCCATTTTCCTGATGAAAACATAGCCTTCTGCATAGTAAAAATCAGGGGAGTGCTGAAACGCCAACCAAGTCTGTAAGGCCTGAACTCTTATGGGAGTTTTAGTATACTACGATAGGTTTTAAAATCTGTTTCCCAGGGAGCATCAAAATTGTGTGCTTCTCATAGTTTTCAAGGTACTCACTGCTTCTGTGAAGTAGGAATAAGTTATTTGTGAAGTTAATGAAGTTGAAGTGTTTTCTATTACTGGATCCCAGTCACTGAGGTAGAGTGTTACTTCTTGAAACAAAAGATATAGCTGTATATGGTTTTTCAGAATCAAAGCATTTAAAAGAAAAAAAGGAGTATTCAAAGGAGCTACTCTGATACTCCACTTTCTTTTAAAAAATGAGCTAAATAAGGACCAAAGGGCAAATAGTACAGGGAGACTGGTTAGGTGTATTCCAGATCTGAACAACTGAATAACTGCTGGGAAAAGATGAAAATCTGTCTTAAGACTGGGCATGGTGGTGGCTCACGCCTGTAATCCCTACAATTTGGGAGACCAAGGTGGGCAGATCACCTGAGGTCAGGAGTTCGAGACCAGCCTGGCCAATATGGTGAAACCCCATCTCTATTAAAATTACAAAAATTAGCCGGGCGTGGTGGTGCGTGCCTGTAGTCCCAGCTACTCGGGAAGCTGAGGCAGAAGAATCCCTTGAACGCAGGAGGCAGAGGTTACAGTGAGCCAAGATCGCACCACTGTACTCCAGCCTGGGCAAAAGAGCGAGATTCCATCTCAACAGCAACAACAACAACAACAAAAATCTGTCTGAAAATATATCAAACTGGACCAAACAAATTAATAAACCTACTGTACTGGGAATTTTATTTTTGAGAAAGAGCACAGTCCTTTTGGAAAAGAAAGAATATTTTCCAACAACTGAGAAATAATGAATAGCAACAAATTTTATAATTATAAATACAAGTGTCACAGAAGTTTGAGAGACAGTGCTATCTCAGTGCCAAAAAACAGAAAATGATAGCAGGATTCTGTAAAGTGGCACAGTGCTGGCAGCTTTGTAGCATGGAGCAAACAAAGACATCAGACATCCTTGAACACAACTAGTTGTAACACATGTTGAAGGAGGCAGTTGCACCCTTCCCCTGGCGTGGCTGCTATGGATGCATACATGTGAGGGGATGTAGGGAGTCAGGGAGCCCAGCATGTTTCACCAACTCCGCACTACCCCGGCCCCAGCACTGTGATCTCTCACCTGGGTTACTGCAATAGCCTCTTCCCTGCCCTCGTTCCCCTACAGACTATTCTCAAAATTGGATCAGAGCACTCCTTTGAGAATTATTGGAAAAGTAAGTGAAAAAATATCTCACATAGTAGACCTAAAAGACACGGAGAGGAAAAATAAGAGAGAAAAAAACGAGAAAATTAGAGGAACTGTCCATGATTCTGATTCAAATGTTTGACTAATAGGAGTTCTCAGAGAGAGAACACAGAAAATTATTAAAAATAGAAATAAAAAGGAAGAAAAGAAAACAAAAAAGAAAATGTCCAGAACTGAAGGGCATGGATCTTCAGATTGAATGGGCCCTACTGAAGGCCTAGGCCAAGGCAGTCATTGTGAAAATGGGACACACACAAAGTGTCAGCTGGTAGCAGAGCGCTGTCACAACAGCAACATAGCAAGCTAGAAAAAAATTCAGACATCCTCTCAGAAAAAAGAAAAGTTCTTTTCAACCCTAGCAATTTCTACTCAAACAATCAATCAAGCATAAGATAGATTAAATAATTTTTTTTCAGACACACAAAGTTTCCAAAACCTCTTCTTTTGTCTACTCTTTCTTGAGAATATGCTATAGGATGTGTTTCATTCAATTAAGGGAGTAAATGAGAATGAGAAGTAATGAATATAGGCAGTAGAAAACCCAACACAGGAACAGGGGCTAAGAGAATTCATAGAATGAGGACAAAATGGAGTCCCAAGATAACCGTTCTATAGCAATCCCAGAGAGCAATTTATATACTATGTGTATCAATTTGATTTTTTAAAAATGAACACACTTTTTAAAAAATGATAAATATCTGAAAAAAAAGCCTCCACACTATGTTTAGATATAACCTGTGTATGCTTCTTTACAGTTCACAAAGAATGAATACTGGACCATGTAAAGATCACAGCATATTGGGTTATTATAAAAATATGTGTAAAATCCCTAACATCATAGCAGTTATGAAGTTCTTTTCAAGCATCTTATTTTTGTCTTACAGCAACTTGTGAGATGGGCAGGTCGATTATTATTGTCCTCATTTTATACATAAGAAAGCTGAGGCTCAGTGTAGCTATGTGACTTGCCCAAGTTCATGCAGCCCCTAAAGGGCAGAACCAAGATTCAAATAGAAATGAGTCTTCTGCTTTCAAGTCTAGGCCTTCAGATTTCCCATGAGTAAAACAGAAGAAATAATTAAACTAGTTGGCAATAGGATCATAGTAAAATAACATAAATAGCTATAAAACAGATACAGTAAAAACTGATATAGAGGTAAATACAACAATACTAATGTTTAGATAGTTACCTGTTGATAAACTGACAAGTATCCCCACTAATAATGTTACCAAAGTTCCAACAGTGCTGAAGTACAGATATGATAAAGAATACCAGTTATCCATCAGTGGAGTCCTAAGAGAGCAAAAACACAACGGTAAGATTTCATGTAATGCCACTAGCAACTACCAGTATATACCAGTGATTCCCATGGCAAGGTCAAAATATAACACTTAATAATGTTTTTAATGTCATAACCTGCTGTCCTAATTTTATCTTATCAGATCAGGAATTGAAAGCAAAACTTCACCTTGACTATATACTAAAATACTTGAAGGTCATGTTTATTCATTCAATTCTGCATGATGTCCCAGGCACTGCTCTTGTGATTGGACAGTCAGCCATAAATAAGGTAGATAAACCATTTGACCCAGCAATCCCACTACTGGGTATACATCCAAAGGAAAATAAATTGTTCTACCAAAAAGACACGTGCACTTATATGTTCATCGCAGCACTATTCCCAACAGCAAAGACATGCAATCAACCTAGGTGCCCATCAATGGTGGACTGGATAAAGAAAATGTGGTACATATACACCATGGAATACCATGCAGCCATGAAAAAAGAACAAAATCATGTCCTTTTCAGCAACATGGATGCAGCTGGAGGCCATTATCCAAGCAAATTAATGCAGGCACAGAAAACCAAATACCACATGTTCTCACTTATAAGTAGGAGCTAAATGTTGGTTACTTATGGACACAAAGAAGGGAACAATAGACACTGGGGACTACCAGAGGGTGAAGGGAGACAGGCAAGAGTTTACCCAAGTAAGAAACCTGCACAGGTATCTAAAATAAAAGTTGAAATTATTTTTTAAAAATAAAGTAGATAAGATTCCTGCTAACATATAGTTTATACTCTAATGGAGAGATAAATACAATAAACAAATTAATAAATATAATAATTTCCACTAGTAGAAAGTGCTGTAAGGAAAGTAAAACAAGATGATGTGCTATTAACAGGGTGAAGAGGGAGGAACTACACTACAAGTGGTCAGAGAAAACCTTTGGGAATAAATGACATTTGAACTGAGATCTGAGAAACAAAATGTTCTTGAGGAAAACAGAGACTAAACACCAGCTGACTGAGGCACAGTGAGCAAGACAGTGATTACAAGATGAAAGATAGGCAGGGGGCTTTTTGTGGGACCAGGCATGAGTTGGAATTTTACTCTACAGGCAATGGCACTCATTGCAATGTTTTAAGTGAAAGAGTAACATGAACATTCTATGATCATTTCTACAATGATTGCTCTAGGATTCCACTTTCAGTTTTGATAGCTGCTTGATTTAGAACAATCATTCTGCTGAGAACAATATATAAAACCTGGGGCATGGGGAGGGAGGCAGGTTTTTGAAGCTATCAGAGAGATCAAGACAATGAGAACTTGGCTGGGGTGGTGGCACACACCTATAATCCCAGCACTTTGGGAGACCAAGGCAGGTGGATAACCTGAGGTCAGGAGTTCAAGACCAGTCTGGCCAACCTGGTGAAACCCCATCTCTACTAAAGATACAAAAATTGGCCAGGTGTGGTGGCACATGCCTGTAATCCCAGCTACTTGGGAGGCTGAGGCACAAAAATCACTTGAACCCAGAGGTGGAGGTTGCATTGAACTCGAGCCTGGGCAACAGACTGAGACTCCGTCTCAAACAAAAACAAAAACAAAACAATGAGAACTTGAGGTGACAAGAACCCAGAAAGGAGGGGAACACATTGAGTTGAGCTAATGAAATTAAGAGAGTGTGATATTGAGCCAAAGACAGACAAAATAGAACAGAGTAGAGAATTGAGAAATAGACCCACAGAAAAATAGTTACTTGGTTAACATCGTTTTCATCGCCAGTGCATTCAATGGGGCAAAAGGGGAGTCTTTTCAATAAATGGTGTTTAGTTAACTGAGTATCCACATGGGGAAAAATAATCTTGATCACACCACCCACAGAAATCAATTCCAAAGTGGATTACACTTCCTCAATGGAAATGGTTAACAATAAAGCTTTTAAATAAAAAATTAGTGGAATATCTTTATGATTGCAGGGTAGACAAGGATTTCTTAAACAAGACACATAAAGGACTAACCATATAGGAAAAAACTGAGAAACAGAAATAAATTAAAATTAAGAAATTTTGACTGACAAAAAAAGTATCATTAAAAGAGTAAAAAGGTAACCCATAGAATGGGAGAGAAACATTTTCAAAACATATCTCATATCTAGAATATGTCATGAACTTCTATGTAAGTAAGAAAAAGACAGAGAATCCATTTCAGATGGACTAAAGACTTCAATAACTAAGTCGCAAAAGTAAATATCCAAATGGCCAACAAACAAATGAAAATGTATTTGACTTCATTAATCTTAAGGGAAATACAAATTAAAACCACAGCAAGCTACCAATGTAACCATCAAATATTGTAAACTTAAAAAAATCAAAACTGAATCTAGGCAATTGAAACAATTTGTATCTAGGCAACCAAAGCATCACACATTCAACCTTCAGCTGGGTGGCTCACAACCCTTGTGCTCCAGCCCTATGGAACTAGGATGATTTCCTAAGATGCCCTGATTCTTCAGTCCTTCATGCTTTTGCACCGGTCGTTTCTTCATTCTGCGACACACACTCCTCCTTCCTTGCGATACAGATTGTGTCCCTGTGCTCAATCCTGCTACCTGACTAACTCCAGCCCATGCAATTCTCCTCTAAGAAGGTTTCCTTGACTCCAGTCAGGCAGACTTCCTCCTTCTGGCTCCCATGATATCCTGTGAATATTACTTACCACAATGCATGTTTTAATTTATTTTCTTGTCCAATTTCCCTTCTGGTCATTTTCTGTGACAAGAATGACTTTCCAGATCTTCCCCTTCATCTAGCCAAACCTATGCATTCTTGAAGTAGTAGTATATCTCTGAAGTCTTCATGCTAACTTACACTCCAACTTTGTACTCACTCTTTTAACAAAAATGTATCAAGTATTTTTTATTTACTATGTCTTAGTTTTTATACTTAGCATGCTTACTGAGTTTATTGTTTTGCGTATATTTGCACATTCCCTCCTGCTAGATTAGAATTTTCTGGAAGGCAGGAAACAGTGGCTGGGAGAGGAAGATTTTCTTCCATGGATACTAAATAAATGGCCAGCACAGTGCTGGGTACATAGTCCATGCTCAAAAATTCTTGTTTATTAGCTGAAATATTTGATAAGTAAACTAACATATAAAACTATTATGGTACCAGGCATAGAATAAACTTCAGCTAATTTATTTGTTTCAGGAATCCAAATAACCATTTTGCCTTAGACTTTTAAGGGCAAATATTTACATAATTAGGAAAACGCTAAGCAAAATCATAAAACAAGAAGAACATCCTGTGTCTTCTCACTTAACCTTCAATTAATCTTTTCTCCCTTTCTGACTCTGATGACTCTCCCAGTCCCCTCCCATTAGTGCTTTCATGCCTGTCCAGACTGCTCTCCACATGTCCTTGCCCCTCTCTCCACAGCACCTCACCTAGTAAAACTTCCCTCAAATACGCCTCAGGCTCTGGAACTACCTTTCCACTCTACCATACACAGCTTACCTGCCTGGAACGCCCCTGGAAGTCCCACTGGCTAGCTTTCTCATAGCTGAATTCTCTCCAGAACACAAATTGCTAATAATGGCTATATGTATGATCACGTTCCTTCTCTCAGGAGTGTGTCCATTTTAAGAGGGGTATGCCGTGTCTTGACCCCAAAGGTATGACTATATTGATGTCATTCCAGATAAGCTGGCACTGGGGCAATACTCTAGGGGCAATGGCATCATCTTTGCATTCCTTGAACGTATTCACAGGGTTTGTGCTTTAAAGCTGGACACTTATATATCCACTAAAGAAAGTCTTGACCTCACATTCACTGTACAATAAAGCATGCCTCTACCCACTATTTCAGTACGTTAAATCAGACAACTTCAGCATTTAGAGGCTCCAAAGTGTACTGCATGACTGAAATCTGTAGCATGAAGATCACAGCTGCAATCACTTCTAATGCTTTAAAGATTTGGAATCTTCAACTGAACAAATGGCAGTTATTTAACATGTTTAAATAATTGTAGCTTTTGGTCAGTAAAATCTATCTTTCTAAGACTATATAAGCAATATTTATTCTATAATTGTGCTTTCCATTTTAAAAGTTTTTCCAAGACAAAGATAATTCTTCATGCAGCTAAGAGCTGGTGTTTAGGAGAGTTTACACATAACAGAAGTTTCTCATTAATATTTAAGTTTTCTTAGATCTGTAGACAAGGCAGAAATTTCTAGAGAAATTATGAAAATATGACATTTTTTGTTACCGCTGCAGAAAATACTATAGCTAACCACATGGGTTTTACTCATTTCAGAATTAGGCAAAATCACAGTGTTGTAAGCAAGACAAAAAGCAAGTGGGGTTCTCTACTTGTTGCGTAAATTTTTTAAAGTATAATGTAATAAAACTTAATTCAATACCTTTGAACATTGTATATTTGAAAAACACTAGTAGTAAATGGCATTTCTGTGGTTGTCATCAAATTTGTCTCATTGTAGGTGCTGTTACAGCCTTGGATATCAAGGTGCAATGGCAATGTTCTCTCAGGAAGTGGAGGATATATTTGAGCTCCAATTCCAACCCATAGAGAAATGGCAAATCCAGCCATCAGACCAACAAGTGCTCCCTGTAAAACAAGAATGCCTTTAAAAGAAAAATAATACAATTTGCTTTGATGTCAAAATTAATATTAGAAAGCCAAGTTCAACATGGCACGAAATTATAAAACTCACAAGGGCAGAAACATTCAACGCTCTCTCCTCCCAAGATAGTGCTCAGCCCATAAAAATCTATTGAATAAATGAACAAGTGAATAAATGAATGAAAGGTATTGAGGCAGGGAGAGAAAAAGGAGTGAGAAAGGCCACTTTTAAGGAAGGCAGATAATCTGCTGGTGAAAAACCTGGACATGGTTTAAAAAAAAAAAAGATACTGTTTATGGCAGGAAGAATAGTATGTTATTCTTCCGTTACCGCCCCCAGAAAAGGACATGTTAGCTTAGTCAGCTACAGCTCTTCCGGAGGAAATACACGCTGGCAACAAATGCCAAATATCAAAAGTTGATTTTTAAATACATTTTTCTAATACTTAACAAACTAATGCATTTCATCACGCAAAGAATCTAATCCAAGCTTCAACATTCTGAGGTGGACACAAACAAATCTCTTTCATTGTGATTAATTCCTACAAAAGCAGCTTTTCATATGACATTTCATTGAGGATAATAAATAATAACCACAATAGTCCTTATTAATATCTGCCTTACCAATTCCTAATGCCTTATAAGGAAAATAGAATTCCAAATGTGAAGTCAGAGTTCTATGGCTATTCTATATCTGAAGCGACTGCACATACATTATCAGTTTTTCCTGAACTACATCTTATAGCCAGACTGAACCAGTGGACTTTCTTCTGGGTTTCAGAGAAATAATTTCTAGCTCATTTATTCCAAACAAAAGTTAGCACTTCTAAGCACAGATATGTCTAGGTAGAAGGACAGAGATATTACGTCTTTCTGGAAAATATTCCCAATTATGATCACCCCTTTGGGGCTAAATCATGTTGTGGGAGCTACAGCTTTAAATGTCAGGAGTAGAAAATTCCTGGCCAAGGTGGTAAGATTGTGTTCCTTCTCTTTGCTGTGCTATGGCTATTCACAGAAATCCTAAGTTTTCTGCCCTTAAATCTCTCATCTCTGAGCCTATTGATCTCTTTTAAATCCTAGCTATTAATTTTTGAGAAGGGCAAGTAGGTACGTGCATAAAAATGTTGCTCCTTTAGTTATATTATGAATATTTAAAATTGCCCTATATGGTTCTGGAAGTTTCCATTGAGCTTCACACATTTAGGGTCCCCATACATAGTACTTCCTTGTACACTCCACCAAAGTCAACAGAAATAATTTAAGTCATCAAGACAAGTAGCTAATGACAAATCTCAAAGGAACCAACTGAGAAAAAAGTGTAGAGCTGCTAGTATAGTTCAAAAAGTAATCCTCAAGCATATTCATTCTTTGTACTTACAATTGAGTTGGCAAAGGGAACCAAAATGCCCAAAGCGAACAGGCCCATAAGTGGTCCACCAACCATACCAAATACGCTGAGTGCTGCCTACAAAAATAATACAACGTCAGCAATTAGCAATCTCAAATCGAAACTCAAATATTTCAAAGTCATTTCATCAGGATAATGACTTAAAGTATTCGGCCTCCTTCTGAAAATCATAGTTTCAGTCATGATAGCCTTATCACTGGAAAAGAAGTCATTAGAACTTACAAGTTTCTGCATCTCAGTCTCAAGGATCCATCTGTTTCTGCAAGTAGCCTCAAAAAAGGCCACACAACACAAAGAAGATAGAGAGGTCTGCGACAATGGTAGTGCCTATGTGAATGTATAAATCATGAATGATACCTCTCCTCTTAGCATTGCTCTTGCAGGTGTTTATAAATCACAGCACTCCTTTGTGCTTTGATAATCTCAAAATCCTCTCATAACGGTGGACGAGTACTGCTATGTGACCAGAGAGGAGGATGAAACCCATTTGCCATTCCTGATTTGATTCCCT
The DNA here is from genome assembly GCF_000001405.40 of Homo sapiens. NCBI lineage: Eukaryota > Metazoa > Chordata > Mammalia > Primates > Hominidae > Homo > Homo sapiens. The sequence goes on from NC_000012.12 coordinate 101,168,637, forward strand.
AAGGATGAAACTAGAATGAGAAATACGATTTTAAAAAGACTGATCAAATCATGTAGAAATAGATTTAAAATCTAATTAGATAACTGCAACCTTTGCTTTGATGTAGAGATATCAAATCCATGATAGTAAAAAAGATTTACAGTGCAAACATCGCATGAGGCAAAGCAACTAAATGAAGCTTCCAAGAGATATACGTTCCCAATAATCTAATGCCCAGTTCTTAAGAATGGACACAACCATAAAAGAAGAGCAGGGAATCACTGGTTTGTCCAGAGAGTAAAGGGGTTTAATAGAGCAGAATGAATGAATCAAAGAGAAAATACCAAGTCAGGGAAATATTAGAGGAAATAGTGCTTCTTGTTGTCGTTGTTGTTTTAAATAGGCCTACTTCATGGAAGAAGAAAAGGATGTGGTACTGAGTAGAGAGGAGAACTAGTGTTTAAAAGGATGCGGACTCAAGGATGTGATCCTGAGTCAGTTTACACACAGTCCAGTCAGAAGGGAGATAGACTTCACTGCAAGACGTCATATGACCCACAAAGCAAGTGATGACTGTGTGATCTGTGAGCAGTTTTGGAGACATAACAAAGACACCCAAAAAAGATTACAAGAGGAAATAAGACCTTGGCTAGAGATGAAGCAAGGATGAACTGGCTTGGAGTTATGATGACTTTGCTAGAACATGTCATTGTATATAATCAGGCCATAGCTGATATATGGAAAAAGGGGAATCAACCACAATAAGAGCTCCAGGCACTAATGCAGACTATGAAGAAAGCAAATTCTGTATGACTGGCTGTGGTTTAGGAGTGCTGGGCAGGCTTGGAGCTTCTGGATCTAATTCATTCATTCATATAATCAGGGATGGGGTCAAACTATTTTACAACTGCTATGTCCTAAACAACAACCAACCAGAATGGCCCCAAGCCTTAGGACTGAAGAAAGATCCTGGAGGACCCCTGCTGTGCCAGTACTAGCCTTTAAGTTTCTAGGTCAAGGGGAGGTCCAGGATCCCAGAGGAGCAGCCCAAGTGGCCAAGGAAATTTCAGGGAGCACTTGGGGTCATCAGATAATAGGATATTTATGAGCCTAACTACATTATTAGTTAATATTCAAGCTAAAGTTGTTAATGTCTTGCTTTGTCCTGGGCACTGCAGTAGGAACCAGATATTTGATACAGGATTGAACAACGAAGTCATCTTCCCCACCTTCATGAATTACAGGCTATTCAGTAAAACAGACACTAAATAAATAACTGTAATACAGTTTGATAATGGAGATGATAAAGAAAGTACAAGGTGCTTCTAGAAACATTTAGCAGAAGGGAATGCAAATGTATCCAGGTAATAGGAAAAGTCTCTTTAAATAAGTAATGTGTTAAAATGAAAACTGAAGAATAACTAAGGCTTAGGCAGTGGACGAGGTAGAGAGGAAGGTGTTGCAGGCAGAGGGAGAAGTCTATGCCAAGGCCTGCGTGTTGAAGACAGTGAGGTGCCCACAGGGTTCAGGAAGAAGACACTGTTGTAAAGATTGGTCTGTCCTCTCCAGGCCCACAGCTCCACAGGAACAGGAGGGAGCTTTCCAACACAAAAATGCTCTCTAATCAGAAGAGCAAACGCCACAGGAGGTGAAAGACCCTTCAGGTAAATAAACAAATTTTTTTTAATGAAGTATTTCTACTTCTGAGAAGATAAACATATGTTTCTCTATTCCTCCTACTAATAAAATTAAAAATCCTGACATTCCATATAAAATAAACATAAGAAGACTCTGAAAGGTGCAAAGAAGGCAGCCCGCTAGGGACCCTGGACCTGAAGAATGGTACAGGGTGAGTTCCCTAAGTTTTCTTTTTGCTTCATGTATCCCAGCCTGAGAACTGAAGAAGCCAGCCAGCCTGGAAATGGCAACAGACACAGGCAAAAAAACTTTAAAAAGATAAAAAGCCCTCACAAAATCCTGTTCTCTCTCTAGACACAGGGCCAGGAAAGGAGCAGCCTAGGAAGATAGAAAACTCTTAGACCCCAACCGCTCCATTCCATCCGAACACCACAGAATAATCTGTTCACCCCACCCACACCCATGCCAGCCTAGATTCCATCCCCCCAGACTGTCACCAGGCACCCTTTGCCTCCCTGCTGGCAATGACATGGGAGGCCTAGTGGAGAATCGGGACTTTCACCATGGCCCAGCAGTGACAAAGCCACCTCCTCCATGATGTCAGTGAATTCCACCCTGTGGTGCTCGCGTGTTTCGGGTGGTCCTAGTTAACCAGCTTCCCAGGGAAGCCTCTTCCCTTGAGTTCGCTTTGCATCATTGTTGAGTCTTGTACACCGTCTGATGCTCATGCATTTTATTCTGGCAGTGCTCTTACCAGAAGAATAGCAGGAGCAGGATGGTGTCGTGGGCCAGATTTAGTCACAGGTTAGATGACTGACAGACCAGGAGGGTTTTCATCTAGAGACCTTTCTCAGAGTTTAGGGGATCCTTCCTCCTTTCTTATACTTGTATTCAATCCAGGTCAGTTACCAGGTGTTTTGTTCACAAAGAGAGATTAAGCTATGCTTGTAAGGGTAAGCTTTGTTCCAAGGTTTGTGAAAATTGCATCGTGCTGAGGTGACCTGGTCTCCTGGAAATCTGGTTGGAAATCCCCGGCCAGGTTGCTTCATACTGCTAAGTTTGACAGATAGGACTGACCCTCTGAGTTGCTTGAGTGGCCTTATGCCTATCATTAATCTTATAGCCATAATATATCTCATTGTATACCACACTCCACCCCTGACCCTGAGGGGGTCAATAATTGAGAGGCTGCCCAAGTTTGAAAGTGCGCTCCATGGTCAGTCAAATCTTGAGAAATGGATCTTCTGTAGGACGGTGAGTAGGAGTTGGTGGCGCCCTTGGAAAAACCTGGAAATGAACTGTATCATCACAGAGAGGATACAGTAGATCTAGTGTCCAGCTGAGCAGTTAGGGGAGATCATGAGAATGGGGTTCGGCTGTGGCTTTGGGGCAGACTCGCCAATGATGGGGGAAGAGTGGAGGACAGGTAGCGACCAAGTCTGGACGGGAAGCAATGGATGTGTGGCAGGCCAATGAAGGCATGCCCAGCAGGCTGGAAGGTTAGCTGCTCAGTGGGTGGCCAAAATGTGGTGGAGGCTGTCAGTGACCTCAGTGCCAAGTAATTGGTGAATAGGTCTGGAGAAGCCACAGTTGGATGTGGAAAGTCAGGCCACCCGGAGTAGCAGCAAAAGAACACGGGCACACTGGGGCTTGGAAACACGATTACATGAGCAGGTGAAAGGAGTTGAATGGACTCAGTGGTAGCAGGCTTAGAGTTGCTTGATTACAGAGCAATGACAGGTGAAAATGGAACAGAAGGATAAGGAGGACACAGAACTAAGCAATTAGGTCTGGGGACACTGTGTGTGCTGAGGTGCTGTCAAAGATCCAAAATCGTGATCTTGAACACGGCCCGATGAAGCCAAAGTTCAAGGTGTTGTCCATTCCAGATGGCTGTCAGGCACAGCTGGGGCACCAAGTGTCTCTAGGAGGCACTGGCTGCAGGAACAGTGGTGGCCCAAGAGACCCCTAGGCAAATATACCAGTAAAGGTCTTGCCAGGGAGGGATATAGGTAGGGTGGGTGGGACAGTCCAGGTGGGTCATCCTGGACACAGGGCAGGAATGTTAGCAGTGAAGACATCTTCCCAAAGGTGGAAGTTGATGCTCAGCCATCCAGATGGGTGGTAGGTCAGTGGGTGGGATGACTGGACGACATTGGTATTAAGGAGAGTTTGCAGGAATTCATGAGGCTTGCCAGACAGGAGCCAATTTGGAAGCACCCTTCAGCGTATCTGCCAGTAGAGGTCACTCTGCCCTTGTGAACAGCTGGACTGGGCCTCATCCCGTGGGTGAGGGGTGTGAGAAGGCCAGGGAGAGCAGAGCCCAGTGTGAGACCTCTGGCTGCAAGGTCCTGTGTGGTGGGTAGGGAGCGAGGTGCTGTTGTGAACACTGTTGGATGGTTCTGTCTGAAAGGTGCAAAGAAGGCAGCCCGCTAGGGACCCTGGACCTGAAGAGTGGTATAGGGTGAGTTCCCTAAGTTTTCTTAGGGATTCTTAGCTATTCTTCAGCATTTTCCAGGGTGATGAGGACCTACAGAGCTCAATTAACTTCAGGGACTGTGGCCATCAGGGCCAGGAGAGTTGGTTTGGCTTATGATGGGCTCTCCTTAAAAACATCTGTAAACCATCCGGGTGCAAGGTGGTCTGTTCCAAGGTCTCCCAGTTGTGCCCCTGTCCCATGGGAGTGGCGGCTGTGCAAACTCACTGGAGCATGCCTAAGCGCCACAGTGGCTCCCCTTCTTCCTCAGTGTGCACCAGCCACCTTCAGCCCTTGATGAAAAGAGGCTCATTCTGGGGGTGCTATTTGCCAGGCCTGAATAGCCACTGCAGCGGACTGCAGGGACAGTTATGTCTACCCACTCTACTCTGTGCCTGGATAAGCTCAACAGGGTCTTGAAATAAGGAAATGATCTTATTATCTTTAAAGATAGCCGCTGGCTGCTGTATTTGTATTTCTCGGCCTATGAGTTGCAAAGCACTTCCTCTCAGGTACACACAGCACAGCCAGGTGGTGCCTTTCTCTTTGGGTTCCTGCACCAGGTCTTTGAGCAGGCTTTGAATTTCTGTCCACATTAGGGGTGAACCTCTTCATGGACCATATGGTGTCTAGGACACACTTCCTCATCTCAGCCAGCTGTGGAGGTGGCAGCAGCTTTCTCAGCCCAAGTGATGACTGGTGACACCTGTGGTGTGGCCAGCGGTAAGCCAGCACACCCAGGATCATCATTCCACAGCTCACAGGGCTCTGGATCGACCAGGCAGAATGACACGACTCTGAGGTGAGCCCGCGTGACTTGGGCATGTTGCCTATGGGCTGCTGCCAGCAACACTCAGCAGACATCACAGGCTGGGGCACACCCCTTGAGAAGCCACACTGTCTCAGCTGGAGTGCATGGTGGGCTGGGAACAGCTGCGACATGCCCTTTGATGATTCTTGTGGACTTCACTGGTGGTGTTAGTCCAAGGATCTATTGGGAAATATGCTTCTAAGTCCCTAGCTGGTGGGCAACAGCACATAACCCTTCAGCAGGTAAGCTTCACCTTTGCCTTCTTGGTCTGTGGCATCACAGTGCCAAGATCCTTGGGGGCAAGGAGCAACCCTCCCACAGCAGGAGCCAGAGACACACCAGCCAGTGGTTAGCTCTTCAAGCCGGGGCATCCTCCACCTCTGCTTCCTCCTCCTTAGAGCCTGTCCCCAGTTACTGGGGACCAGAGTGGTCTTAAGAATAATTTTGGCAGGTTTTTCATGGTGGCAATTTCACAACAGAGGCACAGACAAAGTATGTAGAAGGCAGCAACAGGCCACAAAGTAAAATAAAAACTACCAGACACACTACGGAGTGTTCCGGAGGGCTTCATTTGACTTCTTGATCAGAACCAGTCCCCAGTCACCCTTTCCCAGTCCTTCCTTAGAAATGGGTGCCATTACTTACTTGCTCACTTACTTATCCTATCCTCAATGCCAGTTGTGTTCAGAGGTTGTAGGTGGACCTAGTTAACCAGCTTCCCCAGGGGCGATGTCTCCTTTTCTGTTCACTTCACATCAAAGATGAGTCTTAGGCACCATCTAATGCTCAATCGGTTTATTCTGGCAGCACTCTTAGAAGATGGATAGTGAGAATAAGCTGGTGTCATGGGCCAGATACAGTCAGGGGGTCAGATCATGAACTGACCAGAGAGTCTTCATCCAGAGACCATTGTCAGACTTTGGGGGTCCTTCTCCCTTTCTTATACCTGTATTTAGTCCAGGTTAGTTACCAGCTGTTTCTTTCATAAAGGGTATTTAAGCTATTATTGTAAAAGTAAGCTTTGTTCTAAGGTTTATGAAAGCTGCATCTGTGCTGAGGTGGCTTTTTTTTCCTGGAAATCCCTGAGCCAGGGTTGTAAATTCCTACATGACATGTAGTATCAGCCCTGCAAGATATTTCAGTGGGCCTCATGCACTATCATTAATCTTATAGCCACAATATGTCTCATAGTATTCTACACACCCCTATCCAGCATAACAAGGAGCTCCTCCCTCTGGACTTCTACCTCCACCTGAAGTAATGAGGCGGCACCCTCCCTTACGCTACTGACGTAGTGTCAGAGAAAGCTGGCTAAAACAGAAGGTAAGATTCAAAGTTTCATCACATAATATTGAAATGCCCAGGTTTCAACAGAAATTAACTTTTCATAGAAAGAACCAGGAAGATCTCAAACTAAATATAAAGATTACAGAAACAGAATTATTTGATAAAAAATTTAAAACAGCCATGATTTAAAAAATGCTTTAACAATTAGAATTCACTTGAAACTAATGAAAAAATAGAGGGAAAAAATATATATAGAGAGAAAAATCTCAGGGAAAAAAAGAAGATATTAGGAAGAACCAAATGAAACTGTTACTCTGAACAAATACAATAACTGAAATAAAAAATTTTAAATGAATGGGCACAATAGCAGTATAGAAGGAACAGAGAAAAAGATCGGTGAACTGAATGACAGAACAACAGAAATAACCCAAACTGAACAATAGAGAGAAATGAAATGAAGAAATATAAAATAAACTTCAGGGATCTGTAGAACTATAACAAAAATATTTAACATTCATGTCATGAGAGTCCCAGAGGAAAAGAGAAAGAAGATGGGGTGGAAAAGTACTCAAAGAATTAATGTCTGAACTTCTCAAATTTGATAAGAGACATAAATCTCTTTCAGACTTATGAAAGAAGCTGATTCAAGATTCAAGAAGCTGAGTAACCCTAAAAACATAGGAAAAGAAAGAAACACGTGCCAAGACACATCAAAAACTCAAAACAAGGAAATACACACCAAGATACATCATAATTAAACTTCTGAAAACTAAAGAAAAAACAAAACAAAACAAAACAAAAAAACCTGAGAGCATTCAGAAAGAAATGACTCCTTACCTGTAAGGGAAAACAATTAGAATAGTAGCAGATTTATCATCAGAAATGATAGAGACAAAAAGAAAGTAGAAAAATATTTTTTTAACTCCTGGGGAAAAAATACTAGCAACTCAGAATCATATACCCAACAAAAATATCCTTTGGGGATAAAGGGGAAACTCAAGACATTCTCAGGTGAAGGAACACTAAAAGAATGGCTAAAAGAAGTTTTCTAAACAGAAAGGAAATGGTAGAAAGAAGGAACCACAGAACAACTCACAGGAAGGCAGAAAACAAAAAACAGAAATACCAAACAGACAACTAAAAACTGATTCTTAAGCCCTAACATAACATACCAATAATTATATTAAATGTGAATGGTCTAAGTACACCAATGAAAAGACAGAGATTGACAGGATGGATTTTTAAAAAAGACTCAACTGTGTGCTGTCTACAAAAAAACTCACTTCTAATATAGCAACATAGGTGGTTCAAAGTGAAAAAATGGAAAAATATACTATGCAACCATTAATCAATGGAAAGTAGAAGTAACTATATTAATATAAAATAAATACACCTCACAGCAAAAAAATTTCTCAGAGACAGATAGGCACATTATATAATAACAAAAAGGTTAATCCTTCATTAAGACCCAATGCATGAAGCAAAGCAAAAACTGATAGAACTAAAAGGGAAATAGACAAATACACAATTATAGTTGAAGAATTCACCACCCCTCTCTCAACAATTGATAAAACAACCAAACAGAAAATCAGCAACCATCAACAAACAGAATGTAATTGATATTTATGGAACACTCTACCTAATAAAAAAAGAATACACATTCTTTTCAAGTGCTCATGGAACATATACCAAAATACCATATCCTAGGTTATAAAACAGACCTCAACAAGTTTAAAAGTACTGAAATCATAAAGAGTGTGTTCTCTGATCACAATAGAATCAAACTAGTAATCAATAACAGAAAGATAACAGGAAAATCTTTGAATACTTGCAAACTAAGTACCATACTTCTAAATAATCCATAAATCAAAAGAATATCTCAAAGAAAACATAAAAATACATTCAGCTGAATGTAAACAAACATACAAGATGTCAAAAGTTGTGGAACACAGCTAAACTGGTGCCAAGAAGGAAATTTTCAGCAATAAATGCACACATTAGAAAAGAGGAGAAGATTCAAATCAGTAATCTAAGATCCCACCTCGAAAACAGCAAATTAAAACTCAAAGCAAGGAGAAAAGAAATCATAAAGATAAAAGTTAAAAATCAATGAGTGAAAACAGAAAAACAACACAGAAAAATCAATGAAAAAAAGAAGCTGGTTCTTTGAAAACATCAATGAAATTGACAAACCTGTAGCAAGACTGAAAAAAATAAGATACAAATTACCAATATTAGGAATGGAACAGGGGCTATCACTACAGGTCCTGCAGATGCCAAAGGATAGTACAGAACTACTATGAACAACTATACATGTATAAATTTGCAAACTTAGATAAAATGGAACAATTCCTCAAAAACATAAATTGTCACAATTCATCGAATATGAAATGGATAATTTGAATAGCTCTGTAACTATTAAGGAAATTAAATTCATAATTTTGAAACTAAAAAAAATCCAGGCCCAGATGCTTTCCCTAGAGAATTCTACCAAATAATTAAGGAAGAATTAGCACTAATTTTAGACAATCTCTCCTAGAAAATAGAAAACAGAATCCTTCCCAATTTATTTTATGAAGCTAGTATAACCCTGCTATCAAAACCAAAGGCAGTATATACACACACACACACACACACACACACACACACACGCATGCATGCACACACACACACCACTACAGATCAATATCCTTCATGAACATAGATGTAAAAATTCTTAATAAAATATTAGCACATATAATTCAGCAATATATAAAAATAACTACACACCATGACCAAACAAGGTTTATTCCCGGTATGCAAGGCTGGTTCTGCATTAAAAAACCAATCAATGTAATCCATCCTGTAAGCAGGCTAAAGAAGAAGATCACATGATCATATAAATTGATTACAGAAAAAGCATTTGAAAAAATTCAACTGCCATTTATGGTGAAAACTCTCAGAAAAAAATAGGAATAGAGAATAGGAATAGAGAGTTTCCTGTTCACATTGGGGAACTGGGTAAGGATTTCCACTCTCACTACTTCTATTCAACATGATATGGAAGTTGAAGCCAGTGCAATAAGGAAATAAAAGGCATTCATACAGATCAGAAGGAAAGAAATAAAACTGCCCCATTCGAAGATGACAAGACTGTTTATGTAGAATATCTCAAGGAATATAACAAAACAAACTAAACCATAAAACAAAGAAGCAAAAAATTATCAGAACTAATAAGTGAGCTCAGCAAGGTCACAAGATTGAAGATAAATATAAACACATCAATTTTATTTCTACATTTTAGCATTGAACACATAGACATCAACATAAAAAATACGATTTGCATAGAAAAGCTAAATAAATGAAGAGACATACCATGTTCATGTTTTAGAAAATTCAACATGGTAAAGATGTCATTTCTTCTCAAATGGATAAAAAGCTTTCAGGCTATCAATATTTAAGCAAGATTTTTTTTGTAGATACAGACAAGATTATCCTAGACTTCATATGGAAAGGCAAAAGAACTAGAATAGCTAAAACAATTTCGAAAAATAAGAATACAGTGGGAGGAATCGATCGACCTGATCTTGAAACTTATTTTAAAGCTGCAGTAATCAAAATAATCAAATTATAAAGCTGTGTGGTATTGGCAGAAGTACAGACACATAAATAAATGAAAGAAAACAGAGAATTCAGAAATAGACTCACACAAATATGCCTAATGGACGTTTTACGAAGGTGTAAAGGCAGGTCAATGGAAGAAAGCCTTTTCAACAAATGGTGCTGGTTGCACATCCATAGAGGAAAAGAGAATGTCAACCTAAGTCTCACATTTTATACAAAATTAACTCCAAAGGGATTGTAGACTTAAATATAAAATGTAAAACTCTAAAACTCTTTGAAAAGAAACATAGAAGAAAATCTTCAAAAGCTGGGGCTAGGTAAAGTTCTTAGACTTTACACCAGAAACACAATCCATGAAAGGACAAATTGATAAACTAGACTTTATCCAAACTAAAAAAAAAAATGCACTTTGACAGACCCTGTTATGAGGATAAAAAGACAAACTACTGTGTAAGAAAATATTTGTAAACCACATCTGACCAAGAGCTAGTATACAGAATACATAAAGAACACTCAAAACTCACCAGTAAAAAAAGCAAACAATTGAATTAGAACATGAGCAAAAGACATTATGAGATAATGTATGAAAGAAGATACATAGATGAAAAATAAGTCGCTGAAAAACATTTTCAACATCATTAGCCATTAGGGAAATGCAAATTAACACTACAATGAGATATCACTATATGCCTATCAGAATGGCTAATATAAAAAAAAAGACACCACTAAATGCTGGAAAGAATGAGGTTTAAACTGGGCCATTTGTCTATGCTAGTGATATAAAAATGACATGCTCTGGAAAATAGTTTGGCAGTTTCTTTTAAAAGTAGACATTTAGCAGTCACCTGACAGTTGCACTCCTGGGTAGTTATCCCAGGGAAATGAAGACTTATGCTCACACAAAAACCTTTATGTAATGTTTGTAACAGATTTGTTTGTAATACTCAAAAACTGGAAACAATTTAGATGTCCTTCATCAGCTGAGTAGGTAAACAAACTGTGATACATCCCTACCAGAGAATACTATCTGATAATAAAACAGGACAGATTATTGACATACGCAACAACCTGGATGAATCTCCAGGGAATTATGCCAAGTGAAAAAGGTTACATTCTATGTAATTCCATGTATGTAGCATTCTTGACCTGGTAAAATTATAGAAATGGAAAACAGATTAGTTGTTGCCAGGGATTAAGGAGGGAGTAGGGGCAGAAGGGAAGTGGTTGTGGCTACAAATGGGCAACAGCAAGGATTCTTGTAGTGATAGAAATGTTTTGTATCTTGGCTATATCAATGTCAATATATGAGTTTGATATTGTACTATCAAGATGTTACCACTGCAAGATGTTACCACTGAGGGAAACTGAGTAAAGAGTATATGAGATCTCTCTGTATTATATCTCACAATTGCATGTAAATCCACAATTATCTCAAAACACAAAGTTTAATTAAAAAAAATTAAAAAGTGTAGTCATCCCTGCCACTTGATATGTCCAGGTGTCGATATATATCGAGAGAAGTCTGGAAGGATGGTCACATCAACATTGAAAAAAGATTTAGTGATTTATGACTTAAACCTCCAGGGGCCAGCTCTCACCTGCAACAAAGCTCCCATAAGTGACGCCAGCGCAGCCATTCCAATACACAGGGCTCCATACACCACACCTAAATGGACAACATAAAAGCCAGTGTAAAATCCACACCCAGAGAATTAGAATTCTCAATAGAATAATCCACCACACCTTTGATTCAAAGTGGATAATATGACTGTGGTGAAGAATGGCCACACACATCAGAGCCAGTGAATAAAGGAAATGGCTATTTTCCTCTAGGATCAGCAGTGTTTCAAGAGGACGAAGCCCTTACATTGTGTCCCAGGATTAGTTACAACAGTAGGTTATATAAGTAAAGAGTTCCTGGAATAAACTATAGGTATTTAAAACTAAGAACTATATTGTGTTATTAATCTAATCATCCATAAACATTTGTATATAAAGAAAGGCTCAGGTCTCTGTTTTCAGCTTGCCAAAAATAGAATACTATTCAGCTCTGCTCTGTACAAGGTGAGAGAAGGAGTAATAAACAGAAATTAGACTCTTCTGACTTTAAGCATTCATTTCCCTTGGGAAGTGGCAATGGACACTATGGGGTGTTGGACGACTTTTAGCCCCCTCATAATCTCCATCAGTATCCTCAAGCCCTTCCTATTAAACTAGCAAAGAAAGGCAACTTCTGGATAAGTAGCACATCTGCCCTAATGCTAAGTTGTTTTCCCCAGACTTCTTTAAAAAAATTTTTTTTTCATAGAGACGGGGTGTCGCTATGTTGCCCAGGCTGGCCTCAAACTCCTGGGCTCAAGTGATCCTCCCACCTTGGCCTCCCAAAGTGCTAGGATTACAGGTGTGAGCCACCACACTCAGCCCAAACTTCTTTATAAAAGTTTTCAAACCACCACTGGTGGTCAGATTGTGGAATATTTTTTTCTATTGACTTTCAGTATTTTCTAAATTTTCTCCAGGTACATGTATTACCTTTTAAATTATAGGAAATATCATGCAAAAAAACCCCCTTTGTTTTAATACTTCCATTCAGCAAAAGTCACCTGAAATCAGTTGATATAATTTCCCAAATGCAAAACTCAATATACAGAAAAAAAATGAATGGGAAATTTGTCCATCATAAAATTTTTGTATTCCTTATGTTATTTCTATTTTATTTTAGCATTCATACCTTTGTTAAACGTATTGAGTAAATAATGCATCTGAATGAAAAATTTTAAATTGATTTTTTTGAAGAGTTCTCATTGCTATGATTTTTACGCCTCTCAATTTTAATGTAAATAATATTTTCAATATATTTGGTTTGATTCTCCATTTGATAGGTTATGAATAGTCACCATTATAATTTTGGGAATTCAAAGTTATTGGAAACACATTCAAATCATCTGCCACATTCTTCTCTATGTCCTTACTGCATATACTTCAAGATTGTGATTTCATAGTACCCTTTAAAATGAATGAAAGTCTCGTCTATATTAGCAGAGTTGATTTGTCATTCATCAACATCATTCCATGAGCACCAGCCAGTGCCTCCCGTTTTATATGCATTATCTCAAAACCCAATTCTGCAAAGTATTTGTGTGCCCATTTCCTATATAGAGAAATAGAGGCTTGTATGGGTAACTGGATTTTCTCAAGGTTAACAGCTAGTAAATTAACAAAGCAAGACTGGGTTTGTCTGGCTTCAAAAGCATCTATTCATCTATTCATTCTACTAAACCACACAGCTTCAATAATCCCATAATGAACCAGTCTAAAAACCCTTTAGGAAGCATTGCATCATTCTGAAATTATGTTCCAGGATTAAAATTGGGTACATAATAAAATGATGCATTGCTATTTAAATTTAGGGAATACTGAAGGATATAAATTAAGGACTCATTTCAGGCTACAGTTGTGGCAATTTTACATAGAATTATGGCTACTAATGGGGTATAATTTACTATTTCTTTGACAGTCTATTGATGTTATTGTGTTGAGGTTAAAGATTCTTTCTCGAAAAGGAATTTGTTAGTCATGCATTTCAAGGTGTCAAAATGAAGAATGCAGTACATTGGCAAGATTTCTTTGAGTTGGATATTACATTTGAGACATCTGGGAACTGAAGATGCTTAAACCACTCTATTCAAGCTGGTATTTAACCCCTAATGAGGCTCTACGATTGAACAGAACAGAAGTTGAGAATTTCTTGCACAAATTTATAGTTCATCTCCAGGACAGTGTACATAAGCAGACAGAACAGACAACTAAGACGAGTCAAAATTCATAACACTCTGTTTCTTTATCTTCAATTCATCTAATCTATTAATCTAATTTAATCTAATCCTCTGTAAACATTTGGGAAGTGTTTATGGGAAGACAACATAACTGAAACTGACAGTGCCTTCTTAGGTAACAGAAAAAGTGTGGCTCTTGGTTACAAACTAGGGATATTTCTTAGAACTGTGGACTACAGTTGAAAAGGAAAATAGTTGAATTTTTTGTGTGTGTGGCTAAGAATTTTAACACAAATTTAGGATAGGATGAAGGCACAGGAAAAAAGGACAGCTAAATCGGTCCCCTGGAAATTGTCCTTTGTGGTTCACTGACAATTAATTGTTTGAAGTGTCTCCCAAATCTTGATTACAGATATGGTAACATTAAACATTGATACAAACATTTTTTAAAAATCTGCATTGTCATAGGCATACATATGTGGATATCCAGTCATATTCAGAGGTCCTTCCTCTGTAGCTTCAGTGGAAAAGAAATTTTTGTGTCTCAAAAAATCATCTCTCTGAGCTAAAATGGAATTATGAAAACAGAAACTTACTCATTCCTTGGGAAATCCAAGACAGAGACCTTTCTGAGAGCGATCTGAAGTAAGGTTTGATTAGATCTTCCACAGTTACTGCTGCTAAGGCATTAATACTGGAGGACACTGTGCTGTAAGGGAAAATAAAACTTTTGATTTATAATATTTTACCTTTAATAATACTTTAAGTGGGAATGAGAAAGGGGGAAACAAATTGTCACTTCTAAAATATAACCTGATTTCTACTATGCTTTTTTTTTTTTTTTTTTTTTTTTTTTTGAGACGGAGTCTCGCTCTGTCGCCCAGGCTGGAGTGCAATGGCATGATCTCGACTCACTGCAAGCTCTGCCTCCCGGGTTCACGCCATTCTCCTGCCTCAGCCTCCCAAGTAGCTGGGACTACAGGCGCCCGCCAACAAGCCTGGCTAATTTTTTGTATTTTTAGTAGAGACAGGGTTTCACTGTGTTAGCCAGGATGGTCTCGATCTCCTGACCTCATGATCCACCCGCCTTGACCTCCCAAAGTGCTGGGATTACAGGCGTGAGCCACTACACCAGGCTCTACTATGCTATTTTTAATAATCACAGCACTGTCTTTCTTGAAACTGTTATCATCCAAAAATGATATTCAGGCAATATCTACAGGCTTGACAGTAAAAGAGAAAGGATATGTTCATGTTGCTTCCACTTGCTGTTAATCCTCAGTGTCTAAAAGAGTCTACATAGATTACTCCGTATTCCTATGCATAACAACTTTAAAATGTATTTTTCTTTGTGCATAGAAAGGACTGTCATAAGTCCTCCCTACCATGTGCTGTAAATATCAACAATATTAATTTCCTGAATCCCCACTAACACACACTGTACATGTTGATAATAACAATTCTCTGGAACAAACGCAAGGAGAAAGGGCAATGATAGATCACAAAATGTAAGATTCTTTGGGCAGTATATATTATTCAACATGTAAATGGAAGATTTCATTCTAATTTTCCAGTTGACCACGCTTCAGCCCCATGTGTGTTTTCAATCAAGACTGTGGCACCCATTTTTGATCACCAGTGAAAGCTACCATCAACCGATCGTCATTATTGTGACCATAGGTATCACATCATAGGATGTATGGTGGTGTATTAGAGAGCAGGGACCTAGTTAAAAGTGGAGCCGATGACAACAGGACGCTAGTCCACAGAGATAAGTCAGACCACAGAGAGGACACATACAGCAGATTGCCTACTTTGGGCCATCTGTGTCTGTGCCCAGAACTCCACATTATCCCGCTAAAGTATCTAATAATAAAAGAAAGATCCCAACAGGGAAATCATATGTTATTAGAGTCATAGTTCATACCTTAATGTCCCACTGTAAGCACAGGCCACAAAAAGTCCAGGAAGTCCTGGATAATCTTGCAGAATGTCCAGTACCAAATAAGGCATGAGCTGAAAAATTCCAAAATTTATTTCCAAGTACTTTCGCTACTGAATAAAATTAATGAATGCCTAGTTTATCATTTGTCTTGTCTCCTTCGGGAACTGAAAGGAGTTATTCCACACAAATGAAATTTTCAAATACCTAAAATTAAACTGTTTAACTACTAACACTTAGAGAAACGAATAGCACAGTAGTTAAGTAAAGAGGCTTTGGATTCACACAGATACGGCTTTTGTAACTGAAGTTCTGAGCCTCAGTTTCCTCATCTATAGAATAGTTGTAATAATACTAACCTCATAGAGTTGCTGTAAAAGTTAATTTAGATAATTTATGTAAAACTCATAGTATAGTATATGGAATATAATAAATGCTCAAAACAAAGTA
This sequence comes from Homo sapiens, assembly GCF_000001405.40. NCBI lineage: Eukaryota > Metazoa > Chordata > Mammalia > Primates > Hominidae > Homo > Homo sapiens. The sequence goes on from NC_000012.12 coordinate 101,184,599, forward strand.
GTTGCTATTCTTGAGAATAATAAGTTGTCTTTAAGGAAATATTTGACACACCTCTGTGCTTAAGTAAGCAGCATCCACTTAACTTTACTTGATGACTCAAGGCCATTTTGTGAACTTCAGTCACTGCCCAGGACAGAAGATGTAATTTTAGGTGCATCAGGTACGAGACATAATGATGGGTGGAGAATGACTTCAGGAAATCCCTTAAACTTGCTTCTGTTAAAAAACTTCCTGATACTAACTTGCTTTTTGATAACTTATATTTTAAAAAATAAATATCAAATTAGGATAATCAAGTGTGTGACTTCAGGACTCTGTTGCATGGCAGTTTTTCTACAAAATCAGTTTCCGAATCAAAAGAGTCCTAAGTGGACAATTTTCTCGAAGAGTGTCCTCTCATTTGCACTAAAACCTTATTGATTACTTCTCCCACAGTACAGAGTAGATGACATGTCCTATTTTATCGGCTTCCATAGCCTCTTCAATTTCATTTAACAATAGTGTGCTCATGGGATATGGAAGAACTTCCTCCACTGTTGAAAAGAAATGTTTCAACATTAGGATTGTTTCAGTTCTTTTAGGACTGTGTTCTCCACTTTTCCAAAGCTTACTCAATCTTTATTCTCAGAAAAACGGAATAGCATTTATCCCTATATGAGATCAAGACCCAATTTTTCCAAGATATCATAAAGGTTTAACTTTAAACAATGTCCCACAAATAGCAAAAGTAGGTTCCATCTATAGTGTTATAAAAAGGTCCAAAATCCTCTATCCTATCTTCAACTTTCTCAAAAATCTGTGGTGTAATTATTTCGTATCTGAGTGGCCCCCTCAAGTATAGGTAGAACCAATGAAATAGGATTGATGGAGAGGAAAATAGTAAAACTATATCTAGAAACTGGCCTGCTTCCTCTGGGCAAATGCCAGCAGAGCATAGAGAAACATATCCTTGCTCTCTTGAGGATAAGGGGTTTTTTTGTATTTTTTGTTTGTTTGTTTTAAGGCAGTCTCCCTCTCTCACCCAGGTTGGAGTGCAGTGGCTCGATCTCGGCTCACTGCAATCTCCACCTCCCAGGTTCAAGCAATTCTCCTGCCTCAGCCTCCTGTGTAGCTGGGATTATGGGAACCCACCACCACGCCCGGCTAATTTTTGTATTTTTAATAGAGACGGATTTTACCATGTTGACCAGGCTGGTCTCGAACTCCTGACCTCAAGTGATTTGCCTGCCTCAGCCTTCCCAAGTGTTAAGATTACAGGCGTGAGCCACCACGACTGAGCGAGGATAAGGTTTTGACACGATCTTCCACTGTCTTATTTGCATGGTATCCCCAGTGAAGTGTTAATTGAATTAACTTGTTAACTAACACAGTCCTGGAAATATATCAGTTGGGGAGAAATCTTCACGGACTCTCTAAGCGTATGCAAGCAAGACACCCTGAATGTATTCTACAAGATGTCTCAAAGGTAGGAAGCCGTAGGGATTTTTTTTTTTTTTTTTTTGGCCCAGGGTAAAGGCAAAGTATATTACAAACTTTTTTTTAAAGTCGTTATTGTCTTCATGATACAAACTACAGACAATACAGATTGATAACAGTCACAAAATATTCTTTATTAGAGGGGATGTAACAAGTGTGCCTCCATCTTCATAGTAAACGTGATTCTTACCTTCTCTGAGAGAACAGAGAGGGTGTGTTTATCAAAAGGAGGGCATAAGTTAAGATAGGGTTGAGAAACAGCTCCAGGGTGTTTTTATTTTCTCGGCCCACCAAGTTGTATTTTTCTGGGAGCATGAGATGCATTTGCATCAACAGAAATTCAATCTATTTTCATTCTAATGAATCCCCTAGGAACTTGTTCCGCAAGTGAGTCTTAGAAAATAATTTTGGCAAGAACTCAGGCTTTAGGGTTGGGCAATCCTGTGTTTGAATTCTAGTTCCCCTTTTTGAAAGACAATAAATGGCACAGAGGTTCAAAGTTAGGACTCTGGTGGCAGCTTGCTTGGTTTTAAATCCTGGCTCCAGGTTACTAGCTAGTTATTCACTTAACTTCTCTAGGCCTGAGTTCTCTCATCTTTGAAAGGCAGATAATCATAGAACCTACATCAGAGGGTGACTGTGAAGATTAAAAGTTGAAATTTATATGAAGCATTATGGTAGTGCCTGGCCCATGGTGGGTATTTGATAACTGCTCATAGTTATTCTTACTTATTAGCAATGTGACCTTGGGTAAGTTATATAACCTCTCTGAGAAGCATTTCCTCATCTGTAAAATCAGGATTGCAGGGTTGTGAGAATTAAATGAAGCATGTTAAGCTCTTGGCACAGAATCTCACCACATAGTTGGTACTCAGTAAATATTCACTTATTGGATCCATCTCTCCATCATTTAAAAAATTGGAAGATAAATTGCTTATAAATGAATGCTCTAACAAACACCCACAAAATGTTCTATAGTACAATGGTTTGTGTAGTTTAAAAAACAAACAAACAAACAACAACAACAACAAAAAACTGTGTTCACATTCCTACTCCCAACCTTGAGCTATTCCTATTTAACACTCTGCTTGATTTTTTCCTGGTATTTCCATATTTTCATTTTAGATGCAGTACTCTTCATTCTTGCTATATCTGCTAAAATAAATTCTTAACAAAGTTTTATAGAAATGTAAGATGATGATGGCATGTCCACTTTCCGTTTCTCTACAAGAATATGAATGCTCTTTCCTCTCAACTAATAAGCTTTTTGAATATTATTAATACACCTGTAAGAAAGACATGGTACTGAACCTGGTCTGGTGCAGACACTTTCTTGGCTGTCCAAGGATCACAGTCATGGTACCTGGAATATAGGGCGAGCCCACAAAACACTGAGCATGTGAGGATTGCCCAGAGTCCCACAAGATTGATGTAGAGAGACCTAAAGAAGTGAAAACAAACCAGCAAAAGACAACTGTAATTTCTGTCCCAAAGATTAGGAAACCTGTTACATGATCAAAAGAGACCTTCATGATTAGACTCAATAAATGTACATTATCTTTTGATTATCGAAAACTCTACTTATTTTATTCTAGCCTAATATTCTGCTTATGATACCAATCAATCGACAGTGTATTTGGAAATATTTGAATGGATGGGATTTCCCCATGAAAGAGTGTATGCTCGTGGTCGGAGCTCCAGGGGCATTGTTAGCTTTATAAAGGTACCTAGTTATACTACTTCAGGTCTTCTTGTCATGAAATAAAGATTTTAATAGTCAATCGAGCATTAACTATTACTCATTTTCCTTTTAAAAGTAATGCAATTGTAAACTGCTAAACATTGTTAACATTTACACAGTAACTCATGAAACTTGTTTAAATGTTGTTTATAAGACCACACATTAAGTAGGAATGCAAATCTGTATTCCTTGGACAGGTATCTTCTCAAACAATATTCAGCACTGTAATATACTGTGTGTGCTCCAGTAGAGAATAAAGGTTTACACACAGCACTGGAGCCAGTCCTGAGCATAAATCCTGGCTGTACCATAAGTGACCCTGGGCCAGTAATTCAACCTCTCTGATCTTCAGTTTCTTCACTGAAGTGTAGGATAGCAATGCCTATGTCACAAAGTTATAAAACTAAATGAAACAGTATATTATCATATAGCATGGTACTTACACATAATAAACCCCTGTTAAATACTAGTTATTGATATTAGTGTTAGTGTTATTGAATCCTATGTCTTAATAATCAGTTGAATAGTAAACATTTCTCTTGCTAAGATGGCTACATATTTTTTCCACTGGTGCTGTAGTGGACAGTGATGAGCTGCCCGAGGTGGAAAAGAGGTACCATCCCTGAAGTCATGCCTCCTTCTTCCCAACCCCCGCAGGAAGTCTGCATCCAATGACAAATGGATTCAGAGGTTTAAAGGCCCAGTCCCCTCACCCTAACATGGGACTAGTCTGAAGAGCCACCCTAGCTCTAGAGCTCCCTTTGAGGCCTCTGTTCAGACTGCATTACAGTCCAGCGTCTCCCTCTCGTCAATCCTGTTTCCTTTTCTTCCCTTCTACATATAGCGATTCTCTGATAAACTCTTCCATGCTAACCTCAACCTCAGAGTCTGCTTCCGGAAGAATCAAAGGTGGGTTTATCAGATTTATCCTTCTCCCTTGAATTGACTAACATTGCAGTATGTTTTGCTATTGCTAGCTCATCTCCAAATCACCAGAAAATTATGCCCAGATACTCTCTTGTCCAAACACCTCCTGTCTCTTATATATGAGTTTAATATATTGTTTTATTTCACTTTGATGCTATTCAGATTGACCACTTATCAACATCTCATACTGTCTTTTGTCAATCAATGTCAGTAGGTCTTGGTTTTTTAGCAGGGATTCATTCTTACCATAGCGTAAGTGTGAGAAGGCAGACGAAAATGAGTCCCCTGGGTTTCGAGAGTCTGCTTCATGCAGGAGATCTACTATGCTTATGGGAATTGATTTTTATCAAGAAAGCTCTAATGCTGCTATTTAAGTTATCAAGTCGGGCTTTTTGGGTTTCATGTTCCCAAGGGAAGAGAAGAAGAGCTTGTCCACAATTACTCTGGGAGAGGTATCAGCTCTAGTATAGATTTAAAAGTACAATAGACTACTCTATCTATAAATTACATTCCTCCAATATTCCGTAAAATACCAGAATTCCTAAGTTCATTTTGGGGGGATCCCATATCTGGTTATTATATCCATATTCATATAGATTTTTCACTGTGAGTTCTTCAAAGATTTAGGTAATCTCTAAACCAATTTACTCTCAATATATTGAGTTCTGACATATGACATCACAATATTTTCATTTTCTCCTTTAAATAGAAATAGAATTGTCCTCCTTCCCTCACCCTATCCACCCTGGACTCTTATTCAATCTCCTTAGAGCTTTAAAGCCCCTAAAAGCATGTCAGCAGAGTCAGCCTATTTATCAGCACAGGGAGTGGTGAGCACTGCAGTGATGTGAGGCCTCCAGAGAAGGAACCAGCCACCATTCCACACTCTTTGCTCAAGCCAAGATGGGCTTGAGAGTTCTGGACCATGCTGTCCTTCCTACCTCTGTGCGTTCATCCAAATCACTCCACCTACCTAGAATGCCTTCCTACTCTTCTCCACCTGCCCAAATTATGATCATTCTTCATATTCATTCTGCCAGTTCAATAGGAATCTCTCATCCATCCTCCACCTTCACATCACATCAGTTGAAGTGGAAAAAGGAACTTACATATACTAGGCCTTTACCATGCGTATGCCAAACACAGTATTTTACGACACCTCCCATGAGGTGTATAGTATTTCTTATGCTCCTTTTACAAGTTTAGAAACTGCAGCTCAAAGAGACTGCAGAATGTGCCCAGGATCACTCAAATAGCAAATATTAGAGCAGGGTTATAAATCCATGACTGTGTCTGAAAATGAAATATAAAGCACTATATGTACTCTGGAACATTTTCTCTATTGCTATATCATTTCATGAAACTGTTACATATCTCCAGTATTATTTTATTTTTTCACATACTTGCATGTATTTTCCTAATTTGAGGTTAATTTTCTTCAGACAAAAGCCATATATATTTATCCCCCATGGGTTCTTATGCAAACAGATGCACAATAAATGCTGATTTGTTTTCATTAATAATTCCTATAAATATTTTCAAATAGCTGATTTAAAACATACAGTAACAATTTGTTCTTGGTCCTTTTGTAACCAAATATATCATTTATCTCTTGGAATTTCATGACACAAAAGACATAAAGGAGCTAAACGTGACTTATGAAAGAGTTTCCATAAAGACAACTGATGGTTATTAATGATTCATATACCATGGTGTGTGACTTACAGTTTTGCCTGGAATCTGCTTTTACAAGAAATATATCTCTGCACCTGGGATTGGTTGACACCGTAGATGCTGGTCCATGTGAAGGTCCCTCCTATAATAATTGTCCAGAAGGTGTGTCTTTGCAAAGGGTTAGGATTAAAACTAAATGACAAGAAACAGAAAACAAATCTGAACTATTAGCAGAGACTAAAAAAAATTCTCTTAGACTATATTTGGAAGCAAGCAATGCACATTTATATACACAACACATACATAAATATGTAAAAATTTATTAATTAATTTAAAAGGTAGAAATATTTCCAACTTAAGTTCAATGAAATAAAAAATACTATTTTCAGAGATCTGAAAATACTAGAAGAGACTGGGGGAAATGAATGTTGCAATCCTTCTGAGCATTTATATAACTTGTTCTCCTGTGATCTAAGGAAACTGTCATTTAAACAAATCTGACATGATATAATCAGAGAAGAACATGAAACATAGAGAAAGAGAAAGAGAAAAACATTCCTAAGTGCACCACAGCAGACGAGATGGCACTAAAATGAACACGAAATCAACACATTTTGTGTATAGAATTCCTCTCCCAGCACATGTAATCATAGTTCTAATCTATATTCACGTTCAACAAATCAGTCAATTAATGCAGTTTCAAGTTTTGCATTTTCTAAAAACTGCATGTCATTGTAATCATGCTTTATTAAAATGCTGTGCGTGCAAGCTAAATACTAATAGTTTAAAGCCACTTTATGACATCATGTACATAAGTCCAAAACATTGTCACAGGGAAAGCTCAACTTCCATGTTTGAAAGATCTTTTAATCTTTTTTACTGGAAGGAATGATTTTGTTCATCTCTGATATACAATATGAGCTAGAAAACTTTCTGCAAAGTTAGCTTTCATGGAGACTTCCTTAAAATTATGAAATTTTGCAAATTCATTTCAAATCTTATATTTGAGATCAGTTAAGTGCTCTAATTGTATGTGTATTCTGGCATTCTTATGGAAATGTGAGAGCCTCTATTTCATGTCTAACATTTCATATCAAAGTGTAAGAGTTTCAAGACTGTTGACCCTTTCTCCCCAAGAGAGAGAAGCTACTATATTAGCTAACTGAAGAGCCAAAAGGAGCCAGTAAGCTATCTGAGGGAAGTATGACAAGATTTAAAACACTCACTTTAGTGGTTTAGGCCATACAGAATACATAGGCCAATGGCAGACGACACAGAAAATACCAATACAATATCCTTCTTCTCTTCATTTATCTTAACTTGAGCAATACTTTGTCTATCATATTCTCAAAACATATCAGAATAACAAGGGATACTCTTGAAAAGTATGAAACACAAATAAGGCTTTTTATTGTTACTTAATGACTTTCAAAACTAAGGTCATAAAAATGTTTAATCTTTTTTTAAAAATCTCTTACTAATGTGTATAAGCTATCACTTCTGTGCTCCAATATATGTATCCTTCATATAAAGTGACAGCTATCTTGCAGAAAAATGATTGGTTCCATACCCTCTCTCCTCAGCCTGGCCTACCAGGAAGAGATTTGGGAGCAATCAAGAGTAGTCATTGGTTGTTTCCACTTCCTGGACTTCCCCCCTCCCTGTTCTGGTAAAAGCAACCCAGGTTTGCTTTGGGGAAACTACCATTTCTCCATTAAATAGTCTCAATTGACGATCAGTCAAAATATCTTGTTCTGCCCTGGCCAAGGGGTGGAACCAAGGTCCAAGCTAGGCAACTAGAGCCTCTTTTCCTTAGAATCTGAATCTTGAGCTAAAAGAAGGAAAGAAATATTGAAAATAGTCAAAGTTGATTCACTAAAATTTATCCCTGTAAATTAACACATTGACCCTGTCCAATTTCTGAAAAAGCTTTTTCTCAAACTTTGGTGCTTATTTTCAGAAGACCAGAAAAGAGCCACCAAGTGCAAAATGGGTTTTTTTTTCTTCAAACTGCCTATGTTAAAGCGGGGCTGCGATCTCAAAGAGAAGATAGGCTAATTCAAGACAACATGGGTTGTCCCTTTCCATATTGCAAAAGGACAACACTATTGATCCAAAACGGAAGGCGTTTTCAATATTCTTTTGAATTGTGTGATATACTTGGGATGAAATATCTAGTCTCTTCATTGTTCTTTCTTTAGGAAAACTGAATAACTGCTTAAAACATGTTACATCATGTGCTGTACTGTCATTTGAAGCATAGACTGTAACTTTCCTAGTCAATTCTCTAGAAATAATACTTCATATTAGATAATGTTCATTATATAATACATACACATACATAGAATTATAATACATAATCATAAGCTACTATGTTAATATACTATAGATTGCCAGGGCAATATCAAAAGAGAAACTCTCAAAGTTGCTTAAAACAAAGAATTGTCAAAATGAAATCACTGTCTTTCAGTGTCTGTCTCTGTCTCTTTTTTTTTTTTATGGCAGGTGCTAATCCAATATGCTAGTGTTTGTCTCTTAAGAGGCTACCTTTTCTCTTTTTTTTTTTTTTTTTTGAGACAGAGTCTCACTCTGTTGCACAGGCTGAAGTGCAGTGGCGTGATCTCGGCTCACTGCAACCTCTGCCTCCTGGGTTCAAGCAATTATCCTGCCTCAGCTTCCCAAGCAACTGGGATTACAGGTGCCTGCCACCACACCTGGCTAATTTTTTGTATTTTTAGTAGAGATGGGGTTTCGCCATGTTGGCCAGGCTGGTCTCGAACTCCTGGCCTCAGGTGATCCACCCACCTTGGCCTCCCAAAGTGCTGGGATTACAGGTGTGAGCCACTGTGCCTGGCCAGAAGCTGCCTTTTCTTAACTTTCCACTGTCTCTTTCCTTATCACCCTGTCCCACTTTTCAACCTATTCTGGACTTTAATACCTGGAAGAAAATACTTTTTTTGCTTTAAGTCCCTTCTCAGAAGGAAACATTGCTCTAAGCACCATGTAGCTAAGTACCATCTGACAGGTTTAATCCCTTAAAGAACAGAGGGAGGCTCCTTACGTATTTACTTCTCTGCTTCAATTTGCTCTACCACATCCTTAGCAATTTGTTGGCTTGTTTTTTAATGTAAATCTACTATTTCAATAAAGAGATTATTTTTATAGAATACAAAAGATGTGTTCAGTTACCCAAGTACTAGACACTTACTTCCAGAAATTTAATCTTCCACCATCATAGGCATCATTTAAAATAGTGCTGATTCCACCTTGCATCACCACAGCCTGTATAATCACGGATGCAAATCCAGCCACCATGATCCCAACTTGAAAAACATCTGTCCAGATAACTGCTTTAAGACCACCCTTTGAGGGGAAAGTATATTAGGATTAATGCTTCTATTAGACATTATTAAGCATCTACACACTTATACACTATACTGGAGAAAAATGATATAAACATGAATGTTGGCTAAGAAGTGCACTCAAGGGAAACAGTCAGGTTGGGAGAATCTTCATACAGAAGGATATATTTAAATCAAGTCTTCAAACATAAGCAGAGGCAAAGATGGAGGTTCCGCCCAGCAGAGAAAACAGCATGGGCAAAAACATAAAGGAGTGAAACTACATGGCATGCTGAATGGGGCCAGATACATTCCACAGAATAAAGTGGAGTGGTGTCGGGAGATTGTTGGGAAGAAAAATCCGAGTCAAATTACTAGTAAATAATATGAATTTTATCCTACAGGCAGAGGTGATATTTAATTGGTTTTCACTCAGATGGTCATTTCCACTGTTATATACTATAAGTGATCTGTACTAGCCACCACAAGAAATTTCCCAAGTTTCTCTATGACCTAAGCAGAACCAGCACCTGGCTGAGGGCCCCATCTTCTACAAGATCCAGCACCTAAAGGGTTAAGACATAGAGTGTCAAGGATTCCATAAGATTTTCTCACTGCCTCGGACCAGCACACATAATAATATCAGTGCCATGCCATACTGATTTTGCATATTTTGTCACCCCTACCTATAAGCAAGGGGAAGTTATCACAGATTTGTTTTTGTTTTGAGACAGGGTTTTCTTTGCTGCCCAAGCGGGAGTGCGGTGGTGCAATCACAGCTCACTGCAGCCTCAAATTCCTGGGCTCAGGCGATCCTCCCACCTCAGCCTCCTGAGTAGCTGGGACTACAGGTGTATGCCACCATGCCTCCTAATTTTAAAAAATTTTTTTTGTTTTTTTGTAGAGACAGAGTCTCACTTTGTTGCCCAGGCTGGTCTCAAATTCCTGGGCTCCAGTGATCCTTCCACCTCGGCCTCCCAAATTGCTGGTATTACAGGTGGGAGCCACTGTGCCTATGACCTATGATAGGTTTTTAAGCTGAGGAATAGTATGAGCACAAATATAATAACTTGGCAACAGTACAGATGAATCAAGAGACAAGATTAGGAACCATTGCAATGGATCAGATAAAAGAAAAAATTTCAGTTATGCTCCATTTTCTACAAAGGATCAAATTATACTACAGATTATTTCTCACACAAAAAAAGTTACACTGCAGGAGGTTGGGAATAGGAGAGTAAGTGTGGACAAACAAGATTGCGGTATACAACAACTGGAATTTTCAATTTTGCAAAGCAAGTGGGTAGAGTGAAAAGGGAAATATGTCCTGGACGTACCAGTGTGCAGTAGAATGTGCAGACCACCCCCGTTGCCACTACCGCGCCCCACAGATCAAATCCTGTGACTGTAGAAAAAAATAGAATGCATATATAATTGTGAAATATGCACAATAAAAATAATCCTCAAAAATCATCAGAGAAGGAAGCTATATCATTTATCAGGCACCTTCCTCTATACCCACTTGCCTAAAGCTAAAACTAGCTCCAAATCTCATAAATGTCTCAAAAACAAATGGAGTTTAAAATTGTATTTGATAATTTTCTACTCTCAGACACACAGATCTGACACTGGCTTAATTCAATACATGGAAAGGCGTTTATATTGTAATTAAGCTAAGAAACTCCTTGATACTGTGATGGGTATTTCTTATCTCTCTCCCGATTAGACGCGGTTCAAATAAACACTCTATTTTTATGTAATGTTGCAAATACCTGAATTTGAGGATAATGTATCATACTGACAATATAATGACAATATCAAATTGCTATGATGTATAGATTCAAATGAAGACAACACGAAAGGATTCAAATGTAATCTTTATAACATTGCAGATTGCGGATCTGATTTCAGAAATTTAATAAAGGTAATGGTAATTCCTTTTTTTTTTTTTTTTTTTTTTGGCGAAGTCTTGCTTTGTTACCAGGCTGGAGTGCAGTGGTGTGATCTCAGCTCACTGCAATCTCCACCTCCTGGGTTCAAGCAATTCACCTGACTCAGCCTCTCGAGTAGCTGGGACTACAGGCACGCAGCACCATGCCCAGCTAATTTTTTGTACTTTTAGTAGAGACGGGTTTCACCATGTTGGACAGGATGGTCTCAATCGCCTGACTTCGTGATCCACCTGCCTTAGCCTCCCAAAGTGCTGGGATTACAAGCGTGAGCCACCGCGCCTGGCCGGTAATGCTTTTTAAAAAACTTTTAAGTTCAGATGTACATGTGGAGGTTTGTTACATAGGTGATCTTGTGTCATGGGGGTTCCTTGTACAGATTATTTCATCACCCAGGTATCAAGCCTAGTACCCATTAAACCATTTGTTGTTTTTCCTGATCCTCTCCCTCCTCCCACCTTCCACCCTCCAATAGGCCCCACTGTGTGTTGTTCTCCTCTGTGTGTCCATGTAAACACGCAATTTCACCAGTCCTTGAAGAAGGCGTTACTAAGATATGTGCTACCAAAATGGGATCTAGATGGAGAAAAGTCTTTATAATTTGCTCCTATTTATCTAAGAAGTGGGGACTTTATTTCATTTTTTTAAAAGAAAAGAATTGTGCTTGTTTCAGCAGTACATATACTAAAATTAAAGGATAAATCAAAGCCAAAAAATTACTCCTAGGAGAGGGAGAAAACAGGGTAGAGAAGACAGAGATACAAGTCAGGCTACTTTAAACATATTTTGATGTATAGATTTCACTTTGGAACACATAAATATTCCACATAAATATAAAGTTAAATTAGAAAAAAAAACTCCTCAAAATCAATTGCAAAATGAAATAAATGGAACCTAACTGTATATCAAGTTTGTGACATTACCACACAGAGGAAACATGTCACAAAATATTTAACACAGTAATTTAACATACATTCCTACTGAGATACACCCAAGAAAAAAGAACAACAAAGAATAATATTTTTAACTGTGTTAGGCCATTATATTATTCATTATGGCTTAGAGTTGCTATTCTAAAACTATTACATCCATGGCTCTCAATTGTGACTGCACCTTAAAATCAACAGAGGAAATTTATGGAATCCTGATAACTGGGCCACTCAACAGCCTAATTAACTCAGAGTTCTGGTGATGGGGACTGAGGTATTGGTATTTTTGAAAGCTCCCCCACCCCGCAAGTGAGTCCAATATGCAGCCAAGGCTAAAATCAGGAGGAACTTAAGGGGGCTCCGGCTGGATAAAAATGGGACAATTTGAGCATCAATAATAATACTAACGATAATGCTATGAAATAACAGCAAACCTTTAAATCCATGAGTTCGTAAGAATTTTTTAAAAATCTCAGTCACCCTTGGGGGATAGTAGGAAACCAATTTATTATTTTTAAAATTCATAAGGGGAAAAATCTGACATTTATCCTCCCTTTCCTATACAAACTATTTTTCAGAGAAAGCAAATAGTTGATAAGAGGAAGTTTCTCTTTATAGCAGTATTCCATCTAACTAATGAAGAAGAATTCACAGAACTAGAATACTCCATTTTATAAGCCTCAATGAAATAATGAATCTAGAATGATCATCAATAGCTGCTGATAATTTTTCAAATGACATTCTGGGACTCCTGAAGGAAATAAACTTATAGATATTGCCTATGAAATATGATTTCCAAAAAGTTGAAGTGGAGTCTGAAAAAGAGTCTAGATCTAACTACTACTAGTAAACTACTACCAGTTTACAAGAAATACAGAGGAATGGTGAACATTAAATGACCCCATACAGATGTAATTGTTAAACCTAGAATCTGGAAAACTGGACAGAACAAATAACCCAGTTTCTTCTGCAAATATGTTGCAATTTAAATGAAAAGGAATAGAAGGGAGATTGTAAATTTAAAAAGAGACTTTAAAAGAGCCTCACAATACATTCAGTAAAAATTGACAGAGAAATAGCAGCAATAGAAAAATTGATAATTATATCTGGAGATTTTAGCATCCTTCTCTCAGCAATTGGTAGAACAAGTAAAACAAATTCCATAAAGATATCAAAGATGTGATAACACTATTAGCCAACTAAACCTTTGACCTTATAGAACATTACATCCAAAAAGCACACAATATACATTCTTTTTGAGAGCATATGGAATGTTCAAGACAGACCTGATCCTGGGCCATAAAACAAATCCATAAATTTCAAATGATTAAAATCATATTAGTTCTCTGACCAAAGCAGTATTAATTTAGGAATAAATAACAAAAAGACATGATAGAAAATCCTCAAATATTGAAAATTAAGCAATACACTTATAAATAACCCATGGGCAAAAGAAATCACAGGAGAAGTTAGAAAATATTTTGAGAACTAAATAAAAACACAAGGTATCAAAATATATGGGCTGCAGATAAAGCAGTGTTTCAAAAAAATTAATAACTTTAAATGTTTGCTTTATGAAATAAGAAATATTTAAAATCAATGACCTAAGCGCCTACCTTAAGAAGCTAGAAAACCCAAAGTTATTAGAAGAAAAGAAACAATAAATAGCACAAATTAATGAAATAGAAAACAAAGAAAATCAATGAGCCAAAACACTGATTCTTAGAAGAGATTTAAAACATCAATAGAATACTGGAAAGATATATCAAAATAAGAAGATAGAAAACTTATCGATATTAGGAATAATTAGAAGGGATGTCACTATAGATACTATAAACATTAAAAGCATAACAAGAGGGTATTATATGCAGTTTTATGCTAATGAATTTGATAAGTTAGACCAAATGGAAGCATTCCCTAAAAAATACAATTTACCAAAACTGACCCAACAAGACTTTTAAAATATGAATAACTCTATATTTACGAAATAAACTGAATCCATAAACCAAAATCTTTCTACAAAAACAAAGAGTAGGCCCAGATGCCTTCAGGGTGATTTCTACCAAGCATGTAAGAAATAAATACACAATTTTATATAAACTATTTCAGAAAATGGAGGAGGGAACACTTTTCAATTCATTTATGAAGCCTTATCAAAATGTTAGCAAATCGAATTCGGTAATATATAAAAAGGATAATACATTATGAGCAAGCAGGGTTTATCCCAAGAATGCAAAAATTGGTTTAATATTCAAAATTCAGTCAATGTAACTTTTCACATTAACATTACAATAAGACAGGAAAGAGAACTAAGAGCTATAAGGATTAGAAAAGAAGTAAAATTGTCACTATTCATAAACAACATGAAAATCCTAAGGGATCACCAAAAATCTGCTTGATTTAAAAAGCAAATTCAGCAAGTTCTCAGGATGGAATATCAACATATAAAAGTCAGTTGTATTTTTATACACTTGCAACGAATAATTGAAAAATAAAACAATGACATTTGCAATAGCATAAAAAACAACAATTATCTAGGAATAAATCTAAGAAATAGTAAAAGACCTCAACATCCAAAGCTACAAAACATTACTAAGAGACTTTTTATTTTATTATTTCTTTTCTTCCTTTTTTAAAAAATATGGAATGCTTCACAAATTTGCATATCATTTTTGTGCAAGGGCCATGCTAATATTCTCTGTATTGTTCCAGTTTTAGTATACATGCTGCCAAAGTGAGCACTAAGAGAAATTTTTAAAGGCCTAGGTAAATGAATAGATATATCATGTAATGTATTAGAAGAATATCTGCTTTTGTGAAGTGTTCAAGTCTTTGGCTCACTTTTTATTAGGTTATTTGTCTTTATTCACTTTATTATTTCAGAAGCCAATAAGCTAAGCCATAATAGTCTAATAATAAGCTAAGCCATAATAGTCATATAGAAAGTGAAAACTGAAACAACAATAAAATAATAGGTAATACCCACTAGAATGACTGAAATAAAAAAGAATAATATCAAATGCTGGCAAGGATGTGGAATGACTAGAATTCTCACATATTGCGTAGTGGACATGGAAAACGATATAGCCACTTGGAAAAACTGTTTGGCAATTTCTTGTAAATTTGCACACATTTCTATCCTCAGCTGGGTCCAAATAGAATTATATTTTTAATTTTATACTACATCCATGTATTTCATTTCCAATGGAAGTGAAAACAGGTGTGAAAAAGAAAAACAAAATGCACAAAACCTTTAGAAGAATGTTCTTGGCACCCTTACTTCACTATAGCCTAAAACTGGAAACAACCCAAGTCTATAACAAGAGAATGGATAAAAAAATGTTGGTAGAGGCATAAAATGAAGTACTACCAGCAAAAAAAAAAAAAAAAAAAAAAAAAAAAAAAAAAAAAAAAAAAAAGGGAATGAACTACTGATATATATGTAGCAGCATGAATGAATCTCAAAACATTTTGCTGAGCAAAAGAAACCAGACATGAAAAGGCTCTATATGATTCCACTTATATAAAATCTAACAACAGGGAAAACTAGTTTATGGTAGCATAACTCAGAAAATGATTTCTTGGGCCCATAGGAGATTTGTTAGAAAGACATGCAAGGAAAATTTCTGAGAGTGGATGACGGAAATAGTCTATATCTTGAGCGGGGTGGTAGTCACACAAGCTATTAGGCAACTACTAAAACTCATCCAACTGTACACTTCCCCATGCTCTGTGCATTTTATTGTATGTTAACTATACCTCAATAAAAACTAGTTTTCTCAACAGGCATCAGGTGGTCAGGAAAAAAGAAAGAAAGAAAAACTGGTTTTCAATTTTAAAAAGCAGAAAAGGGAAACTTAAGAGACATCAACTGATTGCAATCACATAAGCTTATTTGGATCCTGATTCTTATAAACACTGAAAAAAAATCAGGGAAATGTAAACACTGACTTGATATGAAATTAAGAAATTAATATTAATATTTTAGGTACAATGATGGTATGATTATGGTTTTTAAAGTCTTTATTTCTAAAGGACATACTGAAATACAGATGAAATGACATAACATATTTGCAGCAAAATAATCTATTAGAGGTAAGGGGGAGTGAATTAAAATGGACCATGAGTTGATAAATATTAACATAGAGTGATGAATGAGCACATTAAGGGGCTCTATTCTCTCTTAGTATTTGTATGAGGATTTCCAAAATTTAAAAAAGAAAAAAAGAGGTTAGACCTAGAGAATGTTAATTTTCAATTCAGTTAAATAAGCTTTTTTGAGCATCTATTGCACACTAAGTTCTGTGTCTATGCCTGTACCTACAGCTTTGGTCACAGTAAAACACACAACTGACACTCTAGTCATCAAAACACCTTCACTTTCATTCTAATTTACTCTCAGGGAGTGGTTTGAGCCTGATAAGAACAGAATGCTTGATTTCTTCACAGATTAAAGTCAGTCCTCTGGTAATTCCCAGAACTGCATTTTAAAACCATAATATGTTCAATTACACTTAAGTCCTAAATAGGTAACTCATGAAGTTTATAACTCAGTTCTCGACAAATGAGATGATCCACTTGTGATGTTGGTAATACCGATGTGGAACATGCCCAGAATTCAGAGTTCAAGAGCACCTTACACATGAAGTTCCTCTTGGTAATAATATTGTTCACTTCAGAAACAGGTGGTAACTACTGTCATGTCTATCATAAAATCAAGAAAACAGAGTGTGGAATTAGTAGGTTTTCTTCATGTCATTTTAACCCCAGGAATTGTACCACATTCTTCCCATCACAGAGTCCACATGTCCATTTTACAAGGACGTTTTAGAGAAATTCACTTCGAATAGATAAGAATTCAAAGGGCATGGTGTTTCCCCAAAGCCTTTTGAAACTATGACTAGCATGAACGTTTGCTTCAATAAACTATCCCAGCCTCACTGCATTTATCTTCCCAAATCTAGAGAGTATGGGTACTTTGTTGAGCAGCACAATCTTCCTAAATTTATTTGTAAGGGCACTACAGACATCTGTCCTTTTGTCACTAGGAGCAGTCTGATCATTCAAATCACATGGCTCTCTTTCTCTTTCATTTTGGGCCTTATTAGAAGTGTGGAGAAGAAAAGCTTTTCTCCCTGCCAGATTTTACAACAGGCCTGAGCAGAATTACAGGGAAGCTTCCTGGAGATGGGCTCCAGGTTATAGATTCACAAGAGGGGATGCCGTCAATCCTGACTTTGGCTACAGGGAGCTTTAATTCTAAAGGAGTGAATGGGCTGATGGGCACATCCCAGAGAAGTACCACCTGGAGAAGTCCACCTCTGTGGTCTACAGACACTTTGGAGCTGTCCATCCAAAAACCCAAAGAAGCTAGTGTAGACACTGAACCCATCCTGCCCCGCTAAGTAAAGCTGATGCAGGTTACTAGAAGCATTCCTCCATCTCCCCATCTCCCCAAGGAGAAAATAAGGCTTGTTGAAAGTGAACCCCAAAATGTGAGTTACCTAACTGGCAACTCTAAAATGTACCTTGATTCAAAGCCAGGGCAGGGGCATAAATAACAATTCCAGTATACAGAATCTAGGGGGGAGAAAGAAAGCCAAATGAATTATATGAATTATAAAATTCATGAATTACGTCTGAGTTATAAAATATTGATTGTTTTCCTATAACTTCAATTATGACTTAAAACAACAGTTTCAAAACACCTAATAAAATTTGTTTGTAACTTGCAAAATATTTAAGTAAAGTTGACTCTTCTGTTTACGGTATGACCGGTCATAAGTTACAAATATTTTTTTGTGACCGGCTTATGTAAAAATACGGACTTTTATATGGTGCTTAGTGCAAATGGTCACTGATCCACCAACTCAAGCTTGAAATAAAATTTCCTACATCTGAAATAATTAGAAAAAAATAAATAATAATAATATAAAAGAGGATGACCCCTCAATTATGTCTTCAAACTGTTAATCCCTGCATAATTAATCAAGAAAATAGTAAAAATTTGGAAAGCCTATTTCTAAACTTTTACTGTTCATAAATTAAACAAAAGTATAAATTTGCACTAAAAAAATCCTGAAAGCCAATGAAAACCACATTCAATCTTTTTAATATTATTCATTATTTTCATTCATACACTTAACTATTTATTGATCTGGGGTACAGTAGTGAGTAAGATAAATACGGTCTTTTTCTCAAAATGTAATTTTGATTGCACTTGATCTTTCAAATATATCCCATAAAAGCAAATTCCATGATTATTCTATAAAAGCATATTATGAAAATAAAAATCTATTCAGTACCTTTGAATGTTTGATTATATTACATGAGTAGAGCTATGAAGTCCTTCAAATGGGAGGTGGTAAAGCTCCCCTCTTTTTGCAAAAATGAACTAACTTTCCACAGTCATTATTCTGTCCAAGTTGAAGATTTAAAAACATGACCACAGGCCACCTTCCTAACACTTATCCCTACTTCTGATTTCTGTTGGCATCTCTAACAAAGATCCAATGAGGTTCTGAACAGTTGGTGAATGCAAGCTACCAGGCTCAAGTCTCTAAGAGACACCAAAGGATTCCTTCCTTTTACACTGCAGTTGTTAAGGACTGATAAAATTTAAGTTATATAATTTGCAAAGATATAAAATGGAGTCAAGTTACATAATTTACAAAGGCACTCTGTCTCACTGCAGCAAATCCTAAGGCAGCTTTTTTTCCTTTTTTTTTTTGAAACAGAGTCTTGCCCTGTCACCCAGGCTGGGGTGCAATGGCATGATCTCGGCTCACTACAACTTCTGCCTCCTGGGTTCAAGTGATTCTCCCACCTTAGCCTCCCCAGTAGCTGGGATTACAGGCACCTGCCCTCATGCCTGGCTAATTTTTGTATTTTTGTAGAGATGGGGTTTCACCATGTTGGCCAGGCTGGTCTTGAACTCCTGACCTCAGGTGATCCACTTGCCTTGGCCTCCCAAAGTGCTGGGATTACAGGCATGAGCCACCGCGGCTGGCCCTTAGGTAGCTTTTGATTGGAGAAGTGGAATTGCAATTAGAGACAAGAATGCAAATCTCTTCCACAACCTCCATTAGCAAACCCAGCCCTAAAGTGCTTAACTGACAAGAGGAAAATGTGTATATAAATAGTCATGACAATGATCATTACAATCTTCCAGAAGCACGGTGAACAGTGGAAAGCATTCTCTGTCACTGACCACTTGGCAAATCCTTGCTTTCCCTTTGTGTCAATCAGTAGATCTATAAGCGCATGTTCTTGAATTACTGGATTGAGTATTTGGCTTTAAAGAGTCCTCCAGAGTTTTGATTCTGTTGTTTTACACTCTAAGGACTGCTTTAGTTGGTTCTTGTAGTCTAATTTTTAAAAGAGCACTGACTTTTAAAGTACGATTTCAAAGAAAATTATTTCCTACTGTCTTCCTATGGAAGTTAATTTTTTCATACCTATTAATATGTTACAGAAATACTGTGAACATGCTACTTGTTTTCCTTTTGTTAGAATTCCCACTGTCAGCAACAAATATCTTTGTCATGTAGTAATGCCCTTCCTGTCACCTTGGTGGAGGTGAAGGGAGGTCAGATAAAGGGAAGCATATTTTCCGACTGTTGCTTTATCAGTATAATATTTAACATTCACTTAAATCCCAGGAAGTAAAGCATTTACTGAAACACTGTTTGATGATCTTAAGGGTTGATGCTGTACAGTGACAAGTGTTTTTCCTTTTTTGTTCCCTCATTTTTTCAACATCTCTTTTTTGTCTTTTATGTGATTCCCAGGTAAGCTTAATCCAGATGCCATGGTTAAAAACATTTTAGCTGACAAAAGATAAAATAAATGGAGAGCTACTTACTGTTTGAACAATGAAGAGGACTGTTCCACAGAGACGAACACATTTGTTAAATCGAAGTTCTAAATACTGTTGCAAAAAAAAAAATTATGCGAATCCTCTGGATGCCTTTTTTAAAATCAGCAGCTCAAGAAGAAAATTTAAATTTAGAAATGTAAAGCAACTTCATAACTGATTTGTATTCTGTATTTTTATTTTAGTGTTATTTTTATTTATACACAGCAAAATTGACTCTTTTGTTTTAGAGTACAGTTCAATGGGTTTTAACACACACTGATTCATGTAACCCCTGTCACAATCAGGACACAAGACAGTTCCATCACCCAGAAAACTCCCTCGGGCTTCCCCTTCATGATCAAGCCCTCTTCTCCCCCGCCAAACCCTAGCAATCACTGATCTGCTTTCCCTCTCTAGTTTGGCCTTTTCCAGAATGTCATATAAATGAAATTACTTTCTGTATTTTTAGAGCGAGCAATCTGTTGTTCTCTTTCTCTTGGTATCTACTCCATACATTTTTCTTGGCTCACCTGGGGCATCAACCCTTTCTGACTGCAGACTATTGTGATGGAATAGTCAGCCAATTGCCCTGCCTCTTCTGACCAAGAGGAAATCACATGATCCCAGCTCAGCCAATCAGCTTTTCCTTCCATTGGGTATTTGAATCTTAAAGGCAGGATACAAAGACAAAAAATGACTGATCCTGACAGAGTGGCCTGAAAAGGCTGCCCCGGTTTCTGTCCTTTCCAAGGCTTGCTTACTCAGCCTGTCCCTCTGTTCTATGAGCTACCCCCATGTCCTTCTAACAATTGTTTTTTTAAACTTAAATCACCCAAGTCAGTTTCTGTTCAGTGCCAATGACCATGCCAATTTTTCCTATTCTACTTGAAATCTGCTATGTCTTATAACATAGTCTGCTTGTCTACTATGTTATATAATGTATTATAATATACATATTACAGAGTTAGGATCATAGAATTTCAGAGCTGGGAGCTAAGATTTTCTTTAACTTGAATATAATTACTAAGAAGTTTAAGGCTGACAACAATCTTCATAGAGTAGAAAAGAAGAGGAAGGAAAAACTGGCATTAGGTAATAATCAGAGGAAAAGACATCTGATTTTTTTGCCCCGTGATCATGGCTAACACATACAGAGTACTTGCTGTGTGCATGGTCCTCCCAACAACTCTATGAGCCAGGTACTGTGTATAAACCCATGTTAGAGACAAGAACACTGGGCCTCAGATAGAACATCAAGTTGAAAACCTTGCAAACTTGCCAGGGCCACAGTACACATTTAAAACCTTTGATGCCAAAATCTGTGCACATTTTTCTGCATATATAAGTAAATAATCTGACTACATATTTAAGACTCAATAAGTGAATGGGTGAAACTAACACAGAGTAAGACCTCACTCCCAGATCACTGATCGGTGACAAAAATACACAGTGCCTTGTAGTACACTGGA
This sequence comes from Homo sapiens, assembly GCF_000001405.40. Lineage (NCBI taxonomy): Eukaryota > Metazoa > Chordata > Mammalia > Primates > Hominidae > Homo > Homo sapiens. Next base: position 101,205,963 of record NC_000012.12, read on the forward strand.
GGAAGAGTTCCAGCCCTTGACCCAGTCCCACGCCTGACTCCATCAGCTTGTGGCAATCATTCTCCAAATGTCAGGTTCTTTCTCTTTAAAATGAGGGGCATAATAATAATTTGTTTCCCTCTCATTTTGCAGGGTTTGGAGACTATTCAGTGACATAAATGGATGGGGAAATGTAAACTCAAAAAGTAAGATATTAAGAACCTATTGGTATCCAAATCAATGGGCCTGGAGAAAATTGAATCTCAATAAATTACAAGTGTCAAAATCATTCAGGGATATTTTGGAAGCCTTTTTAGAAGACTGGAGAAGTTTATTAAGTCTGGGAACAAGGCAGTATTATTATATTTCTTTAGAAGTTTATTTTTGGTTTGTTTGTTTTGTAAATCTCTATGAATCACTAAACATGTGAATGGACATCAATAGAAGAGAAGTCTTTGTTTTTTCTAGGTACATGAATCCAAATTGCTGGAGACCCAAATAAATTGAACCAAACTGAAGCAAGTAAGTTAATCAACTGATCCAGGGAAACCTGTGATTTAAGCCCAAGGACCAACTCAAGACAGAACCAAGAAGTCTATTATGATCTCAGCCATCAATTACTAGGCTGCTGAAGAAATACCCGGAGACTGGACCAGATGCCCAAGTCACTGTGCAGCAGCCTTAGGGAATACTTGTAAGACTTCTAGACATAATTACAGAGTAATGATAGGTGCCTAAATTAATCAAGATCTCTCGTGGTCCTCAGAACTTTGAATTGCTTCTGTTGATATGAATAAATATATAAATAACAAAGAAACATAAGGTCTAAGCAACTCAATTTAAAACACAGATTTAGTTGGCTCCAGAAGGATCTTGAAGAATTGGTGGATTAAATTGGATTCCTGCATTATACTTGGGTCTGGAAGTTGCTAAACACCTATCAGGACTACATTTTGAAGGCAGTGATGGATGAAAAAAAATGCTTGTGAACAGCTAATTTTCACTAAAGAAATGTCAACAGGGAGAGATTTCATACTTGAGCAAGAATGCCAGGGTATCAATCACTCAACACTGTACAGCATATTCTGTATAGATTCTGTACCTCTCAGCATAAAACAATAAACAATATACTCCACAGGAAAGTCTTTGCCATGACCAATTGGGAGGGTCTTAGCATGTTGCCTAACTTCCCCGTTCCCAACTGCCTGGCACCCTGGAGGTGGATGCCTGCAGTGTGCCCACAACTTCACGTGTCCTATATTGCTTCCCTTGTTCTCTCTGCACTGGCGTAAGCATTGCTTGGGGTTATAACAGACTCATCAGAGCCTTCAGAAGCAGCCAGTATGCTGCTAGGCATATGTCTACGCTGCTTCACATTCCTAGTAGCTTAACTTACTCTGAGTCTCTGTCCACAAAATGGGGCTCTTGATAGTACTTGCCTCATAAGGATTGTTCTGAATGTGAGTCAGATAATGTATGTAAAACATGCAATGCAGCCCAGTGCCTGGCATGTGTTCAGCATTCAATGAACTTTTGCTTTTTGACATTTTTAGCTGGAACCCCTGCTAACTTAGCCTCTACCACTGCAAGCATGAGGGAAATCTGTTTCTGCTTGAGTTAATGTTGTAGCCCCGAAGAGGCATGGGTCAGTGGTTATGAGAGCAGCATTCATGTGTGGGGACTGAAGTCCTCCTGCCAGATTCTTCAAACCCTTTCCAAGTTTGGGAATTGGTTAGCTATAGATCACAGCTCACAGACTCAGATGCCTCCAGGTTCCATCAGGTAACATACATAAGTGACAGTGGCCAGGTGTTCACATATTAACATGTTGGAATATTCCTCCCACCCACTAAGATATATGTTTTCTTACATCTCCCTGGAAACAAGAGATCCCTTTACCCCTGTCCATTTTGCCTTTCACATTTTTTGATAAAGACATAAATGCAGATAAAAATTTCTCTACCAAAAAAACAGTAACCATGAAAACACAAAGATAAGACTTCAATATAGAAGTTTAATAGAGAGTGAGAGCAATAGCTATAAACTTGAGTTCCTGTGGCCACAGGGAGCATGGGCCCAGTGTTACCAGCCTTTTGAGTTCTCGAAAGAAGTCATAGTCTGAAATTATATTTTATTTCTTCTCACTATAAGGAGAAGTAAAAAAAAAAAATGACTGAGAAGTGAATTTGGTCTGGGGAATTTCGCCAGTTTGTCACTTCTGAGCAAACCTGAGAAACTGCATCCTGCTCACTTCTGGGATAATTATTGAGCTCTCCCAAACACAGCCCCAGAGTGAATGGAAGGCAATGCTGCCCAGGGGTGCCTCGCCCTGGAAGATGTCACTAGAGCCCAGGCAGAGTGTGTCACCAATGTTTGTTGTGCCGTTAAGGCCCTGTCCCCAGCACCAGTTGAACCAGCCTCACTAGGAAACCACCTGCCAGAATCTCAGGATTGGAGTCCTCTGGGTAATGGCCTAATAGAGAGGAAACTTCTGCAGGCTTGTCCCATGTAGCTCAAGGACCAGTGCTGGGTGAGGGAGACCACTGAAGGCACTGAACTGGGCCCCGCCACTCCCCTGAGCTTTGATCCCGCCCCCACCTCCCATTCAACAGCTCTTTAAACTAAACGTGCATCATCTTTTCAAAGCCCTTTCTTGCAGACAACTTGAGAAAACCTATAGCCAGGGGACCTGTGCAATAGAGGAAAGACAGTTTTCCTTAATTGTCTTTCCATAGAGAAGGCAGAGCTGTTTGAGAACCTTGCTGCCTAATTTTCCTACTGATCCCAAGATAACTACCACCATCACAACTAGCACCACCACAGTAATTATGGCCAATACCTATCTGGCACTTACTCTGTGTCAAACTCTATTCTAAATGCTACACCTTGCATCATCTCATTTAATCCTCCCAACTGGATGAGGTAGGTGATATTATTTTATTTTTGAGGAATAGGCACAAAAGGTTGGGTAAGTCACCCAAGGTCACCCAGCTAGTAAGTGGTAGAATCTGGTCCGAAATACAGGTACTGGTACACCTTAGCCACTTGGGTGCCTGTTTCAGTGGAAAGGGGGTGGGTGTGGAAGGGGAAGGAAGGGGAGTACAAATTCTTTACCAACTATCTTGGAAGAGTGAATGGGGCTGAGGACCTGGAACAAGAGTATTCCTTTCAAGAAGCAGGGCCTGAGACCTGAAGAACTTACCTTCCCCAAAAATCTTTCCCCTTGCCTGGGAATCAAAGATGCTAAAGGTAGAAAGGACCATAGCGAGCACTACTGTTGCAATCCGTTCACTTTGGAAGCCTCTTTTTTTCACTAAGCCCAGGAGAGTAAATCCCAAGAATTTTTTCACCCTTAGAGGACGCCTCTCAGTAGAAGGGAAAGATGCCAGGTGAAGATCGGGGGACGGGGAGGAGTGAAGGGAGGGTGATGATGACGATGGACGGGGAGAGATTTCGATGTGGCAGTGACAGTCTGCCCCCAAGAAAACGCCTCCAGAGGTCTGCAGAGTCCCCTTCCCCCGCGCCCTGCATGGTCCCAGCCCACCCTGCCCCTTACCTCGTAGGTGCTGGTAATTCCCAGTTTGTAGAACACCGGGAGGAAGACCTCCGCGCTGATGACCACCACAAAGAAGTAGGTGAAGGCAAAGATGCTAAAAATGGCCCCAAAACGGTAGACCTCGGAGGGGGTGCCCAGGACAGTGACGGCTGACATGAAGCTAGCGGTGAGGGACAGCGCCACGGGCACTGCGGTCATTCTGCGGCCGCCCATCAGGAAGTCCTTGGAGGTCTGCTGGCCGCCCCCAGCGAAGGCGTAGTAGATGCCGATGGCGGCCGAGATGACCAGCATGCCCGCGAACACCACGTAGTCCCACACCACGAAGGTGCCGATGCCCCGTGGCGTGTCCATGGCCGCACGGTCGCCTGAGCCCTGCGCGCAAACTGGTGGCCCCGCGGCGCGCAGCCGGAGCCCGGCGCGCACTTCTTATCCCGGATCCCTGGCGCGCAGGCGTGGCGTCCCGCGGGGACTGGAGGCGTCCTCCAGGTGTCGGCCTCCGAACGCACCCCGAGGCGGGGTGAGGGCTGGCAGTCGCCCCTGCACCCGCCGCTGCGAGCCGCGCCCCTCAAACCCAGGTATGGGACCTCGGAAAATCGACCCGCTGCCCTGAGTGCTCACCACGTGAGGAACTGGAGTGGCCGAGTTCGCCAAGGCGCCGGGGACACCTGAGCAGATGAGAACTGGAGCCTCCAGCTGCTTCCAGCGAATCTACACAGGGAGCGCTCTGGGCAGGTTTTGTTCAAGTGGTACCCGAGGGGACGCACCATTTAAATAAGCAGGCGACCGGTGGAGGAATGTGGGACAAAGGGCAATTGTCACGCCTTGAATTTTAGCTTTCCAGTTCAACAGTCCGGGTCCTTACGGAAAGGGACGCCTGGAGTTTTTAGACTGCCTTATTTGATAGGTTAATGGGTGACAGTAGATTAATGCAGGTGACAATCTGTAGTGAACAGAGATCACAGTCCTTAGACAGGTCATCGATCGTAAAGGAGAGCAGGAAATCTGTGCTACTGTTTCCTTGTGTTTTTACTCAACAAACGTTTCTGAGCCCCTTCAGCCTGTTGTTGGAAATAGTAGTTATTGGAAGATTAACAATAATATCCGCTTTTTAATGAGCCTTCATGTGACACATACATGCTTGGCACGTTTTATATTAGTCAGTGTAATTCTTTTGGTGAACCAGTGTAATTCTCATTACCCTTGAGATAGGCATTTTCAAATGCAGAAATTACTGTCGAATGATTAAGTCACTTGCCCAATCAACTGGCAGAGATTAAGATCTTTAATCTAGGTCTGATTTCAGAGTTTGCTCTCTTAATCACAATGTGTAGATACGTGTTATAGGTAGGCAAAATGTGTACACTTAAATGAAGACACTTGAAAACACTGAAGAAAAGATCATTTCCAGCATCACCACTCAGGACATATTTTAAGTGGCTTGTCTTGAAATACTATTAACACATGAATCACACTCAAATAATATGATTCTCAGGTTTTCCTTCTAAAATAGACGCTCCAGCCAAATGTGCTCAGCTATCAATCCATTTCAGGCAGTCCTTGTTCATTTGTATACAACTTTATAATATACCATCTGGTCCTAGGTAAACAATCCACAGAATGCATTTAGTCTAGCCTAGTGTATGATAAAAAAGCTATATCAGATTTTATTTTTTGTAAACTGATGTTATTTGTATAATATTTTCAGAAGGAAATAAAGAGGGAAATAGAAACTAAATCCAAGTAATTCAATTGGTTAAACAAATATGTGGTTTGGAATTACGTCCTACCAGTGTGAAATGTACTATATTTATATATTACATATGATGTTATACATACTTATATATAATACATAAATTATATGTGTATATTATATAACTTATATATATATATAAAGCAACCTGTTAGAGTAACACACAAAAGAATCCACCTTGATCCTTCTGGGAATTGGATTCACTTCTGGGAACTTCTTTAAAGCCAACAGCCCTAGATATGGGAAAATGCTATCTAAACAAAATTCATCTTCTTTTGGACACCTAGAGTTAAGAACAGAACTTCAGGCAGCTAATGATCAATACATTTCTATAGTCATGTTAGAAGCAGAATAGTCTGAGGTTAAATCTGTAGACTGCAAACTCACCTCTTGACTGCCACCTACGAGCCATGATATCTTAGCCAAGTGCTTTCTTCTACGTCTTAGTTTCCCATATCTTAGATGGGGATATTGGTTTTTATCTCACGGAATTAAAATGGGTTAAATGAGATTATATGTGAATAGACCCTGACACTATAAAATACTAGCACTGTATGATTGTTTAGCTGCCTTCCAATTTATTGAGAATTGGGCTACTGTAAGTTATGGCTTGGAAGTACTGCTATTAGACACAGCTTTTGTTTTCCCAAGCTATGTCATCTTGCTTTATAACATTTACATAATGCCATGAACTATGTGTAATCCATACCCTATTCTTCTTTCACATCTTTCGGGTGTCTGATGTATGTCTCCAAATAATATTTTCATGAAGAATACATGAATGCTCTATTTCCTGAGCCTTTGAATATATGGGATTGTTCATTTGTTGTCTTCACATATGAGAAAAAAAATTCAGCTGAGAAAATTCTTAGGTCATAGTCTTTTTCTTCAAAAAATTTTAAGTATTTTTTCTGTTGTCTTCTGGCATTTCTTACTGGAGAGCTATCTGAGAACAGCTAGATTTTTGTTTCCTCATAAATTACTTGCTTTATGACAGAATACTAATAGATGTGATTTTTTTCTTTATACTTGCATTCCCAAACCTTTGCCAGGGTATTTCTAGAATAGCCCTCTTTTCATTACTATCATCTAGAATGGTGAGTCCTTTCAATTTGAATAGTCAGGTCTTGTTTTTTAAAGTGATATCTTTAATTATTGTTGTTCTAATTCTTCTAGTACCTTCCTCAGAAATGTATAATTCTTAAATAAATCTATCCAGTCCTCTATATTCTTCTTCTTTTTTTTTTTTTTTTTTTGAGATGTAGTCTCACTCTGTTGCCCAGGCTGGAGTGCAGCGGTGTAAGCTTGGCTCACTACAACCTCCACCTCCCAGGTTCAAGCGATCCTCCTGCCTCAGCCTCCTGAGTAGCTGAGACTACAGGTGCACACCACCACGCCCGGCTGATTTTTGTATTTTCAGTAGAGACAGGGTTTCACCATGTTGGCCAGGATGGTCCCTATCTCCTGACCTCGTGATCCGCCCATCTTGGCCTCCCGAAGTGCTGGGATTACAGACGTGAGCCACCATGCCCAGCCCCAGTCCTCTATATCATTCACTTGAATCCTTTTTTCTTTTACCACATACCTGAAAAGATCTTAAGTTTGTCTTTCATGTCATTGACTCTGGTGTCTGTCATAGTAATGCTACAGGAGTCTACATTCCTACTCCCGATGTAGATTTTACTTCTGTCATTACATTTTTAATGTCGCTGAATTTTTAAAAGTAATCTTCTCCCTTTTATCTCATTCTAAAGTCTTTTCACCTTTAGAATGCCAAGCAGTTTTCTTAAAATATTTTTTACATTCTAGGAGCAAATAATTTTTATAGTGATTTTCTTTCTCTGAGTCTTTGAAGCATTGATCCCATTCCTCTGCCCCTCAGGAGTTTTTCATAGGATATATATTGATGATTTTTCTGGCAATCATCTCAAATGGAAGGGTAATTTCCAGACTTAGTGTTAGCCAAAAGATCAGTTGTGTTGTTTTCTATCTTATTATTCTCTTCTTTGGGGCTCTAGGTTTTACAACTGGATGGCATAGCAAAGTTTAGTACCTAACTCAATAGCATGATAAGCAGATTTGCATTTACTATGACTCTTTTGGACAGAGACAATATTGTCACCTGTTCCCTCTGTCTGGCGTTCTCACACTATCACCATGAAATACCATCATAAAAGCCATCGGTTACAGCATCCACTGCATCTGAAGTTCTTCCATCTCTACCAAACTGTAGTGCTTTATTTGTAAGGATGACCCCTCCCAAGATTCACTGCACATTGCCAGTTTACTCTATCCTCATAAGCATCCAGCCAGAGGATTAAGATAACACATTCTCTGGAGGTGGAAGCCTCTGATTGTACAGAGAAAGATGCACTTTGGTAAAAATCACCCAACAACAGATGGCTGGCTGCCCAACTGATATGGTTGGGCTCTGTCCCCACCCAAATCTCATTTTGAATTGTAGCTCCCATAATTCCCACATGTTGTGGGAGGTACCTAGTGGGAGATAATTGAATCATTGAGGTGGTTTCCCCCATACCGTTCTCCTTCTGATTGTGAGGTCTCCCCAGCCGTGTGGAACTGTGAGTCCATTAAACCTCTTTTTCTTTATAAATTACCCAGTCTCGAGTTTGTCTTTATTAGCAGTGTGAAAATGGACTAATACAGTAAGTTTGTACTGGTACAGTGTAGTGCTGCTGTAAAAATACCTGAAAATGTGGAAGAGACTTTGGAACTTGGCAACAGACAGAGGTTGGAACAGTTTGGAGGACTCGGAAGACAGGAAAATGTGGGGAAATTTGGAACTTCCTAAAGACTTGTTGAACGGCTTTGACAAAAATGCTGATAATGATATGGACAATGAAATCCAGGCTGAGGTGGTCTCAGATGGAGATGAGAAACTTGTTGGGAACTGAAGTGAAGGTGACTCTTCCTATGTTTTAGCAAAGAGACTGATGGCATTTTGCCCCTGCCCTGGAGATTTGTGGAACTTTGAACTTGAGGAAGATGATCTAGGGTATCTGGTAGAAGAAATATCTAAGCAGCAAAGCATTCAAGAGGTGACTTGGGTGACGTTGAAAGCATTCAGTTTTAAAAAGGAAGCAGAGCATGAAAGTTTGGAAAATTTACAGCCTGATGATGCAATAGAAAGGAAAAACCCATTTTCTGGGGAGAAACTCAAGCCTGCTGCAGAAATTTGCATAAGTAATGAGGAACCAAATGTTAATCTCCAAGACAATGGGGAAAATGTCTCCAGGCCATGTCAGAGAACTTTGCAGCAGCCTTTCCCATCACAGGCCCAGAGGCCTAGGAGGAAAAATGGTTTGTGGGTCAGGCCCAGGACCCCCTGCTGTGTCTAGCCTAGGGACTTGGTGTCTTGTGTTCTAGCTGCTCCAGCCATGGCTAGAAGGGGCCAAGGTACAGCTTGGGCTATGGCTTCAGAGGGTGCAAGCCCCAAGCTTTGGCAGCTACCATGTGGTGTTGTGCCTGCTTGTGCACAGAAGTCAAGAATTGAGGTTTGGGAACCTCTGCCTAGATTTCAGAGATGCATGAAAACATCTGGATGTCCAGGCAGAAGTTTGCTGCAGGGGCAGGGCCCTCATGGAGAACACCTGCTAGGGCAGTGCAGAAGGGAAATGTGGGGTTGACGCCACCACACAGAGTCCCCACGGGGGCACTGCGCAGTGGAACTGTGAGAAAAGGGCCACCATCCTGCAGACCCCAGAATTGTAGATCCACCAACAACTTGTGCCATGTGCCTGAGAAAGCCACAGACAATGCCAGCCTGTGAAAGCAGCCAAGAGAGAGGCTGTACCCTGCAAAGCCACAGAGGTGGAGCTGCCTTAGACCATGGGAACCCACCTCTTGCACCAGTGTGACCTGCATGTGAAACATGGAGTCAAAAAAGATCATTTGGGAGTTTTAAGATTTGACAGCCCCACTGGATTTTGGACTTGCATGGGGCCTTTAGCTCCTTTATTTGGTCAATTTCTCCCATTTGGAATGGGTATATTTATCCAATGCCAGTACCCCCATTGTATCTAGGAAGTAACTGACTTGCTTCTTGATTTTACAGGCTCATAGGTGGAAGGGACTTGCCTTGTCTCAGATGACACTTTAGACAGTGGACTTTTGAGTTAATGCTGAAATAAGACTTTGAGGGACTGTCGGGAAGGCATGACTGGTTTTGAAATGTGAGGACATGAGATTTGGGAGGGGCCAGGAGTAGAATGATATGGTTTGGCTGTGTCCTCTCCCAAATCTCATTTTGAATTATAGCTCCCATAATTCCCATGTGTTATGGGAGGGACCCAGTAGGAGATAATTGAATCAAGGGGGTGGTTTCCCCCATACAGTTCTTGTGGTGGTGAAAAAGTCTCATGAGATCTGATGGTTTTATAAGGGGAAACCCCTTTCACTTGGCTCTCATTCTCTCTTGTCTGCCACCATGTAAGACATGCCTTTTACCTTCCACCATGATTGAGAGGCCTCCCTAGCCACATGGAACTGTGAGTCCATTAAACCTCTTTTTCTTTATAAATTACCCAGTCTCAAGTATGTCTTTATCAGCAGCATGAAAATGGACTAATACTCCATCTCTCTCATGAGAGTAGGTGTTATGATTCTGAACCCATTGTAGATTGTAATGGAGGGACAAGAGGTCTTCCCATCATTTCACAACATTTTCTTTTCAGAGTGGACACAAAGTATGATTTTTAATCAACTTATCTCCTGTCAATTTATCCTACACTGTCTGTCCCCTGACAAGCTCTGACATCTCTTCTTACCACTTCTTTTCATCCACTTACTCTTCTCTAAGCACATCGTCTTCCTTACCATTTCTGGAATCTGCCAAGCCTGTTTCTGTCTCAGGGCCTTTGCACGTGTTGTTCTCGCTGCTTTGAATGCTCTTCTTCCAGATATCACCAGAACTCCCACTGTCATTTCATTCAGGGATCTGCTCAGATGTCACCCTCCTCCAAGAGGCCCTCTCTGACCACTCAATTCACAATTTGTGTCTATCATTTTCTACTCCTTTCCTTTGCTTTGTTTTTCTTCATCTACATATACAAACTGACATTATATTTATTTTTTTTATCTTGATGGTGGTCTCTGTTCTCCCACTAGAATAGAAGGTCCATGAAGACAAGAACTTTATCTGTTTTGTTCACCACTATATTCCCTGGGCCTAGAACAGCCTAGCACATGAGGGGTACTTTTTAATAAACATGCTGAACAAATGAATAGACAAAAGAAGGAATTATTAGAAAATTCTCTCAACTAAGTTGCACTGGTCCTAATTTCTAATGTTGTAAATTTCCTCTTTTTCTGTGTCTTCATAGACATTTTGGAGGAAAAACAGAGAACCCATATGAGGAAGTACTTTTTATTTTAAAGCTTCATTAGACATAAAGCAGTTTTCTAATTTATCATTTTTTTTTACCAATTTTATCAAGTAGTATTGAGTTTGGCTGAGTGACAGAAACCAAAATAACAATAGCTTAAACAAGATGCAAATGTATTCTCTTTCAATTTAAAGTACAGAAATAGGTAGCCCAGGATTGGAGTAGGTCAGGGGATGAGGCCATAGAAAGTTGTTTGGGATTAAAACTCCTCTCTTAACAGTTCTGCTATCCTCACATTGGACTTCCACTGTAGTATGAAAAAGGAAAGGGCTGATGGGGCATAGCTATGCCCTTTAAGGACTTTTACCATCAATTTTACAAGGCAGTTCCACTTACATCCCATTGGACAAAACTTAGTCACATGACCACATGTAGTTGCAAGGGAGACTGGGAAATGTAGCCTTTGTACCAGAGGACCACATGCTGAACTAAAAACTGAAGGTCCTATTTCTAAAGAAGGAGAGAATGGAACCTAGGGGATAGTAGCAGTCTCTGCCGCATCCATCTCACCCACAACCTCCACCGAACAAATTTCTTTCTCAGAGACCAGTTTCCCAGATATTTTACTCTTTCCCCATCAATCATCCTTAGTTGGCAAAGTTAAAAGTTCTCAGATTTAAAAACACTATGACAATAACCAGTTCCTACTGTTACCTTCTCTACTTCAAGTTGATAGTCTCCAGTTTTTCCCTTGTTGTGGCAAACAGCTGTTCTCTTCTAGGGAGCTACTTAGAAGACCACTGGCACCAGGACCACTGAGGCAGAAGCACGGTGAAGTGGAAGGCAGAGGCAGACCCAGAATGGAGAGACACACAGTGCACCAGAACGGTATGGCATCTTGACACAGTGGACTGCCCCTTACTTGGCTGCTCAGATCCTTTGAAGAAAATATTTCTTGAGTATATTTTGAAATATGACTTACTTTCCCCCCCCTCTTTTTTTTGAGATGGAGTATCTCTCTGTCACCCAGGCTGGAGTGCAATGGTGCGATCCTGGGTCACTACAACCTTCCCCTCTCGGGTTCAAGCCATTCTCCTGCCTCAGGCTCCCAAATAGCTGGGACTACAGGTGCCTGCCACCATGCCTGGCTAATTTTCGTATTTTTAGTAGAGATGGGGTTTCACCATTTTGGCCAGGCTGGTCTCAAACTCCTGACCTCAGGTGATCCACACACCTCGGCCTCCCAAAGTGCTGGGATTATAGGCGTGAGCCACCGCACCTGGCCTTCCCAATATTTTTCATTGTGGTAAATACACATAAGATGAAATCTACTATCTTAACCATTTTAAAGTGTACAATTCAGTAGCATTAAACACATTCATAATGTCATGCAACCATCACCAACGTCCAACTCCATAACTCTTCATCTTGTAAAACTTAAATTCTATATCCATTAAACACTAACTCTCCATTGACCCATCCCCTAACCCCCTACAACCACCATTCTACTTTGTCTCTGTGGTTTTGAATACTCAAAATACCTCATATAAGTGTAATCATACAGCATTTGTCTTCTTGTGACTAGTTTATTTAACTTAGCATAATACTCTCAAGATTCATCCACATTGTAGCATAGGTCAGAATCTCCTTCCTTTTTAAGACTGAGTTATATTCCATTGTATGGATATACCACATTTTGCTTATCCATTCATCTGTCAGTGGACACTTCGGTTACTTCCATGTTTTTGCTATTGAGAATAATGCTGCTAGAACATGAATATACAAATGTTTCATAAATCCTTACTTTCTATTCTTTTGAGCATATACCTAAAAGTGGAATTGCTGGATCATACACTAATTCTATTTTTTTTTTCAAGAACTGCCATACTGTTTTCCACAGTGGCTGTAACATTTGACATTCCCACCAACAGTGCACAAGCATTCTAATTTCTCCACACCCTTGTCAGCACTTGTTATTTTCTTTTTAAAAAAAATAGTAGCCATCCTATGGGTGTGAGGTGGTATCTTGTAGTTTTGATTTGCATTTCACTAATAATTAGTGATGTTGGGCACCTTTTCATGTGCTTATTGCCATTTGCATATCTTCTTTGGAGAAGTGTTTATTAAGTATTTTGCCCATTTTAAATTGTTTTTTGTTGAATTGTAAGATTTCTCTACATATTCTGGATATTAATCGCTTATCAGGTATATGGTTGGTGAATATTTTCTCCCATTTTGTGGGTTATCATTTTCCTCTGTTGATAGTGTCTTTTGATGCACAAAATTTTTAAATCATTATGCAATCCAATTTATTGACTTTTGTGCCCTGTTCCTTTGGTGTCATATCCAAGAAATCATTGCCAACTCTAATATCTTCAAGACTTGACCTATGTTTTCTTCTAAGAATTGTATCATTTTAGGTCTTAAAAAGTCTTTGGTCCATTTTGAGTTAATTTTTGTATACTGTGTTAGGTAAGGGTCCAACTTGATTCTTCTGCATGTAGATATTCAGTTTTCCTAGTACTATTTGCTTAAAATACTACCCTTTTCCATTGAAAAGTCTTGTCACCCTTGTCAAGAATCATTTGAGTTGCCTTTGAATTTAAAATTTCATTGGCTTGTTGTCTAAAAGGATTATAGTATAAAAACAAGATCCTTCTCTAAATGAGGTAGATAATGTTAGCTATAAGGTAAAAATCCTCACTTTTTTGTTTCTCTCCAAAACTTTTCTACTGAGTTCAGTTTTATTCCTCTCGCTAATCAATGAACTTAAAAACATATAAAAATATCTAATATGCCTATTTTTATAATGCTTTATAACTGCATAGTTCTTTCAAGTTTTGGAAGATATTCACATTTAGTATTTTATGAAAAATGTTAGTTTAAACAATAGGGCAAGGCACCAGTAATCCCAGCATTTTGTGAGGCTGAGGCAGGAGGATCCCTTAAGGCCAAGAGTTCGAGGCTGCAGTGAACTATGATCAGACCACTGCACTCAATTGATATATATGCACTATTTTTCAGTCCCATATTTTGGTGTGTTTTCAAAGTTTGGCAAAATATCTTTTTTTCCCAGAAAAGTGGTTGCTGGCCCTTTGCTATATCTGAAGATTATAGGTAGATATTGAGAAGAGGGTCAAGAAAAGTAAGCAGGCTTCCCTAGGGCGAAAATAAGTTTGTATTTTCTGTTACTCATGTCACATTACTAGGCAATATTTACTTACCACTTATCCTGTAACAAGGAAACAAAGATGAAGTTTATATAAAAAATTACAGTATTGCATTATAAGTCATTTCACATCTTTTTGAGTAGATTTCTTTTATAGAACTATAGGAATAAATGAACTTTTCATTTTTTTTGAAGCAAAGTAGTTAGAGGGAAGCCAATGGAAATGGACTGATAATTGGCAGTAATTCTTTCCAAGTGGAGAAAGGACCTAGAATATGCTGACTTGCGTCATAGCTGATGCAAAGATAGAATCTACTCCAAGAGCTATTTAATTTTCATCATAAAACCTAACCACCCCCAGGCACCTTGGAACATACACACCTGGTTTCTCTCTCCCCCATATGGTTCTTTCACTAATTAATGCTCTCAACCTATCTCCTCCTGTTAGAATCTTACCCATCATTTAAGGTGAACTCAGTCGTAAAAATTTTTCATGTAATATTTCACTATTTCTAATCCCACCTGCTCCACAATAATATGTGCTTTCTCTCCCTCTTTGAGCCCCCTTAGCATATATTTCATAGTCTTCACAGTAGTATTGTATTACAGTTGTTTGAATCAAAACTTTTAATATGGGAGTATCTCATGGATCCCATGAGGCCAAAAGCAGGACTGGAAAGCCACTCTGCATGCCTCTTTCTCTCCAGATGTGTTTTCTCTGCATTGCCACTGGTGCCTGGTCAGAAATATCCAAGCCAGTGCTTCTACGCCCTTAAATCAGTGGACAGCAGAGACTGATTAGCACCTTTGAATTCTAATTTTAAATCTTTGGAGAGGAAATCCAATTGGTTTTCCTTAGGTCACGTATCTCTTGACCTCTAATTTAATCAGCTGCAGTTAGAAGGGCAGGGTTCCTGTTTGTGGCTTCCCAGATTCACCTTGTGGGTGGGAAAAGGGGACTGGGTCTCCATGTAGGCAGGTGGCTAGACATGTGTAGCTGGCTAGACATTCTGAAGCTCTCTCCTCTATTAATCACTTGTGTCATTTTATTATCTCCTGTGAGACACTGTAAGCTCCTTGGGAAAAGGGACTGTTGCTTGCTCATCTTTGTAAAGCCCCAGAGCCCTGTACTGTTTATTGCATAAAGAAAATGCTAAACCTGCAATTGTATTGATACTATTTCACAATGCCTTTTGGCATCAAGAATTTCCCCCAAAATTTCTAAAACTGTAATTTGAAAATCTGAGCATGATCTTATTGGGCCCTGAATCTAGGCTTACTCATACACTTTCTTATCAGGAAAAAAAAAAAAGCCTATTTTCTCTCTCTTTGAGAGGAAAAGTAAAGGAATATATACTCCTAACATAATTCCCTACTGTCTGTTTACTTCTTGCCTTGAAATCACAGTCACAGTTGCTAGAGGGCTCTGAGAATATCCTGTTGAAATGGAAAAGAAAGAGAAGACTATAAGAATTCCTCTACAGGGTACTTTCTTAATGTCCTTCCACCTAGAAACCCTGAATAAATTGGGAATATAGAGTGAGTAACAACAGATGGTGTCATCACAGTGCTTGAGTTGGGAAAGATGCCAATCAATCAAGACTTAGCATCCCTACCCCTCACATCTATCTTTATTTATTTATTTTTCTTATCTGGGTCTCACTCTAATCTCTTCAGTAGAATCAATTCCAAGTTGGAGCACCAAGAACTTTTATTCAGTTACAGAATCAACTCACTCAGTAAACTTAGCAGAAGTTTTATCTGATGCCCTGGAGTGCTTCCTGTTAGATAATGAGGGCTGAGAAATTCCTCCTGTTCCTCCTTTTAGCAGAACTGCCAAGGTGTTTAGTAAGGGCCAACCTTTGTACAGTCACGGCCTATATCCTTAGCCTAGATTTCCACCACAGGTGTTTCCTTTCTTTTACTACTTGATATTTTTTACTTTTCCCAAATTTCAACTTTTTTGCATATGTATATTTTATTGCAACAAGCTCAAATCCTCTTTTGGATATAGAAAGTATGAATGAAGAAAGAAAAATACCTAGGAAAATGTATGGATTGTATATACTCCACTAAAATGGCATTAAAGGAATAAAAAAGGTGTTTAGCTTATAGGGACAAAGAGAAGGAGACAAGGGGTGACTGCAGATAAATACAATTTATCGACTGTATTCAATACAATTTTGGAAGAATGAATGCAGACAAACAAGTGGAAATTAACTTCAATTTTAGCCTTCTTCATTTGTTAAATACCATAAAAGATGAAAGGCAACAAGAACAAAACAATCTGTGCTATAGTGCTCCCTGATATGGTTTGGCTGAGTCCCCACCCAAATCTCATCTTGAATTGTAGCTCTGATAATTCCCACATGTTGTGGGAGGGACCTGGTGAGAGATAATTGAATCATAGGGACAGTTCCCCCATACTGTTCTCATGTTAGTGAATAAGTCTCAAGAAATCTGATGGTTTTATAAGGGGAAACCCCTTTTGCTTGATTCTCTCTCTCTCTTTCTCTCTCTCTCTCTTTCTCTCTCATTCTCCCTGGGGCCATGTAAGACCTGCCTTTCACCTTCCACCATGATTGTGAGGCCTCCCCAGCCACGTGGAACTGTGAGCCCATTAAGTCTCTTTTTCTGTATGAATTACCCAGTCTAGGGTATGTCTTTATCAGCAGCGTGAAAACGGACTAATACATCCCCTAAGAAATATCCAAAATCAGATATGCTGTATACCTCTAAAGGCAGAGATATGAGGTAGAATGAAAAACCCAAGGACTCATATACGGAGTTCTTAGAGACCACATCCTTTCCCCTCTCCTAGACTGGGCAGCCAGGTAACTGCTCCTCCCTTCTTCTTGACAGAAAACTAAAGATACCCTTTCTGGAGAGGTTAAACTAAACAAAAACCAAAAAACTCTGGCTTAAGGGCACTAGTCACAGCTAAGGGCTAGAGCAAGGCATTTTACTGGAAAATAAAAATCAGAGAAGTTCGCCTAATGAAGAGTGAGACAACACTCCACCATCCCTGACCCATCCACCCTTTCCCCTACCAGGCTCCCAGAATGCTAAATACCAGACTTACACTATTTTAGGCAGGATTGGAGAGAATTCCTTTCTAGAAAAACCAAGCAGCCCAAAAGAATAGACAAAAAACAAAACAAAACAAAAACTGGCATTTAGAGGCTATAAAAAGACAGGGCTCCCACCTGGTTATCCTAAAGTGAGACCCTCTAATCTGTATGTCCCCCCTCCGCATAAGTTTCTGATTAGCTCATGGTGCCTCTCCCCTTCACATGAACTGGTCAGTTAGGGATCACTAGCCACTTGGAAAAAACCTTTCACATAGGAGACAGAGTCCAAAATAAACTGTAAAAGAAACATTGAGAAAACAGTAAATGCAGAGGCAAAAGAAAACATTTTAAAACTAGTTACCATTTTCTAAAAAAGGAGGACAATTTTGCTTTCATTAAATGTGAAGAGTTTCCTATTAAAATGTCACATATAAAGAATAAGAAGGAGCTCTTGGAAACTAAAAAATATAGGAGCAGAATTAGTGGAAGGGTTAGGAGATAAAATTAAGGAAAGCTTCTATAAAGTGGAACAAAAATACCCAGAGATGAAAAATAAAAGTGGAAAGAAAAGAAAATTAGAGGTTTAATGCTGGAGGTTGAAAACATGACTCTAGGAATTCTAGAGAAAGAGTGGAGGGAAGGCAATTATCAAAGGAAAATTCAGGAAAATTTCCAAAAATCTTAAGAACATATTCTTCATACTGAAATTGCTCACCAAGTGTGTAGTGAATTTAACAATTCACTTCTGTTGTGAAATGTCAGAAACACAGAGACAATCCTAAAAGCTTCCATAGAGAGGGAAAAAAAAATAGGTCATATACAAAGATCAGAAATCAGAATGGCATCAGACTTCTCAACAGCAACATCGAAAGCTAGAGGAAAATAAAAATGCCTTCAAAGTTTTTTATGAAAAATTATTTCCAACCTAAAATTCTCTACCCAAACTATTTACTATGAGTGGAGAATAAAGATATTTTCAAATATGCAAGGTCTCAAAAATAGTATTTCCTTACACATCATTTCTCATGAAGCTTCTGGAAGATGTGCTCTATGAAAACGGGAAAAATGCAGAAAAAAAAAAGACATGAGATTCAGGAAACGGATGATTGAGGCAGAATTAGTGAGCAGCTAGTCCCAATTGGAGCAGGTTGTCAGAAGCTCTACCTGAAATCTTCTCTAAGAAAAAGCAATGGAACATGTAGGTTGCCTTATGGGTCTGCCCTCTATAAGAAAGGAGTTTTAGAAGCTCTTTCCAAAAGTGCAGTGATGAAGCGATAGAAGGTACATGGAAAACTTAACAAGGTATTTCCAGCTGAACACGTTAGGTTGTACAGCCACCACTGAAGTCAGACAATACCAATGTTGGCACAAACGTGGAGCACTGGGAACTTGCATAGACTGCTGGTACAAGCACTGTGGAAAACAACGGATAATATCTAGAAGGATGAAGATGTTTATGCACTGTGCCACAGAATTTCCACTTCTTGTGGCATACCAAATGAAACGTGTGTATATGTGCACAAATAGTGTGTACAAGAATATTCATAGCATTAAGATTTACTCCAAACTAGAAACAACTCAGAAGTACATCCACAGTAACATGGATAGACTGTGGTATCCGTGTATAACCAAAGTGGATATATGTAATGATGATGTGGTTGAATTTTACAGAGCTGAGTAAAAGAAACCAAACACAAAAGAATATGCACCATATGTCTCTATTTACATAAAATTCAAAAGCAGGCAAAGCTAAACTCAGTTGTTTCACAATGGATACATAGGTGGTAAAACTGTAAAGGAAAAGAAGGAAGCAGTAATCATAAAAGGTAGGATGGTGTCACATCTAAAGGGAGAGAACTAGTTGTAATCAGGTGGGGACATATGGGGGGCTTTAGGGAAGCTAGCAATGTTTATTTCTTGATTTGAGTGTTGGTTAATGATCATTCACTTTATAATATATATTAAACTGTATGCATATATTTGGTAATTTAAAAAGAAAACCACTTTTTAAACAGTGTGGCAGATTGAGCACATATTTTACCTTTTGTTCCCTTCCAAACTTCACAAAAATGACTCTAGTCATAAGGATAAAGAGAGTAAGAGACAAAAAACAAAACACTCATATAATTCTGGGATCCAAAAAGCAGGTGAATAAGAAGAGACTCACTTAGAAAAGCAGAGAAAGCTGAAATTCAAGACAGCAGCATGAGAAGGTCTTAGAAGCAGGCTTATTTGTATCTCAGAAGCCCCAAAAGGAGCAGGAATTGGATGTTGTGATAGCTCTTGAAGCAGGGCCTATGTTGGGATAGAGACTTAAAAAACAGAGTTGGTTGCAAATCTGTATGAAGGGACATTTCACCTATCCCCTTGCCTACCCTGTGCAGCTGGGCAACTGTCCCTCCCCTAGCCTAGCAGAAGACTGAAGTCTTACTCACAGAACTTAACAGGAGACTCCGGACAGGGAACACTGATGTAACTGTGAGGCGGCCTCTGTATTGAACACTGGGGAACTAAGGGAATGTCTACATACTCAGAAACAAAATCAAAAATGAAACACCCCCTGCAACCTTCCCCCATAATCTCCTTCCCAAACTCTTCCCCAAGAGCGTAAACCTCCACTTAATATGTTTTGAAAATCAGGCAATCAATGTGGACTGATTGTTATCTAGACCTGGTGCACAGTGGTTGTCTTGGGATCTCAGTTTAAAATATGGTGGGAATTATTCTGGCCTGTATCCTACTGATTCTTTATTGCCTGAATCTCATGTTTCTTCTTTGGATACTCCCTTGTCTTGGCCGTGCATATCATCCAGTAGCGTCCTGAGAAAGCATGCACAGGAGATCATTATTTTGAGAATGAGCATATGTGAAAAAACCTTTATTCTCCCCCTAGTACTTTATGGCCTGTTAAGCGGAGGTGTGTCAACCATTGGGCTTTTCTATGGGGTGTTCTGGCTGAGTTCATTAGGCAACCTCCAAATGTTAATATTAATATTATCATGGTATTCTTCTTTCTCCACTTCTTCCTCCTCCCTTCTCCCTTTCCTTTCCTTCTCCCTCTCCTCTCCTTTCCCCTCCTCCCCAGCACCCCTCCTCATCATTCTCCTCCTCCTATTTTCCCTCCCCTCCTCCTTCTCATTGCTTAGTCCATTGTCTAGAGCAAGAACCCTCCCAGCATAGTGACTCATGCCTATAATCCCAGCACATTGGGAGGCCAAGGTGGGAAAATCACTTGAGGCCAGGAGTTAGAGACCAGCCTGGGCCACATGGCAAGACCCCATCTCTACAAAAAATAAAATAAATACCCATGTGGTGGCATGTACCTATAATCCCAGCTACTTGGGAGGCTTAGGTGGGAAGATTGCTTGAGCCCCAGGAGATAGAAGTTGCCGTGAACCGTGATTGCCACTGTATTCCAGCCTGGGTGACAGAGCGAGACCTTGTCTAAAAAAAAAAAAAAAAAAAAAAGCAAGAACTCTGTGATTCACTTACCCCTGAATCTCTGTGGCCTAGTACCATACCTGACACCCAATAAATATTTAAACTGAATTCAAATTAACAACTTCACGTTGAAGTTAGATGAGCTCTCTTCCTCTACTTTGTGAGCTATATGTGAAGGGGTTGAAAATGCAAGAGTAGATAAAAAGAGAAATCTTCCACTTGAAGAAGTTGTATGCAACAATTAAACTGAGCATCATGACATCTGGCAGCATCCTCCCTTTGCTGGACTTCTCAGCAGCATTTCACAGAGTGGATCATTCCCTCCTAGAAATTTTTTACCTTCCAGCACACTCTCCTGGTTTCCTCCAGCCTTACAGGTCACTCCTTCCCAATCTCTTTTGCTGGAGCTCCTCCTATTTCTGGACTGTGAATGCTGGAGTGACCAGGACTTAGTCTTCCTCAGTACTTTCATCCTGTCCCGCAGCTTTAACTTCTGTTTATGAGCTGAACATTCCATATAGCTCAGCTATCTCCAGTTCTGGCTCCTTTCCTAAACTCCAGATTCTTCACACCCTATGGCCACACAACATTTCCACTTAGAGGTCTAACAGGCATCCCAAACTTAGCATGGCCAAAAACCCAGGCCTTCGCTATCCACTCCCCCAAACCTGCTCTGCCTCAGGTATTCCTGTCTTGGTCGATAGCAACATCACCCACTCAACTGCTCGGACCAAAACCTTGTGACCATGGAATGCAGTGTTTGCAGTGATTGTGAATCTCAACTCTGCAGCCAGAACGTCTGGGGTCTAAAATCAGCTCCAGCATTTCCCGTGTGCATTGCCCTTCCTGTCTGTGCCTCAGTTTCTCATCAGAAAATGGAAATGATAATAGTGCCTACCCTATGGGATTGCTGTAAGGGTGATGTGGGTGAAAGTAGATTAAAGCATATAGAATCTGGCATAGGGAAGGTATTAGAAAGGCATTTGATATTATTTTTATTGTTATGAATATATGTAAAACATAGGAACAAGGCCTGACATAGAGTATGCACTAAGATTGATTCCTCTTTTTCCCTGATGTATCATATTCAATTCAAAGGGAATCCGGTTGGTTTTATATTCAAACTACAGATAAACTATAACTATTTCTCTCTGTCTGCACCATTGTAACCCTGACCCATGCTTTTACCTCCTCTTTCAGTTGAACCCCACAATAGTCACCTAACTTATCTCCCTCACCCACAGTCTCCTTCTCACATGTGAGTCTGATTGTGTCACTCCTTGCTCAGAAGTTTCCACTGGCTTCCAAAGTACTCAGGTCTTCAGTGTGGCTAGCAAGGTGCTCTCTAATCTAGCACCTAGCTACCTGGCCAGCATTAGCTTCTACCACCTAGCCCTCCCTCAGTGGGCTCCCTCACACCAGACTCCTTGTCATTCCCCCATCTCCACCTAACATCATTCCCTGTCCTCCCCATCCTATCTGTCCTACCACATATCACACCCTGCTATTACGCTAGTCAATGCTGCCCTGGATAGAACTGTGATAGGGGGTGGGAGGTGTCATAAGACAGAGACTTAATCAGTTTATTTAGTTCCTCAACTTTAGCTTATGAGGCATTCTTCACATTGAAGGAATGTGATTCAGATTTGGGGGCTGTGGGAAGCTACTGAGCAGATTCAGCATAAGTTACCACATGTCAGCTCTGCAGTCTTAAAAATTATACAAGTTGCTTTAAGTTTCTCCTTTAAAGTACTCATGGAAGTCATCATCTTCTCCATCATTTTCATCAATGTCCTTAGTCTTTATTGATTATTTTGCTGGGGGTGGTATGATCTTACTCATTTGTTAAGTAAGTCAAAAAATCTTATTTTTGACTAGACTCAGAAGTAGAAGCTTACAGAGGGGACAACCTGTGTCTCTGGTAATCTGCTCCTGGAGTTTTTCTTTAGTCTCCTTCATTCTCTTGGCCAAAAGTTTAACATATTTTGTGGCTCTTTCTTATTTTTCTTAGTATGCTGTTTCTTCTGAGCAATACCAGTGTTTGTATTGCAGGACATGTAGAGTAACAAGATGCTGAATCTTGGGTGCTTTGGTCCTCAGTATCTTACTCTCTTTGTTTAAGGGCTTTCTGGCAACATATGGGTGGGGGGCATTGTCTTCTTTAGAGAGACTGAAAAGTTTGCATTTCTGTTAGCTCTTTTGGGCCCCCAGCAACATGACACCATAGTATCAGTCAGTCCAGGAGTATCCTTCCCTCCTTTTTTTTTTTTTTTTTAAGATAACCAACTGGAGAATGCTCAGATTGGCATGCACAATGAAACCCCAAACAGATTCGCACTTTCTTTCTCCAGTTCTCCTTGGTCTATAACAGGAATGCCCCTACTCAGTAGCAGTAGGCAGACCCAGCCATGGGTCAGGACACACTGCTTCATGAGGAAACCTTGTTCGTTGGTCCCACCACTGACTCGGACCACATAACTCTTCCAGAGCGTCGGCAGCAACCTCTGTGCCATATGCTTCTCATAAGTACAAAATTGCCATTCGTTGTCCAATCCAATGAGTGTCTGTCAGCCAGTGGCTGGGGAGGAGATATTTAGCTTCATCCTGAAGCAGCTAATTGCCTCCAAGGTGCCACAAAAAAGAGCTCATGTTTTTGTTTTTGTTTTTTCATTAAACATTTAATTACATAAACGCAGAGAATCATATGGTTGCTTTGATGCTTTATGAGCACAGACATCAGTCCTATGATAACCATTTACCTTTGAGATAATTGTACCTGTTTTAATGGGATTGATGTTATTTTAACATAAATAGGTGTTAATTTGGGGGCTTAAGAGAAAAGAGTGTCTTTTCTGTCAAAATGAATGTTAGGTACATTTTCAGCCTATGAGAATTCACCCACGAGGACCTTTATTTAGGAACAAATTATCTTCATCATGGTGGAATGTTGTACATTACTTGGTTATGTACGTATTCTATGTTGACCCCTCCAGAATCTTCATTATGTGAGGACAGCAACATTGTTTTATTTAGAATAGTGCCTGGTGAATGTAAACATTTAATAAATAAATTATAAATAAACATTAAACATTTACTTAAATTGTAGGTTAAAAAAACACTTCGTTTTGGTCAGGAGTTTGAGACCGGTCTGAGCAATATGGTGAAATCTCGTCTCTGCTAAAAATACAAAAATTAGCCAGGCATGGTGGTAGGCACCTGTAGTCCCGACTACTCGGGAGGCTGAGACAGGAGAATTGCTTGAACCCGTTGAACCTGAGAGTCCGAGGTTGCAGTAAGCCAAAATCACGCCACCGCACTCCAGCCTGGGCAACAGAGCGAGACTCTGTCTCAAAAACAAACAAACAAACAAACAAAAAAAACAGAAACACATATGGTTAATGGCTATGATTATGTTAAATGTATGAAAATAATGTTGGAAGGAAACATACAAGAATGATAATAGTTATCAGAAGGTTATGATTATAGGTGATTTTTAACCAAAATTTTAAATTTTATTGAAACATTACATTGTTCTTTTTTTTTAAAAAAAAAAAAAGTAATGTCACAAATGAAAGCACATGGAATTGGCAGTCCAAGTCCCGGATTCCAGTACTTACTGTGTGGAGTGGCATTAGGTAAGTCTCTTGAGCACTCTTGCTGTGCTTCTGTTTCCTCTTCAGTAAATGGAAGGTCATAGGACTTTGCAGTTCCATAATTCTGATTCTCACTTCTGCCAACATTAGCCACTCCAAATCCTTCCCTCTGTAGTTTCTATTCTTCACTCAAGGCCAGAGGAATGAAATGTTCTAAAATATTAAGAGGCCAATTTAGAAAGGCGGAACTGGGTCGGGCACGGTGGCTCACGCTGGTAATCCCAGCACTTTGAAAGGCTGAAGTGGGCTGATCCCTTGAGATCAGCAGTTCGAGACCACCCTGACCAACATGGTTGAAACCCCGTCTCTACCAAAAAATACAAAAATTAGCCAGATGTGGTGATGCATACCTGTAGTCCCAACTACTCGGGAGGTTGAGACACGAAAATTGCTTGAATGGGGAGGCGGAGGTTGCAGTGAGCAGAGATTGTGCCACTGTACTCCAGCCTGGGTGACAGAGTGAGACCCTGTCTCAAAAACAAAGGAAGGCATAACTGTTTTCATTACTAATTGTCTTTATGATAATTGTTTTCTTTAAAGCAATATTTATTTTGTTGTACTTGCAATGACTGGCAGTGGCAAAGTAACATGCTTTCCTGATTCCATTAGCTCTGGTTCCAGGAACACATCAGGAAACCCCGAGCCTGGCTGGCCGGAGGAAGAAGCACAGCACATTTCATGAATTAGGCTCCTGCCCTTCTGGTTTGGGTGGGGTGATGGCTGGCCCTGGGCTGGTACTGACTTTGCTTTGTTTTCATTACGCATGATTTGTTGCCCTGGAAATACGAGAGAATCTCAGACAGAGTAAGTTTCCTTCCTCTGCCCATCTGCTGGGGGAATCTACAGTGCTATGAGGCCAACCTTGAAAACTTTGTGTGTTACAGCCTGAATTTACTTTACATACAGTCATTTCAGGGGCATGTGTGATCACTCTGTGCTTCATAAGATTAATGAGTCAGGCAGGATGGTACTTGGAGAATTCCCGTGTGGTGAGTGAGTTCACACAGCAGTGACTTGGGATCCAGTGGACTCTCTGTTTCAAAATCTCTACTCATAGAAACAATTTCTTTAGTTCATCCACACCTCTTCTTGTAACACATACAAGTCCTAATTTCATGACAGAGTTGAGGCACCACATCTCTGTGCCAATGTAGTAACTATTTCCCTAAAGTCTTTCAAATGAATGTATGAGTGTCACTTTATCATGCTGACTAGGATTGTAGAGTATGTCAACCTGATTCTGTAAAATTGGAAAATTATCCAGCTTTTGAACACAGGATGAGTTTCTTAAGACAATGTGGAGGCATGTGATTAGAAGAATTATTTTTAGGATTGAATAAGCTAACACATGTAAAGTGCTTTAAGCAGATCCTGGCATATAGTAAGTGCCCAATAAAAATTAGCTTCTGTTGTTGTTGCATTTGTTGCTATTGTGAGAAACAAACTCACCATCCAAGCCCAAAGAATGGACTCAGAGACCCAGAGAACAGTAAAAGTGAGATTTTTCGTGATGGTCTTGCAAGATTGGCTGTCCGGTGGGCAGGCACACCCAGCACAGTTACAAAAAGCAATTTATTCCCTAATGCACAGGTCCCTTCCCCCGGTTCCTCACAGGCTGAGTACTATGGGGTCACAGTCTTCCTGGACATTGCCTATCGGTTGTTGGGTAGTGGCTTTAGGTGTTTTCTTTAGGGTTGTCCTGCTGCATTTTGTTGCAGCCCACAATACATTGCAATCCTAGTTAGCTTAGGGACTCAAGTATTTGACTTATGACCTAAGTAGCTGGGTAGGCTAATAAGAACAGAAAAAACGAGCTATTTTGCAGGCTAGTAAGCTTTCATTTCAGACTAAACTTCTTTGGTTTGGGTGAGGGCAACTAAGGGGAAGTGGTGACAAGCAGGCATTGGCTATCCAAGCAGGGGCCTAGTATATCCTATTTCTTCTGTGGTTTGCTGACCTAAACCGATTCAAGGCACTTTGTCTTGGAAACGGACCACAGCATACATTATTTCCTTCACTATTATTATATTCAAATACATTTGTAGTTTCATTTCCCTCTATGAGGGAAGAGTGTTGTTGAGGGCAGAGATTATCTCTACCCGCAATCATTATAGAAAAATTAGAATATGTTTATCTTTTTGCAGATAGACAAAAATACCCTTACTTTAACCCAGGTTTTTCTGATGGAGGTATTATTCAACATTTTGTAGAAAGAGAGGAAGTAATTTGTGAATATCAACAACACACAGTGTACATTGAATACCTATTATGTGTAAGATCTGGGCTAAGGACTGTATTAGTCTGTTCTTGCATTGCTAATATAAATAATTGAGACTGAGTAATTAAGAAGAAAAGAGGTTTAATGGGCTCATGCTTCTGCAGGCTGTACAGAAAGCATAGCTTCTGCATCAGCTTCTGGGAAAGCTTCAGGAAACTTACAATCATGGCAGAAGGCAAATACAGGAAGCATAGCTTCTGGGAAGGCTTCAGGAAAGTTAGAATCATGGCGGAACGCAAAATGGAAGCAGGCATATCACATGAGGAAATCAGGACCAAGAGAGTTGGAGAGAGATGCCACTCACTTTTAAACAACCAGATCTTGTGAGCACTTACTCACTATCACGAGAACAGTACAAAGGGGAAAGTACTAAATCATTCCTGAGAGATCGGCCCCCATCATTCATCCAATCACCTCCCAACAGGCCCCACCTTCAACATTGGGGATTACATTTCAATATGAGATTTGGGTGGGATAACATCCAAACTATATCAGGGACTAAGATAAAAAGAAATGTGTCACACCAGTCTTGACTTCATGGATCTTATATTCTAATCACGCAGACAAGGCTCATGAGAAAAGTAAATTATGTGTGTGTATATATATATATGTATATATATACATATATATGTGTATGTGTATATATATATGTGTGTATATATGTATATATATATATATATATATATATATATATATATATATATATATATATATAAAATAGCTGTAATCCCAGCACTTTGGGATGCTTGAGGTAGGAGGATCACTTGAGTCCAGAAGTTTGAGACCAGCCTGGGCAACATAGTGAGACCCCATCTCTAAAATAAAATTAAAAAATCAGCTGGGCATGGTGGTGCATGCTTTTGGTTCTAGCTACTTGTATTGTTGTTGCTAGCAGTTATACCCAGTCTTAGCACTTTTGTTTTATATAATACGCATCTGAAAAAGATGTATCATAAATTGATTTTTTGATCAATCTAATAATCTAAGCAGTCTTTGGTGAACCCTTTTGTAAAGATCATACTTCAAAACAGATACTCATTCTTTAATTTACTTTATCACTCAGTTTTTGCATGTCAGGTTTAAGATAAGGTGGGCTTCTTCTACTGCAAGGACTAAGGAATGCCTAAGGGAGATGTCATACCAATGTGGCACCAGAGTAGCAAGGGTATTCTTAACTCTTGGGCTCTGTATGGCATGGGCACTTGTCTCTGGAGATTCTGGCAAGGGTCTGGTCCAGCCCTCTCTGTGACTGAACTAGCATAGAACTATCTTTATACTGAAGCAAATGGGCTCAGAACCCCTAAGATGAGAAGAAGGAACAACAGCAGAAAGCAAATGTTCGGAATTTCCTTTCCTCTAAAGGTGCAAGAAGTATCTCTTCACATTGCAAGAGCTCTGCTCAAAGGCACTGTGGGGGTCTTTCCCCCTACCCCCTACTTTCTTCTCCTAAGTGTAGCCACCTGGACCAGGTGGTTATGTTGGAACTGTCATTGGCTAATGGGAGTTTGATGCCAAAAGAAGGATAATTGATTCCTGAGAAGCTTGGCCTATCACAGATGGGAGAAATGCTCCCAGCTCAGCCCTGGCTGCTCTTCGAATTCTAGAAGTTGGAGGGATTTTACTACTCAAGTGGAAAACTTGGGCAGACCAACCTAAACCCAGTAAATTAAGAGCTTTCACTTTTCCCTGGAAATTTGAAGCTTGACTGAAGAATTTGGAAAGTTTGCAAAGTCTTATTAAGCTGAATCTATCGTCAATTTAATTTACCTTCCATGGCACCCTGTGTGCTTAATCTGACAAATCTCCTCGCTTACAACATCACAAACCCCTTCACCTGGAAAGGAGCAGCCCAGAGAAAGGAAGGAGAGCTGAGCTTTCCAACTCATTCTCAGATTAGGAAAGGGACCATTAGGCCTCAAAACTTAACTCTCAACTTTATGTCTAGGAAAATGGAGTTACATGGACCTAAAAACATTAGCTCTGTTCAGGCCATTGCTTTACAAGCATCCGAGAGGATGCTGTTCACCCCCAGCATGATGAGAAACAGTCGAACAGTGGGGCAAGTTGGCGGAAAGAAAGGCTGTATCTAGAATCTCCTAAGGCAGTTATTCTACCATTACTGGGTTTGAAATGTGGAAAGTCCATCCTTATGAACAGGTTATGTTCCTAAAGTCCATTTATTTAAAAACTGGCTTGGAACTAGGAGTAGTACCCTACCCTGGCCCCAGACAATTGTTTCCTCTTGTTTTATTAATTTTTTTACTTTTGATATTTGTTTTTTTGAATATTAGTTTCTTGGAAGGGTCTCTGATTTTATTAAAATTTTAATTGTATTAGGCTAATACGTGTATATCAGCAAAACAGCCAAATAAGGCTATAAGGCTTTTAACCAAAACAGCAATAGTGTCCCTACCTCTGATTTCCACTCACCAGCAAAAAAAAAAAAAAAAAAAAAAAAGTACATTATATTATTTTAGTTGTTTCTTTTTAATATTGACCACTATATGTCTACGTAGCTATGTATGATAGCTATTTCCTGATGTTTTAAAGCTTAGGTATTTTCTGTTAATTTCCTGCTAGGGAAATTTAGCTCTCTTACCTAGCCCCCTCCTTTCCCTACCTTCACACACATATACACACACTTCCTGTTCCATAATTCCCCAAGAGAGATATGTCATAATTTTTTGTTAGAGAAATGGTCAACACATATTTTATTTTTGATTATATAAATATTATTCACAGCTAAGTCACACAATGTGCTAAGAAGAAATTGGCTTTTTTATGTAACCTTGTGCTTTTCTTAGAATTAATAGTTGTTTCTCTTTCTTTTCTTTTTTCTTTTCTTGTTTTTTTTTTTAATCTCTTAGAAATTTTTTCATCTTCAATGTTCCAATTACTCTCCACTCTCAGGCCAAAACTCAAGATTTGCAAATAAGTAACAATTCTCAACCTTCTTTCAAGTTTCTTTATTTCAAGTTTTTTTCCTTCTTTCTTTCTTTCTTTCTTTCTTTCTCACTGTGAGATACAACTCTTGAATAAAAAAACTGTACTCAGTGAGATACAACTCTTGGGGAAAAAAATTGACTAATCAAAGAAAGCCTGTGTATTTTTTAAAAAAGACATTTCCATTAACAGAATTAGAAAAGACTCTGTCTTGCCTTTCTTTCTTTCTGGCAAAATTCTTCTATTGATGTTCTTTTACAGAAAGGTGAGTTCTCCCTTTTAAAAATAAAACAGGAAGGGGAACAGCACACTCTGGGGACTGTTGTGGGGTGGGGGGAAGGGGGAGGGATAACATTAGGAGATATACCTAATGCTAAATGACGAGTTAATGGGTGCAGCACACCAGCATGGCACATGTATACATATGTAACTAACCTGCACATTGTGCACATGTACCCTAAAACTTAAAGTATAATAATAATAAAATAAATAGAAAATAAATAAATATATATATATAAATAAATAAATAAAAATAAAACTGGAAACTATCAAAAGCACAAAGAAAAGTGACTCTAAGGAAATTCATGTTGAGAATAGAAGGCATACTGTGTCAGGAAGACACTGACTATATAATAAGCACTACTGAAATATTTGAAAGGATACAAAAATACCTGTTCCCATGCCTGACAGCCTCAGCCCTCTCAGTTCTATACGCCTTCCATGTGTTGGCAGTGTTTCACTGCTTGGGTTTTTTAATGACAGGTGGCTATTACTAGATGATGGTTAAACCAAAGAGTTATGAGGCACTAGGGTGCTCCCTTAGAAATTTGCGTACCTCTCTACCAATGGAGTCAGAGGAAGCAAAGTTAAGACCAGGAAGTGGTCCTCACAGACCAATCTTCAATGGGGAATTTCCCTTTTTGTTTGTTGTTGTGGTAGCATAACTTTTCTATTTGTTTTATTCATTATTCCTTACAATATTTGAGTAAAACCAGTTGATCTGACTCAACTTAAATAAACATAGGTAGATTTTGGAAAGGTTATAAGGAACTGCTTATTTGCTAATTTAAGAGCCTGGTCAAGGTGTAACAAACAATGAACACTAATGAAATTCACATACTTTTTTGCTTGCTACCTGCTAATGTGTCCTTTTCTTGACTACAATGTAATGAAGTCTTACAGAAAGATCAGGTGATCCCCTTTCTTAAAAAAGGATCTCATAATTTAGATGTGTAAATGAGGGCTGTTGCCTTGAGAGACTATATTCTAGTCTCATAATGCTGCCATTAACAAAGCAGTTTCAGAAACTCTTCTTCTAGAATTATTTTCAGCCCTGGGTCGGGCTGCCAGACAAAATACAAGTGCCCAGTTAATTTGAATTTGTTATAAGCATGGGACATAAATTATAATGAAAAATTATTCACTGTTTATCTGAAATTCAAATTTAACTGGGTGTCCTGGAATTTGGTGGAAGAGGGGGATGGTTTGGTTGGTTGGTTGGTTTTTTTTTTAACTCCAGAAACCCTATGTCTGTGCACTTGTATGTAAACAACTTGACTGATGCCAACCTTGCTTGGATGGTGGCTGTGATTTTAGACACAGTCTAAAGTCTTTCAAAGTGAAGTCTGATGTCAAGAAGGATAATGCCACTTTTGGTTAAAAATAACACTATAAAGTAAACAGGTTTTCTCATGGGTCTTGTAAACTGTCTCTCACAGAAATGCTTAAAGAATTTTTGAAAATGGGTTTAATCAGTGGCAGAATTTTATTATTTTTATTTTTATTTTGAGACAGACTCTCACTCTGTTGCCCAGGCTGGAGGGCAGTAGTGCAATCCTAGCTCACTGCAGTCTCCTGGGCTCAAGTGATCCTCCCACCTCAGCCTCCAGAGTAGGTGAGATAACAGGCATGAGCCACTGTACCTGGTCAAAAGGCAGGATTTGAAAGAGTAGTTAGCTTTCCAAAATATTCAGTGAAAAAGGTAGTCAGATTCTGAGCAGGAACTAACAAAACAGAGCCATAGGTTTGTGTACAGTATAAATGTTAGTATCATATTAAAGATTGACATTCACCTGCTGAATCTTTTACAGATTTGGTTGTGTGATTTTATTATTTGCATATAAACTTATAAAGCCTT
Source organism: Homo sapiens (assembly GCF_000001405.40). Classification (NCBI taxonomy): domain Eukaryota; kingdom Metazoa; phylum Chordata; class Mammalia; order Primates; family Hominidae; genus Homo; species Homo sapiens. The sequence goes on from NC_000012.12 coordinate 101,237,285, forward strand.
TGGCTGTGCTTTGGAAGAATGGTACAAGAAGGAACACTTCTCCAGAGATAATCAAAAGAGTTAATCTCTGGTAGATTAACTTTCTCCTTGAAAATTTTGGTTATGGTACCTTCCTGTCACCACGATAGGCTATAAGCCTCAGACTCTGTGTTACAGTCACTCTTATTCACCAACATTCTTGGCAGTGCGCTACTTCATAAAGTATCACTGCATTGCAGGCACTTTTTCATCCTATTGTTATTGTTGTTATTTTCATAACAACACTGCAATATTGACATAGCAGGAATTATTCTTCAACTTTTGCAGACGTGGTTACTATGGTTAGGAGACAGAAAGTGATTTGCTATTAAATAGCATCAGACACAAGCCCATTGTACTAAATGGGTGCTTTTTTCTTTAGGCCAAGCTGTCTCTGAAAGAAAAGGAAAAGTTGAGTAAAGAACATTTTGAGTTTTCCTCTAAACTTGACGGTTAAGCTGTGACTCAAAAAAATAAGGAAGGTGGAAGCAATATTTTACTGAAATGTGACATCCCAAGACATATTTGTTGGCTATTGGGTTCTATATGGAAATTTAAAAATTAAGCCTCTTTCAAAGGTAACTGAACTATCAACCTGTCTTACTGTCTATGATTGATGTCGCCTGAACGTGTGGTCCTTAAAATATCACTTAGATATGATAAGACATCACTGGAATTAAATTCGGAGGTGGCCACATTTTCTTAGACAGGACGCAATAAAACACTAAATATAAAAGGTAGAAAAAAGTATAGATTATGTTAAAATTGAGAACTCTGTTCATCAAAAGCCATCAAGATGAAAAAGCGACCATAAAGTTGCAGACAATATTTGCAATAATTATATTAGATGAGTCACTCCTAACCAGAATTTATAAAGAATTTCTACAAATCGATAAGAAAAAAGACACTCAACAGAACAATTACCAAAAGATTTACAAAAAAACAAGAGGATATTCAAATAGCTAAAATGTTTATTAAAAAGTGTTCCTCTTCATCAGTCATCAGGGAATTGCAAATTAAAACCATAATGGGATGATATTAGTACTTACCCACCAGAATGGTTAAAATAAAAAAGATGTAAAATGCCACGTCTTGACAAAGATGTGCAGCAACCAGAATCCACATATGCTATCGGTAGCATTGTAAGTTAATACAACCTCTTGGGAAAACAGTTTGGCAGCATCTACTAAAGCTGAACATATGCCATCCCTAAGACCCAGAAATTCTCATATGTGTATGCCAATGCATACATGTGTTCACAGAAAGACAAGCACTAACATGTTTGTAGCAGCACTTTAAATAATAGTCCCCAAGTGGAAATTTCCCAAGTGCCCATAGACGGTAGAATGGATAAATAAATTGTCATATATTCACACGATGGAATTCTATGCAGAAATGTGAACAAATCTAGAACTACAACAATATGGATGAAACTTAGAAACATAATGTTAAGCAAAAAAGCCAAATACAAAACAGAGAATGTGGTATTGTTCCCTTCACATAAAATATAAAAGTAGGAAACACTAATCAATGTTGGTAGAAGTCAGGACAGTGGTTGTCCTGGAATGGGGGAGAGGGATGTGGATAAGAACAGAAAAGAAGCATAAAGCAGGGCTTCTGTGGTGTCAGTAATGATGGCAGTGGCCACTCCAGATGGCTTACTGCTGTCATCACACTGGCTGCAGATGGCAGGCAGCCTGGGGCTGCATGTTCCATGGAGTCGGCAGGAGCCGGGGACAAGCAAGAGCCCCACCCCTTGCAAATTAGGGCAGGAGCTCCTGGAGTACCGCTGCAGCCACCCAAACCACCGCTGCAGACCCAAGCCTCCAACTCCACGGAGCAGGTGGGAGCCCCACCCTCCTGGGCCAGGCTGCAGCCTCAGGCATCCCTGCACTATTGTGGGCCTAGGAAGGCCCCCTGCCCTTGCAGGCTCCAAAGAACCTGTCCTGCTGCCTAGTTTTTCCCTGCTGTTGGTGCTGGCTCCAATCTTGGAACAACGTTGGGGCTGAGTCTAGGCAGCCATGAACAACAGCAGGAGGCAGACAGATTCCTGGGCAGAAGGAGATGGGTCCTCCATAAGGCTCCACCTTCAGACCAGGGAGGTCCCAAAGGCTGAGGGCAGGGCTTCCAGACCCACGTACCAGAGTGGGGACCTGTGGTGCCTTTTCTGGCCCATCCATGGTTGCCCATGGACCAGTTGCTGTGCACTTCCTCCCCTCTGAGGTCCATAAAAACCCCAGGCTCAGCCAGAGCAGGGCAGAGAATAGAGAGATGATGGCATGACCATTCTGTAGAGATGAGCTACTGTCTCTGCTGATAGCGGGATATGAGGTGACCAGATGCACCGAGGAGCTACCCTCTCTGCTAAGAGCTGCAGAGGTGACAGGATGACCAGCTGGCAGAGAGAGGCCACCCTCTCCAGGGCCTCCTTTCTGCTGAGAGCCGATTACTCGGTGGGACAGCCTGCCTACAGAGAGGTGCTACCCACTGCAGGTCTCCTCTGAGCTATTCTCACACTCAATAAAGCTCCTCTTTATCTTGTTCACCCTCCACTTGTCTGCATACTTCATTCTTCCTGGATGCAGGACAAGAACTCAGGCAAAGGCACCAACGGCCACAGAGGTTTCCAGCCAGAAAAGCGACATCCCAAAGATCCCATAACGGTAATGTGCCTTCATCTGGATGGTGGTTTAAGATGAACTCAGTTCGTGAAAATTCATCTATTTGTACTCTTAGGATATGTGAATATTATATAATTCAATAAAAAATGTCTAAAATCACTGGAATTCTAAAGAGACCCAATATTCCACATTTACCAGAATGTCTTTGGAAGAGAAGTTTGTATGTGATGGGAAGCAATATTTTCATGAGATGCTGATGTTCTGTGAAAGGGCCATATATACAAATTGGCCCTCAAGTGCCAAAGGAGCTGAGAAACCAAAGAACAAGACAGACAAATCCAGTTTGTTGGCAAAGAGTGTTTTATTGGGGGAACTTACAGATAGAAGTGTGGTCTTAGGCAGCCACAAGACAGGTAAATCTTTGCACTGTTACTCTGCTGACCCAAGGCTTATATATGAATATGACAGGAAAATGGTATACATGCTCCAGCAAGACAATTAAAGGCGACCCTCCCAAACAGGCAAAAATGTGTGTGATAACATCAAGGTTGACATGTTCTTATACACAAACAGTAAATAAAGTAGGAATCAGGAGATATTCACAGGATTGTGGCTAATCAGAAGTCAACATGGCAGGTTAGCATCCAAGATGGAGTCACTTTGCCTCCCAGCTGGGTAGTAGGCAGTATAGTAGACAGCTGTTGTTTTGCCTGCCTGCCCTGTGTACATTCTCGCCTTTTTAGAGCAAAAAAAAAAAAAAATTTCTTTGGGTAACTATCTGTATATTACATGATAAGGCTTTCAAATGTAATGTTCTTCTCCCCTTCTCCACCGCAAGGGTAGGCATGAAACCCAAGCCAACCACTCAGAGAACTCTATCCAACTAGACACAATGATTGGTCCTAATATCTTATTATATAGTATCTTATTATAGATACATTAAATCTTTAATGATTGGCATGTATCTAAAAAGGGCCAGTCAGAGTCCTTTTTAGTAGATCTGAAATTGAGGGTGCTTGGTACACCCTTGGCCTCTCAGGTATGTAAATCAACAAATCCCTTTTTTACTTAAGCTAATTAGAATGGATTTCTGTCACTTGAAGCCCATAGAGCTCTGACTCATGCAAGTGATGGGGTCTCTGAAGGGTGTGTTCAGGTAACACAGTCATTCATTAAATTATCTTGTAATTAGGGTGGTTCCAGTTAACAAGAGAGCTTTGGCTGAATGGTATATGCAACCTTCCCCACTCAGTACTTGTATTAATCTGTCACTGTGTAACAAATTACCACAAATTTTGTGGTGTAAAACAACACACATTTGTTGCCTCCCAGTTTGTGTGGGTCATGAATCCAGGTACAGCTTAGCTTGCTCCACTGCCTACAGGGCCCTCACAAGGCACCATTAAGTGTCAGCAGGGGCTGAGGTTGCATTCAAAAGCTTGACTGGGGAAGGATCTGCTTCCAAGCTTGCATGCTTGTTGGCAGGATTCAGTTACTCATGGGCTGTCAGACTGAGAGCCTCAGTTGTTTGCTGGCTGTTGATGGAGGCTGCCCTCATTTCCTTGCGACATGGACATCTCTTAACCCAGCTGCTTGTTTCATCAAAGTATGCAAGCTGAGAAGGCATTGAGAGGGTCTGTTAATAAAACAGAAGTAAAACTCTTATGTAACACCATCACAGAAATGACAGCCCATCACTGTTGCTATTTTATAGTAGTTAAAAGCAAGTTGCTAGGTCAGCCCACACTCATGGGGAGGAGATTACACAGGGCATAACTACCAAGAGGCATGGATTATTGGGGTTCATTTTAGGATCAGCCTATGACAGTGTTCAAGTGTTAAATACAAATTTAAATAATATCAGTTTGAAGGGGCAGCAAGTTATTAACCTGCCCAGGCCATGTGTTTTGGCCAGTTTATATTATACATATTCACAGCTGGTGTCAGTATCCATTAGGGCAGGTGGTGGTGGGGATCCAGAAAAGGTCAAGGAGCTTGGAAATGATGCGTAGTAAATTAAATCTTTAAATGAAAGAGGAAAAATACTCTATAATAAGATATGCCTGTACCCCTAAAACCTTAGAAATCAAAGAAGTGTCATAAACTTTATGAAAGTTTTGCTATAAGAACACTGGCAAGTCAAGCACTTTAAATTGTCTTTATATTAGTGATCTATTTGAATTCCCCATAAGTTCTTAGTCATGCATCAGAAAAGGCAAGATAAATTGGTTAAGATCACAGATAGGCTGGGCGCGGTGGCTCATGCCTGTAATCCCAGCACTATGGGAGGCCGAGGCAGGCGGATCACAAGGTCAGGAGATCGAGACCATCCTGGCTAACATGGTGAAACCCCATCTCTACTAAAAACACAAAAAATTAGCCGGGCGTGGTGGCGGGCGCCTAGAGTCCCAGCTATTCTGGAGGCTGAGGCAGGAGAATGGCGTGAACCCAGGGGGTGGAGCTTGCAGTGAGCCGAGATCAAGCCACTGCCCTGCAGCCTGGATGACAGAGCTAGATTCTGTCTCAAAAAAAAAAAAAAAAAAAAAAGATCACAGGTACTTAAACCTCAAGTTAAAAACGTGAAAAAATATATATATATGTAACATACATAATTATTATACTTATAATTTGTTGTATTTCCATAAAAATTACATATAACATACAATGGATTATATGTTACATGTATTTTATACAGATTATATATTATATATGCTATATATAATATATAGTACACAATATTTTCCTTTTAGTTATAAATTCTTTTTTTTCTTTTTGATCCATCCAAAGCATTGATTAGAAAAACTTAGGCACAGAGAAGGCTGTAGCAATCTTTGCAACAAACAGCAAGAGACAACGGTGTTCTATCTAGTTATGTCTGCTGTGAGGAGGTCAGGGCATGGAGTTTATATAAAGGTTTAAGGATTTGGGCTAAGGCTAGGACCAGTTTCTTCCTCGTAAACCTTGATACCTGTATGAGGGCCTGGGAATGTTCAAAGCCCTGGTGTCAAGCCTGCTGGGAAAAGCCTGCTGCTGGTTGTGTCATAGTGTGATCAAGGTACTCTGTGATTTTTGGTCAAGACACAGGGAAAAAGCAGGGGGTGGAGGGGACTGGGGGAATTCCACAAGTAGTTTGTAAGTACTTTATCTCCTCCTTACCTCCAGTCCAAATTGCAACCTTTTGAGGTTATAAATAGGAAGGGGAGAAGACTTCTGTATCCACATTTGAGTGATGTAGGGAGAGGAATTTGTCTCAGTCAAACATAGGGATAAGGAAACAAAACCCTGTTGATTAATGACCAGTAAGTATGTCTGGTCAGCTTACGGCTGGCACACATTCCCAAATTCACAGATAATTTCAAGCTTATGAATAGGCAGTGTTCTCACTTGTAAACATTCACTAAACGATGACTATTGTTACCAGTGGTACACATGACCTATGATTAATATGAACCAATTCAGAAGATATAGGTAGTAGCAGCCTTCCCTGTCAGAGGAAGCACATGTATGTCTGGAAGTTCTGAATCAACAGCATGAGTATCTTGGCACTAGGATCTGTGTGCTGGGACTCACCAGTAGTGTGACCTATTTGAAGTCCCAGTATGGAATCTCTATGGAAGCCTATGCGTTAAGTCATGTCTTCCCTCCCTTAGCTGAAACCTGATACAACCAGAAGTTGGAGAAATCGTGGTAGCAGAAAGAGAGGGGGGAAGACAGAGCACTGCACAAATCCAGGGTCTCTATTTTCATCACAGTCTAAGTAAATGCCACCCTTGGGGCAGGCGCTAAGTTCACACAGAGTTACACATACAGAAAAAATGAGTGAGGTTACATTTTGGAGATCTTTCCTGTAATGGACATCTGCTGTTTTGCCTACTCAGCCTCACTTCCTCACTTTTTTAGTAACAGTGCATCAGTTTTTCTTGGGTCTCAGTCCGTGCTGTTCAGGTGAGCTGACCACAAGACACCTGGGGTGGACAGACCAGTGACTCAGGCCTAGTAAATTGGTCACAGCAATTGATTCATGGATGGGCCTGTGACCAAATTTGGATCAATGAGAGTCAGCCCTGGAATTTTTGCTGGAAAAATTACAAAAGACATATTCACTTTTGGGCTTGCTAACATGGTAGGCTGTGGAGCCAGCCTGAGAACTGAGCTCTCCTGGGACAAGACTGAAACAACATTTGGGCAGCAAATCCCAGGGTTGTGCCAAAAACTATTGCCAGTAGTCAATCAATGTCTTGGGTATTTGAACTTTCTCTTGTCTTGGGGTAACTCTCAGTGTCCTGTGGATTCCTAAATAGGCAGAGCATGGCCTTCATCTCATCTCTTGTGAAGAGTCTGGACCTTATTGCCCCTGGATCTAACCTCTGTTCTCCAAAATCCCTTCCAATATTTGTTCCAGATGGCCAGCTGTGTCCTTATACATTGGAATTCCTGGTAACTTGCCTTGATATACCAGTAGAGACTATGTATGCACCCCAAACCTAATATAGGGAAATGCCATTATTTAAGAAAGAGCTTTCCAATGGAGACCCCCAAAATAGAATGGGATGTTTTATAAATTTGCATGTCACTGGAGATGTTCTGTATCACTAAAACTCAGTAAGGCTAAGCAATTTTCAAGATAACACAGCCAATAAATGGCAAAGCCAAATTATAACCAAATCTTCTGATCCCAAAGACCATGCTCCTTCCACCATGCCAAGCTACATTGCTTTCATAGTCTCTCTAGAATATATAGATTTGCAATGGTGTTTAGGATTTCCTCTGCCTCCCACTCCCCTTCAATAATAAGGGATGTGCATTTTCAAGGTGGATACTGTGATGGTTATCTGCATATATCAACTTGTATGGGTCATGAAATAGCCAGATATTTGGCTGAATATTACTGCTGAGTGTGTCTGTGAGGGTGTTTCTGGATGAGATTAACACTTGAATAGGTAGACTGAGTAAAGCAGATGGCCATCCCCAATGTGGGTGGGCCTCATCCAATTCATTGAAGGCCCGAATAGATTAAAAGATTGAGTAAGAAAGAATTATTTCTCTTTGCCTGACTGTCTTCAAGCTGAGACATCATCAATTTTCTCCTGCCTTTAGACTCTGACTGGAACTTATACCATTAACTCCCCTGGGTCTCTGTCTTGCTGAATGCAGATCTTGGACTTCTCAGGCTCCTTAATCATGTGAGCTAATTCCTTATAGTAAATCACTGTGTGTGTGTGTGTGTGTGTGTGTGTGTGTGTGTGTGTGTGTGTGTGTGTATTTCCTATTGCTTCTACTTCTCCAAGACCACAGTACAGTGCAGTGTGGGGCTAAGTTTCACAGAGAATTACTGCACTAAAGTCATGCCTGACACAATGCATGATATCCTAGAATCGCAGTTTCTTCATTGGTAAAATGGGTATAATAAGGAATCTGACTCCATTTTTTGACTTTTGACTACTGCCAGCTTTTAAGCCTTACCCCTCCCTCTTCCTCATCTGCCCATATCCAGGAGAACTGATAAGAAAACCAGGATATTCCCTCCTTTGCTACTAGGAAGCTGCATGGCAACTTCAAACCATGTGTGGGAACCCTCACCCTGGCCCCACCTCAACCACCAACAAAACAAACCCTAAGCCAGTCTCCTTTCTGTGCTCTCTCTCAAGCCATTTTTTTTTATCTGCTTGGAAACCACACTGCTATCCCCAGAAAGCCTCATTATGTGAATAATAGTTTTCATACCTATGTGAGGTGGATGTGTGGCATCATCAGTTTTGACATCCAAATCAAATTTGGATGAGGGTCCCTCCTGCTTCTGAAGAGTGGTCATTCATAACAATGGGAGTACTAACTACCTTCAAGGATGATTGTAAGAATTAGAGCTAATGTAATAAAGTACAGTGCTTTACAGTCACATAGTAGGTGATCATAAGGTTGTAATAGAGTTGAAATGAATTAAGAATTATAAAGCAACTTAGAACAATTAGAAAGTATACAGTGTTTCCTAATTGTTTAATAAATACAATTAAAATAAAAAAACTCTTACTGCTGTCATTTCTGCTAGTGTGTAATCAAAGTTTTAATTTTTGTACGTGAAGGAAAATCCAGAGTTTGTACCTAAAATTACATCTAAAAAGCATTTCCTTGGAATACAATATACTCCCAATCTACTGACAAGCCCATTTAAGTAAAACAACATTTCTGATTCTTAGCTGTCATATTTACAAGCTCAGGTGTAAATATATATTGTAAGAGTGTGCCTTTGTGTTCCCTTGAGGTAATAGACTGGAGCTATGTAGGGGGCCTGGCATTACCAGCACAGGTGGAGTTTCAGTCTTCTGAGGAAGGGAAATTCCCACTAGGATTCTGATGATGATGGCGGTGGAGCTGGAATGAGGCCCAACTCACCGTACCTGAGGAAGAATTCAATTGCAGATTCCCACATACACCCCTCACAAATTGTCCACTAGACAGAATTTAAGAAGAGATGAGATGTCATTGTATTTTTAAAAGTCCTCAAGAATTTCCAGAGGTAATAGATCTGAGAGCAGCCTCCAAAGAAGCCTTGAAAGAGACCCACCAAGGCAATTTTGATAAGTTTCCAATTTGTGCTCTCCCTCATGCAAGCTAAATGTGCACTTCATGCAACTCCACTTTCAGCAGCTAGCTGTGACTAATCTGTCATCCCTTATCAAGTGAATATTTGTGACCCTTGACCTGAAGCATAAATGAACTGCAGGGAGATGTGGGACCTGAGTCAATTCAAGGACTCCTACCAGGCCCCATCTGGAGAATGCCCTGACAGCTGCAGAGGACAGCAGAGAAGATCTCTAAGAAAAACCCTCTAAGTCAGAAACCGCATCGGGACTGTGAGCAGATGTCTGGAAGAGGTTAATCTATCCATTCCTGCTCTTCTCCCCAAGAGATGGTAGATACCACTATGAAAGATGTCCTCCTTCGAAAACAGTAAGTGATATTAGGACTATGATGGGCCATTGGTCCCTTGCCTCCATTGACTTTGATAGTATTGACTGCTAATAAGGCCGTTCCTCCCCTTTTCAGTGTTAAAGAGAAGACGAAACATTGTGGTCAATGTGCTTTTAACTGGAAAATCTTTACCAGAGACATTAAATTGAAATGTCCAAACTTCTGCATGGAAGACTACTTCATCCATTTTTCGTGAGTGATATTTCTAACAAAAAAACTTGTATATGTGGTGAAGGTCAAAATCATGAGATGTCAGTTTCTCTTCTCATGAAGTGTTTTGCCATGTGTGAGATAATGTGTATTACGGAAGATGACATAATCTTCCATAGTATTACAGTGGCTCAACCAGGCATTAAAATACACCGAATTATATGGGGGAGAAAGTTATTCCCCTTAAAATTATTTTTTCTTTCTGATTACCTCCAAGGTAAACTCTCAGTTTGCTGCTGGTCTTTTAGCAACCCTCTGACAGGGAGCAAAACTTAGGCTTCAAGTCCAAGAAAAATAAGGCTTAGCTAAAATTTTGTCTAACATTTTCTTTGTTTTTCTTGGATTGAATTTTATAGTTACATTCAGTTTTTAACAAGTGAAGCCTGTCTTCAATTTTATAGTAATGATATAACTAGAACGTGTGGAAAAAGAGATTTTTTAAAAAGTAATAATATGAGATCCTCTTCCCAAAAAAGAAAAGTATTTAATTTTAAGAAAGTGAGATGATTAAAAACTCAAGTCAGTATGAGTACAGGTGATTCAAAGGTATAGCAAAATTCGTGAAGGCAATACACAAATGACTGAACTTCAGAAATCACTGCGTCAATGCATTTTTAAAGTGTTATGAGGCACAAACAATTCCAAGAAGATGATATCTCCAATTAGTTCCTCTTAATTCTGACCTGAAATACCTAAGAATGATAGAGAGGGGTGAAAGCTGGGATGCCAATCTGTTGCCCACTGTGGCTTCCCTGGCCCCACTCTCTCTCCTCTTTCAACTTACCAAGATGCATCCTTCATCTTCAACTGGTCTTCAGTGCCAAAATTTTACCATAAGAAGACAGAGGAGTTCTGTTTCATGCGTAATGGAAATAAGGGCAATGTAATTATCACAATTAAAAGTTACTTTCGGCCGAGCACAGTGGCTTATGCCTGTAATCCCTGCACTTTGGGAGGCCGAGGTAGGGGGATCACCTGAGGTCGGGACTTCGAGACCAGCCTGGCCAACATGATGAAATCCCGTCTCTACTAAAAATACAAAAAATTAGCCGAGCATGGTGGCGGGCGCCTGTAATCCCAGCTACTTAGGAGGCTGAGGCAGGAGAATTGCTCGAACCCAGGAGGCAGAGGTTGCAGTGAGCCAAGATTGCGCCACTGCACTCCAGCCTGGGAAACAAGAGTGAAACTCCGTCTCATAAAAAAAAAAAAAGTTAATTTCATCAAACCCATAGATATATTCAATCCACACTACTGAAAACATCTTTAAGTTCAAAGGACTTGAATAATAAATTAGTTAATTCTGCAATTATGAAATAGAAATCACAAAATCAATTGTTTCACATAGAAATTATGGGATGGTATTCAACTGAGACCAAGGCAATTGTAATTTTAAATAGCATGAGCTTTAGCTAAGATTCAATAAGTGATAGACAAGTGATGATACATAGATAGGTGGTGGATATGCACACATAACATGTGTATAATCATATCATTCAACAACATGGACCACTGACAATATACATGGTAATGTGCTCATTGCCAAAATAGACGTATTGACAAAAACATGGCCCCTGGCCTCTCAGATTTTCGTTTCAGTTCCCCCAAAAACCGATAATTATTGAGCACTGACTCTGTGCCAGGAACATGTACAAAGTACCTGGCACAGAGTAAGTGCTCAATAATTGTTAGTTCTCTTACCCCACCCTCCCCTTTCCACATTCTCATCATTAATGGAAGATGAAAGAGTCCCACAGATCCCTTTTACAGAAAATGAAAAGGAATGCACTGCCGGGGCCCCTTGGCCCTTCTAATAATGCAAACCATGTAACATGTACAGGAAATTAACTCTAGAATAGACTCAGAATTTTCAGAGCAAATAATTTGTAGCTTCATCCCAACTTTAGACTAACTGGGGGAAAGTTTCTGGGAAGTAGGATAAAATCACCTAGTGTGAGGTCAGCAGGGCAAATTCCAGGAACTGCAGGCTCCCACCCCAAGCCCTGTCCTGATGTCCCCATCCATTGCCTGTGTCGGCAGCTCTGACAGTGGCAGGTTTGACAAAGGTGCATGTTCAGGAAGAGTTGGTGTTAGGGAATCCCAATACGCTCTGCACTTCATTCATTCCTGATAAGTGACTGAGTTCTTTGCAGGTGAGCTAGTCTTGTCCTCCTTCCAGGAAGCCTACTCTAGATAAAAAGACCTGCATAACCTCAGTCACAAAGCTTCTTGAGAAGACACGAGTAGTCAGTTTTTACTTTTCAAAGATATAGAATATTGGCATTTTTTTTTCAGTTGCCCAGAGCCTAGCATAGTGCCTAACCATATATAGACATCCAGGATACCGTGTTGTTTGAGTAATGAATGAATTAAAAGTAGCTCACGCCTGTAATCCCAGCACTGTGGGAGGCTGAGGTGGGCAGATCACTTGAGGTCAGGAGTTGGAGACCAGCCTGGACAACACAGTGAAACCCCCGTCTCTACTAAAATACAATAATTAGCTGGGCGTGTTGGTGCGTTCTCATAATTCCAGCTACCCTGGAGGCTGAGGCAGGAGAATGGCTTGAACCCAGGAGGAAGAAGTTGCAGTTAGCCAAGATCACACCACTACACTCCAGCCTGGGCAACAGAGCAACACTCTGTCCCAGGAAAAAAAAAAAGTATCACTCAGGAAATTGCCAGTTCTGTTGGACTGACCTGTTAAAACTCTAATAAAATGGCAATAGCTAACACATACTTCCTATTATATACTAGGCACTGTTCTAAATGCTGAAAGTTGTTACTTTCTAAAATATTTTTCAAATCCTTCAACAACCCTATGAGGTGGATATACTCATTAATAGGAGCAACTATTATTATACCCATAAGGAAGCTTCCAGCACAGCATAATAGTAAGGAGACCTAGTTTTACTCATGACCATCCATAGCAGCTTGCACAACAAGCCCTCAATCATGGCTGCACCTAAATATACATAAGTCATGTTCCTTTCTTTTCTTTTTCTTTTTTTTTTTTTTTGAGACAGAGTTTCGCTGTCTCAAAGCTAGAAGACAGTGGCACGATCTCGGCTCACTGCAACCTCTGCCTCCCGGGTTCACGCCATTCTCCTGCCTCAGCCTCCCAGCACCCACCATCATGCCCAGCTAATTTGTTTTTTCTTTTTTTGTTTTTTTTTGTTTTTTACTTTTACTTTCAGTAGAGATGGGGTTTCACTGTGTTGGCCAGGCTGATCTTGAACTTGTGATCCGCCTGCCTAAACCTCCCAAAGTGCTGGGATTACAGGCATGAGCCACCACTCCTGGCCATCAATTTCCTTTCTTACAGGTCAAGAAAAATAGAGACTCAGAAAGAGTAACTAACTTGCCCAAGATTGCCCAGCTAACAGTTGGTGAAGCTGAATTCAAGACTAGGTAGTCTTGCTCTTCAATCAGTGCTTCTAACCACTAAGTTACACTGCCTCACAAGAATAACAGAAGCAATTTTTCCACTTACACCACACCCTTCTTATAACAAGATACTTGAACATGTGCATAGCCATGTGTGTTTTGGTAAAGATATACCTACATCTTGTGAAAGTAGCACAATCTGAAATCCTGAACTCTTTCCTTTCTAGTTAGGCCTACAGAACTTGAAAACATACAGTCTCTTTTCATTAATTAGGAAGAAAATCCTGACACTAAAACTAAGCATTTGTTTGCAAATATCCACCTTCATATACCAACCCATATATAAACATTCATGGACTAGACATTGGTTTGAGGTCCTGCTATGATGAACCAGTGGCCGGTGGCCCACCACACACTTTTGTCATTCTGTACTGCTTCCGTCTCTCAACCAACCAAACAGTAACCTGGTCACCCGTCTAAGCCCCTGTCAAGCCAATCCAGTTGTTTTTTTTCCAGCAAGGTGAATTATAGAGCGTAGAAGTATTTTACCTTTTTCTATTACCTTCTCTGCAACAGAAGTCATGGGCCCATAACAATATCCAATCAGAAATTTCTTTTGCCTTGTTCTAAACACAAAGGGATAAGTTTCCTCCTAGATTTTATAAAACTCTTAAAAGAAAATGCATGATTTTTAAATGAAGGCACTTCAAAAAGAGGATTTGAAGATATTACTGGTCCTTGTCCCTTATAGCAGCTATGTGGCCTTCATCTGGGAAAGGGGCACCAAAATTTTGTCGTGACTTTCTTAATAATAGATAGTTGTCACAGTATGTTAATCGAAACCACTTCCCATACTTCCCATAATTGTTAGCTGGCCTTTTCATGGGAGAGATTTTTTCAAAGATTTCCCATAATGACGTAACGTATGAAAACAAAGCAGGTTATAAAATAATATGTATTGTATAATTATATTTTTAATAATACGTATGTATTAACAGGCATAAAAGTGTCCTGGAAGGATACACCCAAGGGTGTTAACGTATTAGAATTATTTGTAATTTTGAATTTTTTTCTTATCTAAATATTCTAATTCTTGCCGGGCGCGGTGGCTCACCCCTGTAATCCCAGCACTTTGGGAGGCTGAGGCGGGTGGATCACTTGAGGTCAGGAGTTCAAGACCAGCCTGGCCAACATGGTGAAACCCTGGCTCTATTAAAAATATACAAAATTAGCCGGGCATGGTGGTGCACGCCTGTAATCTCAGCTATTCAGGAGGCTGAGGCAGGAGAATCCCTTGAACCCAGGAGGTGGAGGTTGCAGTGAGCTGAGATTGCACCACTGAACTCCAGCCTGTGCAACAGAGTGAGACTTGGTCTCAAAAATAAATAAATATATATATAAATAAATATTCTAATTCTTGTGCTACAAATATGTATTGCTTCTGTATTAAGACAAAATGTTTCAACTACTAAAAAAATAAGATTCAGATGAGCTACATAAACAGTTTCTGAGAGTACCAAGATTGCACTAAGATTCTATGCCTCCAGAAGGGGGTAAGAAAGTTAATATTTATTAAGAACTTGCTATATTTCAGACACTTTGTCTTTTTTTTCCCATTTAATCCTCTCTGTGATTCTGTAAGATGGGTAGTATTGTTACCATTTTACAGATGAGGAAACTTGAGGCTCAAGAAGGTTACATAAATGTCTAAATCATATGCTGAGCACAGAGCCAGGATTCCACCAGATTCATCTGATCCCAAAGGCCACACTCCCTTCACTTGCCAAAGAAGCTTCCAGCACAGCATAATAGAAAGGACACCTGGTTTTACTCATCACCATCCATAGCACCTTGCACAACAAGCCCTCAATGATGGCTGCACCTAAGTGTATATAAGTCAAGTTCCTTTCTTTTCTTTCCTTTTTTGTTTTTTGAGACAGAGTTTCGCTGTGTCTCCCAGGCTGGAGTGCAGTGGCACGATCTCAGCTCGCTGCAACCTCTGCCTCCCGGGTTCATGCCATTCTCCTGCCTCAGCCTCCCAAGTAGCTGGAACTACAGGCGTCCGCCACCATGCCCGGCTAATTTTTTTTTCTTTTACTTTTAGTAGAAACGGGGTTTCACTGTGTTGGCCAGGCTGATCTTGAACTCTTGACCTCGTGATCCACCTGCCTCAGCCTCCCAGAGTGCTGGGATTACAGGCATGAGCCACTGAGCCTGGCTGTCAAGTTCCTTTCTCACAGGTCAAGGAAGAAGTGCCATGTTGCACACAGACACTCCACTTAGCCCCTTCACTCATCCCCAGTTAATGCAAATGACTCTGAGATTCTTGTTACAGCTGCAGTGCAATTTGCTGTGTCTTTTAAGACAAAATGTGGTTTGCATTCTCTCTGTTTGTGGTACAGACCCATTATTAGGGTGACTTAGAGCCCTTTGATGATTCTGAGATACATATTACACATGCTCTTAAAGGAAGCGTCTTTACATCACAGTCAGCTGACAATTGGCCTCTTATGTTAACAACTGGCAAAACATCACAGCTTTGCCTTAATTACCTTTTGTTTTCCTGTCCTGTTGCTTGTTTTGTTAAGTATTAATATGACTTTGGTTTCCCCCTCACACCAACAAGCTTCAGGCGATTCATTTATGATCTCTCTTTGCTGTCACATCACTTCTGTGAAGAATATAATCGCTGGACATTGTTTTCCCATTATGAAAAAGGACGCAGTGAGGAAGTGCAGATGCACCTTATGGAATAAGACTGGCAAAATGGCAAGTGGGGAGTGATTGGCAAGAAACTGACATTATAGGAAAAGAAGCAAACTCTGAGCAGACGTGGATGGGCATTGACATTTAGGCAGTGGGAGAAAGAATATGTGGATATGTGATAATGGAGGGAAAGTACTTCCACTGACAACAGCAAGGACTATTTCTGAGGCTTTTACAATGGGCCAGACTCAAGAATAAGTGTTTTACACGTGATTCATCCTCACAAGCAGGATCAGATCCAAGGTTTGTGCAGCTCTGAAGATGACACATTTTGGGAAGAGGGCAGGGGTCTTTAGACTAGAAAATTACAAATACAGTGTACCTAAAGCCCTCCTGTGAGAAGCTTGTACAAGTGAGGTGTCTTGAGCCTTAAGCTCCCTGAGCTTCATGACAAACCCATAAACCCTCTGAAGTGGTCTCATCCATTCCACATATAAGTGAAGCTCAGCAAGGTTGGCTGGGCACAGTGGCTTATTCCTGCAATCCCAGCACTTTGGGAGGCCAACGTAGGAGAATCATTTGAGTTCAGGAGTTTGAGGCCAGGCTGGGCAACATAGTGAGACTCCATCTCTACAAAAAAATTTTTTAAGTTAGCCAGGCATGGTGATGCATGCCTGTGGTCCCAGCTACTCAGGAGGCTGAGGTGGAAGGATCACTTGAGCCCGGGTGGTTGAGGCTGCAGTGAGCCGTGATAAGCCAGAGCACTCCAGCCTGGGCAACAGAGCGAGATCCTGTCTCAAGCATGTGCACCATACTTGAACATATACAAGTATGCAAGTGCAAGGGAGTTGGCATCTCATGGGGCAACTTAACCACTACAGGGCATGAACTAGTGGATAAATGTTCCCCTCTTCTGACTCTTAGGCAGATGATTCTGAATGGGTGACGAACTCATCCTGGCTTTCCAGGGACCTGAGTTTTCCCTGGTTTAGCATGGAAATCCCGTGTTGCTGTTGGTTATCCTAATTCCGAAATGCAATTTGCAGGACTGCTTAGAGAGTCCCAGGGGCATCAAGTCCCAGTTTCCCACAGCTTAATAACACACGCTGTTTTGCCTTTCCCTGCTTTCCTGAGATTACTTCCCAGGATCAGCAAGGTTAACTAACTTGTCCAGTAACACAACTAGCAAGTAACAGAACAGGCTTCCAAAATCCTAAAAAAAAATTTCCAAAGCCCCCAAATAGGCAAACTCTTATTTGTCTTGAGGACAAACTCTTAAAGCAGCAGCACAAACACCTTGATGTGGTTCTGTGAGTTTTCCTGGCAGGGCCCAGCCTATCCTTTGTCAGAACCTGCAGAGCTTGGGGCTGTGGAACCCTACCAAGACCTCTGGTGGAACTTGTATCTTTCAGATTCATAGAATCTATAAAGAAAGCCACTGTTGAGGTGGAGAGAAAAACAAGTTTTAATGATTCAGCTCTTTGTATCCACAAACCAAAAAGCAGGGAAAAAAATTCTTTTTAAGACACACATATTTAATTTAGCCATAGTCCTGGATAAAAACTTCCAGTGTTAAGAGCTGGATGCGGGGAATTGCTGGTAAACTGGCTCAGGGAGGGGTGGATGTGGAGAGAACATGGATTTGTAGCATCTGTCAACTTCTGTGGTGTCAATACTCTCCCCATGACTGATTTCAAGCTACCAGTGGTTGTTTGGCTTGAAACATTCCTGAATATTTAGCAACTGGCTTTTACAAGCAGGTAGGAGCAGCACACCACTGGCTGTGATGATCATGACCTCAAGTTCTACAGTAATTAGAAAGACCTTTCTTACATCTCAGAGCCAAATATTTTTGGCCCTGATATCTTGTCTAGTTGGCACTGCGGAAAGAAGATTTGAGATTGTTAAATCTCGAGAATCTTGTCAGGGGTCTGGGTGCAGTGGTTCATGCCTGTAATCTCAGCACTCTGGGAGGCGGAGGTGGGTGGATCGCTTGAGGTCAGGAGTTCGAGACCAGCCTGGTCAACATGGTGAAACCCCATCTCTACTAAAATACAAAAAAAAAAATAGCCAGGCATGGTGGCACATGCCTGTAGTCCCAGCTACTTGGGAGGCTGAAGCAGGAGAACTGTTTGAACCAGGGAGGCGGAGGTTGCAGTGAGCCGAAATCATGCCACTGCACTACAGCCTGGGCAACAAAGCAAGGCTGTCTCAAAGGAAAAAAAAGAATGTTGTCAGGGAAATAAGTTGGGAGTTCTTCATGGTCCACTATGACCCATATATAAAATCTTTCTTCAATATGTGCTCAACTAGTGAAATGGACATGAAACAGGCCACCAGGCCTATTAACCCTAGTGGCGCTAGGAAGGGACAAGGCCCCTGACACCCCACAAGCCTTTGCCCATCATGTATAACTGCACCTGCTGCAATAGAACAACTGGTAAAAGCAAAATCTAGCCTAACCTCCTAATTTTGTACACTTGATCTTAGCAGAGTAGCAGCCAAGAATTTGGAGATGAAGAAACTGAGGCCCAAGGAGAAGCGTGTCAAAGGTCACATAGGATTTTAAATACTAAAAGTGGGACCAGAAGTTAAGTCTCCTGACTATCTGTCTGCAGTCCTTTCTATATCTGGCTGTTCAAGCAATTAAACCTTATAATAAATATTTCATTACACTGTCTTTGAACAGTGCCATACCTTCCAGACTAATTTTGTAACAACGTCAGGAAAGTGATAATTTGGCTGTTTGGGGCCCTGACTTATTTCACTTGCCTCTGTCTTTTTAAGTTTCCTAAAGTTGGAAACACTCATCACTGCACAGATAAGCTAAGCATTGCCCAATTCAAAGACCAGCTAGATTCCCCATAGAAAACAGAGCCGAAGACACAAGCTTGTGTGAAGGCAGTATATATTGGGAAGTAATCCCAGAAATGCAGGAAAAGGCAAAACAATCTGTGTTATTAAGCTGTGGGAAACTGGAACTTGATCTCACTGGGACCCCCTAAGGAGTCCTGCATAATGCATTTCAGAATTAAGGTAACCAACAGCAACATGGGATTTCCAGTGCTAACTCAGAGAAAACTCAGATCCGTGGAAAGCCAGGATGAGTTCATCACCCTTTCAGAATCATCTGCTCAAGAGTCAGAAGAGACGAATATTTATCAACTAGTTCATGTCCTGCAGTGGTTACATTGCCCCATGAGATGCCAACTCCCTTGCACTTGCATACTTGCATATGTGACAGTCAAAATACATTTCTAACAATGTCCAAGGAAGTTGAGCAAGAGCAACCCCAGGGCAGAATGAGATGCAGGGCAGCCACGTTGTGACTGAATGCAAGTCTGGCTGCTCATGACTTGAGAGCCAAAATATGAGAAGCGAGTAAAAGGAAAGCAACTTTATTCAAATGCTAGCAATTGGGAAATGGCCAGGCTTGTGCCTCCAAAAGACCATTTCAAGTGTTAGACTGAAGGAAGGGATTTTAAAGGGGGAGACTTGGCCAGGCGCAGTGGCTCATGCCTGTAATCCCAGCACTTTGTGAGGCCGAGGCTGTCCGATTGCTTGAACCGAGGAGTTTGAAACTAGCCTGGGCAACATAGTGAAAACCCATCTCTACAAAAGATACAAAAAAAATTAGCCAGATGTGGTGGTGCACACCTGTAGTCCCAGCTACTCTGGAGGCTAAGAGTTGGGAGGACTGCTTGAGCCTGGGAGTTGAGGCTGCAGTGAGCCATGTTCACACCACTGCACTCCAGCCTGAGCAACAGAGAGAGACTCTGTTTCAAAAAATATGTTAAAAATAAATAAAAAATAAAAAGGGGATACTTAGTATGAGAACCATGCCAGAGTAACACAAGATACAGGCCTGCATGTCTTCTTCCAAGGGTTATTTTGAGTTGTTGTCCACTTGGAGTGCTGGCTGGTGCCATCTCAGTTGCAGTCAGTTTATAGATGTCTGTCATGAGGTAATCTCCAAGTAGGGGAGAATTCTGCAGCTGGGTCTCCTTGCCTGGCTGTTGTGTAAAATCAGCCCCTGGAATTTATTAACAAGTATACAGTTAGATACGTGTCCATGGTGCAAGGGAGAGTCTGGTGGGAAAGAGAGGGAAGCAGAGTTTCAAAGTACATTTCAAGGTATATTTTAAGACTAAGGAAAAGAGAGTTTCTACACTCAGTTTCGAGGTTACATCTTAAGACTAGAAAGAGAGGAAAAAAGTTTTAAAATGCATTCAAAGTTGAAAGACTCAGTTACAAGGTGAGGGAAAGTAGATTCACTTCTCTGGGTGCTGGGTGCTGCAGCAGGGACTGGAGAAAAGGTAGGTTGAGAGGACGTGAGGCAGTGCAGAAGCGGTGTCTCACACAGGGCATGAAGGGCAGGCAGCCTTGGTCCCTAGGCTGATAAGACTTCAGTACCAAGTGACCCTCTGGGACCTGGAAGATGGTGACTACAATCCATGAAGGGACAATTTATCAAACCGTCCTTTCACAGATCTCCCCATGACAAGATACTGATCCACTTTGTGGCTTTCCTTCTCACCTTTATCACTTTCTCCTTTACTCCCTCAACAAATATTTAGTGAGTACCTATCATATGCCAGAGACTATGTTAGTTACTTAAAATGTAGCTAAACATAATCCTTATCCTCAAGAAGCATTTAGGGGAGGGACCAACCAGAAAACAGACAGCTACAATACAATATGATGGTGCTAGAGAGAATGGGCCAGAGGGGAAAGGGAGAAGAAAGATTTCATGTAAGGAAGTAGTATCAAAGCAGAGTCCCTAAGGATTACAAGAATAATAACAATAGTAGATAACTTTTATGGGATGCTTACAAAAAGCCAGGCAATGTTCTAAGGTCTTCACAGTACTAATGTAATTAATCCTTACAATAGCCCTGTGAAGGAGGTGCCACGATGATCCTCAACTTTGAAATGACAAAGCTGAACTATAGGAAAATTAAATAAGCATGCCAAGGTTTAAGGCACAATGGCACACACTGCTAGCTGGTCATTCACCAAAACTCATTTTCTCTTCTTCCTGGGCACACAGTTAGGTGACGTTTCCCAGCCTCCCTTGCAGCTAGATGTAGCCTTGTGACTGAATTCTAGCTAGTGGAATGGGAGCAGAAGTGATGTGTACCATGTCCAGGGCTAACCCATAAAAGCCTCTCACATATACCCTCTGTATGCTTCCCCCGTTAATGGAGAAACTAAACTCCATAAAAAATTTTTTCTTTCTTTCTTTCTTTTCTTTCTTTCCTTCTTTTTCTTTTCTTTTTCTTTCTTTTTTTCTTTCTTTCTTTCTCTTTCTTTCTTTCTTTCTACCTTTCTCTCTCTCTCTTTCTTTCTTTCTCTCTCTCTTTCTTTTCTTTTCTTTCTTTCTTTTTCTTTTCTTCTTTTCCTTAAACAAGGTCTTGCTCCGTTACCCAGGCTGGAGTGCAGTGGAATGATCATAATCATAGCTCACTGCAGCCTCAAACTCCAGGCTCAAGCGATCCTCCCACTTCAGCCTCCTGAGCAGCTAGGACTGCAGGTATGTGCTACCATACCCAGCTAATTTTTTTTTTTTTTTTGTAGAGATAGGATCTTGCTATGTTCTTCAGGCTGGGCATTAAACTCCTGGCCTCAAGCTAACCTCTAGCCATGGTCTCCCAAAGTGCTGGGATTATGAGTGTTAGCCACCACACCTGGCTAAAATATTTTAAAGATGTTATTCTGAGTCAATATGAGTGACCATGGCCTGGGGAACACAGTTTCAAGAGGTCCTGAGAAAGTGCACCCTTGGTAGTAGGATTACAGTACAGTTTTACACATTTTAGGGAGGCAGGCGTTACAGGCAAAGATATAAATCAGTCACATGGAAGGTATTTACACTGATTCAGCCTGAAAAGGTGGGATATCTTGAAGCAGGTGCTTACAGGGTATAAGTAAATTCAGAGACTGTTTAATTTACAATTGGTTAAAGAAATAAAGCTTTGTCTAAAAATTCGGAGGCAGCAAAAAAGGAATATTTCATATTAAGATATTGTTTTCCAGTACACTGGGTTACAGTGAATTATAAGAATGTGTGACTCAACCCTTCTTGTGTCGTGTTAGGTCCTATTTGTAATTTGGCATCTTATTGTGACAATAAGTCCATTTTGTTAGCTTTACGATCTCTATTTTAACACTAATGCTGTTCAGTTGTGCCTAAACTCCAAAAGGGAGGGAGGATAACAAAGCATATTGGACCTTCCCTTCTTGTGATGGCCAGGAATTCAGTTTTTAAGTTTTTCTTGAGGTCTTCTTGGCCAAGAGGGGGTCTGTTCAGTTGGTTGGGGGGCTTAGGATTTTATTTTTAGTTTACATTCTCTTCTGGATGTCTGGAAAGGGTGACCTTGGAAAGCAAATGTTGAAAATGGTTGTCTCAGGCTAGGCGCAGTGGCTCACGCCTGTAATCCCAGCACTTTGGGAAGCCAAGGCGGGCTGATCACCTGAGGTTAGGACTTTGAGACCAGCCTGGCCAACGTGGCGAAACCCTGTCTCTACTAAAAATACAAAAATTAGTCGAGCGTGGTGGTGGGCGCCTATAATCCCAGGTGCTCAGGAGGCTGAGGCAGGAGAATCGCTTGAACCCGGGAGGCGGAGGTTGCAGTGAGCCTAGATCGCGCCACTGCACTCCAGCCTGGGTGACAGAGCAAGACTCCATCAAAAAAAAAAAAAAAAAAAAAAAGAAAGAAAGAAAGAGAGAGAGAGAGGGAGGGAGGGAGGGAAGGAAATGGTTGTCTCTCTATTAGTTTAAGTCCCTACATAGAGAAGGGCATATGCCACTGATTATTTGCTTGCCTATAATTGTTATTTGAGCAAGAAATAAACTTTTACAGGGTTTAGGCCATTGTAGACCTTTGGGTCTTTCTGTTGCAGCAATAATTCCACCAATTTTATGAGTCTATTTGGTAAAGCAGTTAGTCTACCATAATTAACATGGGCACATATAAAAAGATGGCAGAAAATCAGGTTGAAAAGATAAATGAAGGGTGCCATGCATCGTGTTTAAAAGTTTACCTTTTTCCCAAAAGTATTGATGAACTTTTCTTCTAAGACGGAGCAGAAGGGGGAAAAACAGACAGATACAGTTCCAGTTGGATAGAAAGGATAGTTGAGGTTCATATAACTTGCACTCCTTTTGTGAGCACTAAGAGGCAGTGTCATCTTCTTAGGGTATGCTGGATGTGTGAGTGTGTGTGGGTTGCAAAGGAGCAGGCCAGGAGCACCAGAAAGGTTTAGAACAACGCGAGAGGCAGTTAGGAGGGCAGACTTTGGAGCTTGAATCAGTCAGACTCCAGTAGAAAAAACAGGTATCACTCTAAGCATTTTCAAGAAGAAGGAATTTGATACAGGAAATTGAGTGTTCACAGAACTTATGGAAAGACCTGAGAAGGCAAAATTCAGGCAACTCTCCACTAGCTTTCAGTTTCGTTGCCTCAGAGCTGGAGAGCTGCTGCCATCCAACTTAGAATCCTGCAGGAAACGACTGCCAACTTCAGAGACCTCCACCATCCCAAGGCAGGTAAACTGGCAGGGAAATGTAGTGTCTGCTGTAAAAACTCATGTTCGTGAACTCTACTGGGATGTTTTTAAAACATAACTGCACATTCTTTCATGTTCTTTTCATCAAGAGATGTGGCCTGTGTCCCTTTCCCTGGAATCTGAATGGGCTGTGACTGCTTCAACCCATGGGGTATGGAAATAAAGCTATGTGACTTCTTTTTTAATATAATTTTTATTTTTATTTATTTATTTTTATTTTTTATTTATTTTAAGATCTGGGATACATGTGAAGAACATGCAGGTTTCTTACATAGCTATACATGTGCCATGGTGGTTTGCTGCACCTCTCAACCCGTCATCTAGGTTTTTTTTTTTTATTATACTTTAAGTTTTAGGGTACATGCGCACAATGTGCAGGTTTGTTACATACGCATACATGTGCCATGTTGGTGTGCTGCACCCATTAACTCGTCATTTAGCATTAGGTATATCTCCTAATGCTCTCTCTCCCCCCTTCCCCCACCCCACAAGAGTCCCCGGAGTGTGATGTTCCCCTTCCTGTGTCCATGTGTTCTCATTGTTCAATTCCCACTTATGAGTGAGAATATGCGGCGTTTGGTTTTTTGTCCTTGTGATAGTTTACTGAGAATGATGATTTCCAGCTTCATCCATGTCCCTACAAAGGACATGAACTCATCATTTTTTATGGCTGCATAGTATTCCATGGTGTATATGTGCCACATTTTCTTAATCCAGTCTATCATTGTTAGACATTTGGGTTGGTTCCAAATAGCAAAAGACAATAGTCTTTGCTATTGTGAATAGTGCTGCAATAAACATACGTGTGCATGTGTCTTTATAGTAGCATGATTTATAATCCTTTGGGTATATACCCAGTAATGGGATGGCTGGGTCAAATGGTATTTCTAGTTCTAGATCCCTGAGGAATCGCCACACTGACTTCCACAATGGTTAAACTAGTTTACAGTCCCACCAACAGTGTAAAAGTGTTCCTATTTCTCCACATCCTCTCCAGCACCTGTTGTTTCCTGACTTTTTAATGATGGCCATTCTAACTGGTGTGAGATGGTATCTCATTGTGGTTTTGATTTGTATTTCTCTGATGGCCAGTGATGATGAGCATTTTTTCATGTATTTTTTGGCTGCATAAATGTCTTCTTTTGAGAAGTGTCTGTTCATATCCTTTGCCCACTTTTTGATGGGGTTGTTTGTTTTTTTCTTGTGAATTGTTTGAGTTCATTGTAGATTCTGGATATTAGCCCTTTGTCAGATGAGTAGGTTGCGAAAATTTTCTCCCATTTTGCAGGTTGCCTGTTCACTCTGATGGTAGTTTCTTTTGCTGTGCAGAAGCTCTTTAGTTTAATTAGATCCCATTTGTCAATTTTGTCTTTTGTTGCCATTGCTTTTGGTGTTTTAGACATGAAGTCCTTGCCCATGCCTATGTCCTGGATAGTATTGCCTAGGTTTTCTTCTAGGATTTTTATGGTTTTAGGTCTAACATGTTAAGTCTTTAATCCATCTTGAATTAATTTTTGTATAAGGTGTAAGGAAGGGATCCGGTTTCAGCTTTCTACAAATGGCTAGCCAGTTTTCCCAGCACCATTTATTAAATAGGGAATCCTTTCCCCATTGCTTGTTTTTCTCAGGTTTGTCAAAGATCAGATAGTTGTAGATATGAGGCGTTATTTCTGAGGGCTCTGTTCTGTTCCATTGATCTATATCTCTGTTTTGGTACCAGTACCATGCTGTTTTGGTTACTGTAGCCTTGTAGTATAGTTTGAAGTCAGGTAGCGTGATGCCTCCAGCTTTGTTCTTTTGGCTTAGGATTGCCTTGGCGATGCGGGCTCTTTTTTGGTTCCATATGAACTTTAAAGTAGTTTTTTCCAATTCTGTGAAGAAAGTCATTGGTAGCTTGATGGGGATGGCATTGAATCTATAAATTACTTTAGGCAGTATGGCCATTTTCACGATATTGATTCTTCCTACCCATGAGCATGGAATGTTCTTCCATTTGTTTATATCCTCTTTTATTTCACTGAGCAGTGGTTTGTAGTTCTCCTTGAAGAGGTACTTCACGTCCCTTGTAAGTTGGATTCCTAGGTATTTTATTCTCTTTGAAGCAATTGTGAATGGGAGTTCACTCATGATTTGGCTCTCTGTTTGTCTGTTATTGGTGTATAAGAATGCTTGTGATTTTGGTACATTGATTTTGTATCCTGAGACTTCGCTGAAGTTGCTTATCAGCTTAAGGAGATTTTGAGCTGAGACAATGGGGTTTTCTAGATATACAATCATGTCATCTGCAAACAGGGACAATTTGACTTCCTCTTTTCCTAATTGAATACCCTTTATTTCCTTCTCCTGCCTAATTGCCCTGGCCAGAACTTCCAACACTATGTTGAATAGGAGTGGTGAGAGAGGGCATCCCTGTCTTGTGCCAGTTTTCAAGGGAATGCTTCCAGTTTTTGCCCATTCAGTATGATATTGGCTGTGGGTTTGTCATAGACAGCTCTTATTATTTTGAGATATGTCCCATCAATACCTAATTTATTGAGAGTTTTTAGCATGAAGGGTTGTTGAATTTTGTCAAAGGCCTTTTCTGCATCTATTGAGATAATCATGTGGTTTTTGTCATTGGTTCTGTTTATGTGATGGATTGCGTTTATTGATTTGTGTATGTTGAACCAGCCTTGCATCCCAGGGATGAAGCCAACTTGATCATGGTGGATAAGCTTTTTGATGTGCTGCTGGATTCGGTTTGCCAGTATTTTATTGAGGATTTTTGCATCAATGTTCATCAAGGATATTGGTCTAAAATTCTCTTTTTTGGTTGTGTCTCTGCCAGGCTTTGGTATCAGGATGATGCTGGCCTCATAAAATGAGTTGGGGAGGATTCCCTCTTTTTCTATTAATTGGAATAGTTTCAGGAAGAATGGTACCATCTCCTCCTTGTACCTCTGGTAGAATTCGGCTGTGAATCCATCTGGTCCTGGACTTTTTTTGGTTGGTAAGCTATTGATTATTGCCACAATTTCAGCTCCTGTTATTGGTCTATTCAGAGATTCAACTTCTTCCTGGTTTAGTCTTGGGAGAGTGTATGTGTCAAGGAATTTTTCCATTTCTTCTAGATTTTCTAGTTTATTTGCATAGAGATGTTTGTAGTATTCTCCAATGGTAGTTTGTATTTCTGTGGGATCGGTGGTGATATCCCCTTTATCATTTTTTATTGCATCTATTTGATTCTTCTCTCTTTTCTTCTTTATTAGTCTTGCTAGCGCTCTATCAATTTTGTTGATCCTTTCAAAAAACCAGCTCCTGGATTCATTAATTTTTTGAAGGGTTTTTTGTGTCTCTATTTCCTTCAGTTCTGCTCTGATTTTAGTTATTTCTTGCCTTCTGCTAGCTTTTGAATGTGTTTGCTCTTGCTTTTCTAGTTCTTTTAATTGTGATGTTAGGGTGTCAATTTTGGATCTTTCCTGCTTTCTTTTGTGGCCATTTAGTGCTATAAATTTCCCTCTACACACTGCTTTGAATGTGTCCCAGAGATTCTGGTATGTTGTGTCTTTGTTCTCGTTGGTTTCAAAGAACATCTTTATATCTGCCTTCATTTCGTTATGTACCCAGTAGTCATTCAGGAGCAGGTTGTTCAGTTTCCATGTAGTTGAGCAGTTTTGAGTGAGTTTCTTAATCCTGAGTTCTAGTTTGATTGCACTGTGGTCTGAGAGACAGTTTGTTATCATTTCTGTTCTTTCACATTTGCTGAGGAGTGCTTTCCTTCCAACTATGTGGTCAATTTTGGAATAGGTGTGGTGTGGTGCTGAAAAAAAATGTATATTCTGTTGATTTGGGGTGGAGAGTTCTGTAGATGTCTTTTAGGTCCACTTGGTGCAGAGCTGAGTTCAATTCCTGGGTATCCTTTTTAACTTTCTGTATCATTGATCTGTCTAATGTTGACAGTGGGATGTTAAAGTCTCCCATTATTATTGTGTGGGAGTCTAAGTCTCTTTGTAGGTCACTAAGGACTTGCTTTATGAATCTGGGTGCTCCTGTATTGGGTGCATATATATTTAGGATAGTTAGCTCTTCTTGTTGAATTGATCCCTTTACCATTATGTAGTGGCCTTCTTTGTCTCTTTTGATCTTTGTTGATTTAAAGTCTGTTTTATCCGAGACTAGGATTGCAACCCCTGCCTTTTTTTGTTTTCCATTTGCTTGGTAGATCTTCCTCCATCCCTTTATTTTGAGCCTATGTGTGTCTCTGCACGTGAGATGGGTTTCCTAAATACAGCACACTGATGGGTCTTGACTCTTTATCCAATTTGCCAGTCTGTGTCTTTTAATTGGAGCATTTAGCCCATTTACATTTAAAGTTAATATTGTTATATGTGAATTTGGTCCTGTCATTATGATGTTAGCTGGTTATTTTGCTCGTTAGTTGATGCAGTTTCTTCCTAGCCTCGTCATCTAGGTTTTAAGCCCTGCATGCATTAGGTATTTGTCCCTCCCCTCATCCCTCATCCCACAACAGGACCCAGAGTGTGTTGTTCCCCTCCCTGTGTCCATGACTTCTCATTCTTCAACTCCCACATGGAATACAAAGCTATGTGACTTCTAATGTGAATTCATGAAAGAGCATGGAGCTTTTGTTTTGCTTGCTGAAAATACTCATTTTTGGAGCCTTGAGCCACCATGTCTGACTACCCTGAGGCCACCATGCTGTAAGAAAGCACAATCCATATGGAGAGGCTGATAATGGACAGGCAAGAGTGTCAGAGAAGGCAATGAGACAATGGAGTCAAGGGAGAGAAGAGGTGATGGTGGAAGCAGAGATTGGAGTGAAACAGGCCATGATCCAAGGAATTCTGGCAGCCTCCAGAAGCTGGAAAAACCAAAGAAACAGATTGTCCCCTGGGGCTTCCATAAGGAACAGCCCAGATGATCCATTTCAGACTTCTGACTTCCAGAACATATGTTGTTTTAAGGCACTAAGTTTGTGGTAATATGTTGCAGCAAGAGCAAACTACTACAATGCCTGACTCGCAGTAGACTCTCAGTAAATGTTTGTTAGTAAGTAAACAAATAAACCAGATTATAAATATCTCTTCTTACAAGAAAATGTGAATTTATACTCCAGGTACTTTTATAAGTTGAATTCATTCTTTGCCATCTAAATATTTAGTATTATGATATTTTCAGCTCTCTTGAATGCCTAAACCCAGACTAAATGCACACAAGAACAAACCAAATAGGAAAATGCTGTATTTTTAGAGAAAATATAATAGCTAAAATTTATTGAGCACTTGCTATGTGCTTTATTTCCTTTCTTTCATTTAATCTGCCCAACAACCCTATGAGGCCCAGTACTATTACAATCATTGATAGAGGGGTTAAATAATTTGTCCAAAGTCTCATAAGTAATAAGCAAGAGGCCAGGTTGAAAACCCAGGCTGGCTGGGCATGGTGGCTCACGCCTGTAATCCCAGCACTTTGGGAGGCCGAGGTGGGTGGATCATCTCAGGTCAGGAGTTCGAGAGCAGCCTGACCAACATGGAGAAACCCTGTCTCTACTAAAAATACAAAATTAGCTGGGCGTGGTGGTGCATGCCTGTAATCCCAGCTACTCGGGAGGCTGAGGCAGGAGAATAGCTTGAATCTGGGAGGTGGAGGTTGCAGTGAGCGGAGATCACACCATTGCACTCCAGCCTGAGCAACAAGAGCAAAACTCCGTCTCAAAAAAAAAGAAAGGAAGGAAGAAAGACAACCCAGGCTAACTGCCTCCAAAGTGCAAGCACGTGGCCACTGCTGTGTTCTGCCTTGGCGTGAGAAGAGAACAGCACAGGACCGTGGAAGGTCTGCTGTGCGGGGAGTCAGCAGGCAAACATCTAGACCCACGTGTGTCCCTCACTCACTGTGTGGCCCTGGGCAAGTCCCCTAACTTTGGTGCCTGGTTCTTTTTTCTGAAACAATATGGAGATTGGGCCGGATGACCCTTAAGTTCTCTTTCAAAACAGGGTCTCTCTGCCTATTTCCAACTTAAAAAAAAAATCACATATGCTAAATGGGTGGAATCAGAATAGGATAGCTTCATCCCCTGCATGTACTGAGGAATTTGTGCTTAGTAGGCACCTGGTTAAGCTCCAGTATCCAGTTGCTCCTTTTCTCTCTACCACCACTGTTTAATTATGGGAATAATTATGATAAATGTGGTAGACTGATTGCAAAAATGTCTCCAATTCTCCACCCCTCCCTGTAGTAGCCATGCCCTTTGCAATAGGAATTTGCAGCTCTTCGGAGTAGAGACTATTTCCTCCATCCTTAAATATGGACCTTCCTTGTGACTTACTGTACCCAACAAAATGCTGTGGGAGTGGTACTGTGACCATTATGAGCTTAGACCTTGCATTCTGCCTGTCTGTCTCAGAACCCTGCTTTACCATGAAAAAAGCTCAGGATAGCCTAATGGATGATGAGAGATGCTGTGAAGCAGAGCCAGGTAGTTGGGTCATTTAAGCCAAAACTGTGCTAGATTAGCCAGCCCCCAGCCAGTCTGCCAGCTGACCACAGACACATGAATGAGCCCAGCCAAGATCAGCCAAGACCAATACAGAATAGCAGAGCCACTCAGCCAACTGTAGACTTGTTGCTTGCCACTGTGGTTGTTTTACAAGCAACTTCATTGTGGCAAGAGAGAACTGATACAGTGAGCTTCCAGGTTTCAAGGTGAGGCAGAAAGTCTAGTATATAAATTATTCTTGTACTAATTGGAACAATTAATTAATCAGAAAAAATTAATCTAGGTTACAAGTGACAGAAAGCTGACTCAGCCTTGCCTATACACACAAGGGGATATATTGCCTTATGTTACTGAAAAGTCCAGGCATTGGGGAAGTCTCAAAAAAAAAAATTTCCTCTCATGTAACAGCTAAGAATCGAACAGACTACAACTGGGGGCTCTGCTGTCTTCCACTTTTGGCTTCCAAGGATTCTTCAATCATTATTTCCCAGTCAATAGGAGAGAGAAAGAAAGAATCCAAGGCAAGTAGCTTTATCTTTTAGCAAATGACCTGGAAGTTACGCAGAGCACTTCCCATGGGGCTGACCTTGGTCACAAGGCTGTATCTAGGTGCAAGGGGGCAGGAGAGTAGAATGGATCTGGGGAAATGAAGATTGTAATGTACAGATGCATAACCAAGTAAACTTTGAGATGAGGCTTCTTTTTCTAAAAGATGAATGGAACAATTAATTCTACGGAACAATTAACAGCTTCTGCCACACACTACTCACCAGCTATATTATCTCCATGGCACTTATTGCATCTGACAGTCTATAAATTCACATGTTTTTTTCTTTTTGTCCCTCCAAACTAGAACCTGAGCCTCGTGACGGGAGAAACTTTGTTTACTGTTGTATCTTCAGCTCTTAGACCAGTGCCTTACACAGGAGGCACTCAATAAATATTCATTGAGAAAGTAAATAAATTTTTCTTTTCCAATTGGTGTCTGAGGCACTCACTTTTCTTTCTGATCCACTTTGGATGTCAGTGGATCCAAATTTTCCTGGTTTCTAGTACTCCTGAGATTCCAGTCCTACTTCTTCTTGGGGCTCCCAGGATTCAAGAGTAAGGTGTTGTCTTTCCTGATTCCATTTCATAGAGGACTTCAGGATGAGAGGCAGAAGGAATTACAGAGAGACACATTTTTTAAAAAAAATTAATAGACTTTATTTTTATAGTGGTTTTAGGTTTATAGAAAAATTGAACAGAAAGTACAGAGAGTTTCCATATGCCTACTTTCCCTCCCCGCACAATTTTCTTCATTAGTAATATGTTGCATTAGTCATGTATCTATAATTACAGTGTCATAAAAGTAGTGTCACTGACCTAAGAATGCCCTGTGTTCCACCTAATGATCCCTCCCTTCTTTCCCCCACTCACTCTAGTACCACTGATATTTTTATTGTCTCTACAGTTTTAACTTTTCTAGAATGTCATATTTGGAGTCTTAAAGATGAAGCCTATGTAGCCTTTTCAGATTGGTTTCTTTCACTTTGCAATAGCCTGATAGTTGGTTTCTTTTTATCCTGGAATAATATTCCATTGTCTAAATGTTCCATGGTTTGTTTATCCATTGAAGAACATCTTGGTCACTTCCAATTTTTGGCAATTATGAATAAAGCTGCTATAAATATTTGTGTGCTGGTTTTTGTGTGGCTATAAGTTTTCAGTTCATTTGGATGAGTACTTAAGAGCACAATCGCTGGACCATATGGTAAGCCTATGTTTCACTTTCTAAGAAATAGGTGTCTCCTAAAGTGGCTGTGCCATTTTGTATTCTCACCAGCAATGAATGAGAATTTCTGCTGCTCCACGTCCTTTCCAGCATTTAGTGTTGTCAGTATTTTGGAGTGGAGCCACTGTAATAGGTGTGTAGTGGTATCTTGTTATTTTAAATTTCAATTCTCTAATGACATATGATGTTGAGCATCTTTTCATACTGTATATATTCTGCAGTGAGGTGTCTGTTCAGATCTCTCATTCATTTTTTAATTGGGCTATTTGTTTTTTATTGTGGAGTTTTAAGGGTGTTTGCATATTTTGAATACAAAACTTTATTAGATAAGTGTTTTGCAGATATTTTTCCCAGTCTGTGGCTTGTCTTATTCTCTTAAGATGCATTTTTAAGTGTATCTTTAAAGGTATTCTGTCACCCAGATCAGTGCATATGGTGTATGAGAGACTGAGAAATGTCCACTCCTAGGTCTTTCCTTCACTATTATTGAAAACTAATTATTGGATATACAGAAAAAGTTCTGGGAGCAACTCTAATAAATTACTTACTTGACTTTATATCATGCAACATTCAAAATATGTATGTGTACATTACTTTTTTGTTGCAGGGTTAATTTTTCATATTTTACAGCGTTAGTTTCACACATTTTACAAAGTCACATGGCTAAGTGAACCTCCTAGGATCAGCACCCAGGTTTTCTGACTCCTAGTCTGAGACACTTTCCAAATCCATCCCATTGACTGTTATCATCAAGACTTTGTATTTGACTTTTTTTATTCTTACTCACATATTTGTGTTCGGAGGAAGGCTTAGGTTTCCAATCTTATGAGCAACATACAAATCTTAAATTATCGGCATAAATTCTATATTGTTTTGGTTGCAAATGACAGAACCCAACTCAAATTGGCTTAAACACAAAAGAGGGAATTAGTGAACTAAGGTTACTGAAAGTCCAAGGACTGGATGGATCCAATAAGCTAATCAATACTTATTATCAATTTCTCTCTCCCTGTCCCCTCTGTTTTCCTTTGCATAGGCTTCATTCTCAGGCCGACCTCTCCATGAAGTGACAACGAGGACCACCAAAAACTTCAGGCTCCTAGCATCCTGGCAAATCTAAGAAAAAGAAGCACCTTCTTACCTATGGCTTAGCTCTAGTAAAAGTTCAGCTCAGGGGCTTGGCCCAGCTTGGGGTACCTGCCCATCTCTAAGCCAATGATGTTGTCAAAGAAATGCAGCCTAGGACACAGACCTTCCCTGGACCCTAGCTCGAACCTCAGACACTAAGAGTGAAGGCAGATTGATTCTTCAAAGGAAAATCAGGATGCTGTTTCCTGAAAAGGGGTCCCCAACCCCTGAGCCGCGGACCGGTACCGGTTCATGGCCTGTTAGGAACTGGGCTGCGCAACAGGAGGTGAGAGATAGGCAAAAGAGCATTACAATCTGAGCTTCGCCTCCTGTCAGATCAGCGGCGGCATTAGATTCTCATAGGAGTGGAACCCCATTGTGAACTGCGCATACAGGGATCCAGCTTGCAGTGCTTCTTATGAGAATCTAACTAATGCTTGATGATCTGAGGCAGAACAGTTTCATCCTGAAACCACCCCCTCACTCGCAGCCCCCAGTCTGTGGAAAAATTGTCTTCCACGAAACCAGCCCCTGGTGCCAACAAGGTTGGGGACTGCTGCTGAAAAGAGAGGACAAGGAAATCTACAAATATCTACAACAGCCAAGCATTTATTTATCTTTTTTTCCTTTTTTTGAGACGGAGTCTCGCTCTGTCTCCCAGGCTGGAGTGCAGTGGCATGGTCTCAGCTCACAGCAATCTCTGCTTCCTGGGTTCTAGCAATTCTCCTGACTCAGCCTCCTGAGTAAGTGGGACTACAGGCATGAGCCACCACACCTGGCTAATTTTGTATTTTTAGTAGAGACAGGGTTTCATCATGTTGGCCAGGCTGGTCTCAAACTCTGACCTCAAGTGATCCACCCACCTCAGCCTCCCAAAGTGCTGGGATTACAGGCGTGAGCCACCATGCCTGGCCAATTTATCTAAATTTGCCCCTATTAGTTTACACTCTTAAGATGTGGGATAGTGTGGGGACATGAAACAGAGCACTGAACATGAAGTTAGAAGACCCAGCTTCAACTCTTTCTACCATTTAGCAGTTCTCTGAGCCTCAGATCCCTCATTTAAAATGAGGCTACTTATAAAGAACAAAGCTAGAGGCATCACATTACCTGACTTCGAATTATATTGCAAAACTATAGTAACCAAAAACATAATATACTGGCATAAAAATAGACACATAAAACAATGGAACAAGATGGAGAACCTAGAAATAAATCCACATGTTTACAGTCAACTCCCCCCTCCTTTTTTTTTTTTTTTTTGAGATGAGTCTCACTTTGTTGCCCAAGCTGGAGTGCAGTGGCATGATTTTGGCTCACTGCAACCTCCGCCTCCTGGATTCCAGTGATTCTCTCACCTCGGCCTCTGGAATAGCTGGGATTACAAGCGTGTGCCACCACATCTGGCTAATTTTTTGTATTTTTAGTAGAGATGGGGTTTCACTATGTTGGCCAGGCTGGTCTCAAACTCCTGACCTCAAATGATCCTCCCACCTCGGCCTCCCAAAGTGCTGGGTTACAGGCAAGAGCCACTGTGCCCAGCCAGTCAATTCTTTTTTAACAAAAGCATCAAAAACATACATTGGGGAAAGGACAGTGTCTTCAATAAATGATGCTGGGAAAACTGGATATCCACATGCAGAAGAATGAAACTAGACTCCTTTCTCTCATCATATACAAAAATCAAATCAAATCAAAATGACTTAAATACTTAAATCTGAGACCCCAAACTATGAAATACTAGAAGAAAACATTGAGGAAATGCTCAAGGACATTAGTCTGGACAAAGATTTCCTGAGTAAGACCTCAAAAGCATAGGCAGCCAAGGGCAAAAATGGACAAATGAGATTACATCAAACTAAAAAAGCTTCTGCACAGCAAAGGAAACAACCAACAAAGTGAAGAAACAATCCATGGGGAGAAAATATTTTCAAAGCCCATCTGGCAAGGGATTAATAACCAGAATATAGAAGAAGCTCAATAGTAAAAATAAATGTGATTTAAAAAATGGGCAAAATATTTGGATAGACATTTCTGAAAAGAAGACATACAAATGGCAAATAGGCATGTAAAAAGGTGCTCAACATCACTTATCATCAGAGAAATGCAAATCAAAACTACAAGTAGTCCCAGCTACTTTGGATGCTGAGGCAGGAGGATGCCTGAGCCTAGGAGTTCAAGGCTGCAGTGAGTTATGATCATGCCACTGCACTCCAGCCTGGGAAATGCTCAAGTCTGACAAACAAAACAAAATTTTAAAAAGCCCCACAAACAACTACAATGAGGTATCATCTCACTCCAGTTAAAATGACTTTTATAAAAAAGACAGGCAATAATGGGTGCTGGTGATAATGTGGAGAAAGGGAACTCTCATATGTTGTTGGTGGAAATGTAAATTAGTACAATGGCTATGGAGAACAGTATAGAGGGTCCTCAAAAAACTAAAATTAGACCTATGATATGATCCAGCAATCTCACTGCTGGGTATATATCAAAAGAAAAGGAAATCAGCATATCAAAGAGATATCTGCATTCCAATATTTATTGCAGTACTATTCATAATAATCAACATAGACTCAATCTAAGTGTTCATTAATGGATGCATGGGTAAAGAAAATGTAGTAAATATACACAATGGAATATTATTCAGCCATAAAAAATATGAAATCCTATCATTTGCAACAGCATGGATGGAACTGGAGGATGTTATGTAAAATGAAGTAAGCCAGGCACAGAAAAACAAATAATATGAGTGTTCTCACTCATATGTGGGAGCTAAAAAAATTGATCTCATGGAGATAGAATGTAGAATGATGGCTACCAGAAGCTGGGAAGGGTAGTGGAGGAAGCATAAAAAGGGGGTGGTTATTGGATACAAAAATACAATGAGATTGAAGGAATAAGATCCAGTGTTTGGTAGCATAATAGAGCAACTGTAGTTAACAATAATTTATTGCACATCTCAAAATAACTAGAAGACGGGAGCTGGATTGTTTCTAACAAAAAAATAATAAAAGCTTGAGGTGATGAATATCCCAATTACCCTAATTTGACCATTACACATTGTATACTTGTATCAAAATATCACATGTAGCCCATAAATATATATAATTGTTATGTATCCATAAAAATAAAAAATAAAAAGGCTAACAGTATCATACTACTATATCAGAGAGATGAATAGAAGAATTAAATAATGATGATGCAAACATTTATGTAAAGACTAGACAGTAATAAGAATAAACACTTTCTGTAGCACATGGTATGTGTTGGACAATGTTCTAGGTGCTGTAGTGTATGTTAAGTCAGTGATTCCCATACTAGAGCCTGCCTCAGAATCACCTGGAAGGCTTATGAAAGCAGTTTGCTGGGCCCCATCCCCAGAGTTCTTGATTCAGGAGGGTTGGAGCAGGGTCTGAGAATTTACAGTGCTAACCAAGTTCTCATGAGGTGCTGATACTGCTGGTCAGGGACCACACTTGAGAAGCAATGTATGAGGTCATTGCCTCCTCATAACCACCCCATGAGGGGCACTAGTATCCCCCGTATTGATGAGTAAATGGAAGCTCCTAGAGCAGTGGCAGCCCAAGTGTGTGAGCCTGGGAGGGCTGGGTGCAGAGTCCAAGCTCCTTTGTACTGTGATGTAGCGCCTTGTGTTCAAAGAAGCAATCACACTGTAACAATGGAAACCAAAACCAAACCAAGAGAAAGGTGAGAAAATAAAGGGGAGATACAACCCAGTGGTGAGACTACTCATCCTTCCTAAACATGATGCCAACAGTTTAGCTAATGATCAAAAGAAAGGATAAAAATCATAAACAGGGGTAGGTAAAAGTATGTGGATGTTTAAATTGTTCTAAAAGCAGGTTAATTTAGATTATCCTCTGAGATAGCTTACTTTAAAGAATAAGGAAATTAAAGTCCATGACAGAAATGCAAATGGTGAGCGAAAGTGAGGAAGGAAAACAAGATGAATACAGACCACAGTGGTGTGTGTGTGTGTGTGTGTGTGTGTGTGTGTGTGTGTGTTCAGGGATAGGGAAGGTGTTACAAATATTTGAATACCAACTGAAAAACTGCACTGACTCCCTTATAAAAAGTTGAGTCACTCAACTGGGCGGGGTGGCTCATGCCTGTAATCCCAGCACTTTGGGAGGCCGAGGCAGGTGGATCACTTGAGGTCAGGAGTTCGAGACCAGCCTGGACAACATGGCGAAATTCCGTCTCTACTAAAAATACAAAAATTAGCCAGGTATGGTGGCGGGTGCCTGTAATCCCAGCTATGTGGGAGGCTGAGGCAGGAGAATCACTTGAACCTGAGAGGTGGAGGTTGCAGTGAGCCGAGATCACGCCAGTGCACTCCAGCCTGGAAGACAGAGTGAGAGTCTGTCTCAAACAACAGAAACAACAACAGCAACAACAAGTTGAGTCACTCACTGCATTAAACAATAAAAGCAGCTGCAGAAGCAACAGAAAAATAATCTGCTGCCTATGAGGCATGTTTAAAACCAAAGACGAGAACAGCCTTCTGCCTGAGGAATATTCTGAGGCAGAGGCTACACACTGAGCTTTCCACAGGGGCCAGGTATCCACCTTAAGTCATGACATGGGCCTGGGGTAGGACAAAAAGGAAGGAGTGGTGTGCACAGAGACAAAGTGGTGGCATCAAAGAGCCACTACTACTCAACTCCAGCTGGTTGTTGCTTCTCAAAATATGGGCCCAGTATTGCAGTTTTCTTTTTTTTTACTTTTCAAGAGAAGTTGAAAATCTAGAGTTTTACCTAAAATTTTCAGATTTTTAACAAATTAAAACATTTGTGATTCTGCTGAGAGAGTATCTGATTATAAAAAATAAAAATAAATTTCAAGAATATCATCTGGTATGCTGGGCATGGCAGCTCATGTCTGTAATGCCAGCACTTTGGGAAGCTGGAATAGGAAGATCACTTGAGCCCAGTAGTTCGAGATCAGCCTGGGCAACACAGCAAGACTCACCTCTAAAAATGTTTTTAAAATTAGCTGGACATGGTGATGCACACCTGTAGTATCTGTAGCTACCAGGGAGGCTGGGGTGGGAGGATCGCTTGAGCCAAGGAGCTTGAGGTTGGCAGTAAGTGACGATCGTGCCACTGTACTCCAGCCTGGACAACGGAGCGAGACACTCTCTTAAAAAAAAAAAGAAGAAGAAGAATATGTTTGGTAAACAAAACTTATCTGTGGGCTACCTGAGCTTATAGGCCCCACAAATCCGCAATTTCTGGTCTAATGTTTCTAATGCCTGAGCTTCAAAATAAGGAAAGGAGAATAGAAGCTCTGTGGTATCAGGGCTGAACATGATCACACAATGCAAAGGGAAACAATACTTAGTGTTTCTGTAACTCCTCTGTATTGGTTACAGGGGACTTTGCCTGCTTTATATCGAATGGTCTTCTTAGCAACCGTTAAGGGAAAAGGCAGAACTAGTTATTATGCCTGTTTTAAAGATGAGGAAACTGAGGCTGAAAGGTTAAGTCAGTTGCCCAGTTACTGGCTAATACATGAAAAATGCTAGAACTGGGACCCAGTTGTCCCAAATCCAAACTCCATGCTCTCACTGCTTCCTGATTTACACACACTGTCAACAATACACAGTTTTCTCAAGAAGAGATACGTGGATCAGCTTTCCTTACTACCACAGTCAAGAACTACTCGGCTGGGCAGGAGGATCGCTTGAGCCCAGGAGTTCAAGACCAGCCTGGGCAATGTAGTGAGACCCCTGTCTCTATTTAAGAAAAAACCAACAAAGAATTACTAAAACTTTCTCTTCTCTTTCTTTTTTTTACATTCACTTCCTTGGTCCCTTGTTCTGAGTCAAATCCTCTCTGCCCTGATACACAGCACTCCTTGAACTGCTTTCTAAACAAGACCATGCCACTAGGTCGACTTGCCCCCTTCCAGATCACCACATACAATGTGTTAATTACTAGACTTGATCTTAGCCAAAAGGCTGAGAAGCGATACAATGTATTAATTAATCTTTCAACGGTCTCATATGACTGTGAGAAGTGATACAATGTGTTAATCTTTCAACTGTCTCATATGACTGTTGACTTTCTCATATGTCTATCTCACTTTACAGATGAGAAAACCAAGGCTCTTCTTACCTCTGAGCTTCATCTTGTCCCTATTCTTTCCTATTATTAGTCCAAGGATGCTAAAGATGATACCCATGGCCAATGCTAATTTGACAGGGTGTGGCTTTGCCTTGGAAACTAAAAGTAACCAAATTTGTCTCAACCATTTTGAGACAAATGCCTATACTCCTCCCTCTACCTAGATAACACCATTCATGTCCATTCCTTGCCTGGCTAATTCCTATTCATTTTCCAGGTCTCAGCTTAGATGTCACTTCCCCCAAGAAGCCTTCTCTGGATTCCACTTTCTTGTCTAGGCTGGGTAAACTCCTCATGTGCTTTCTTCCCTTCCTTTCCCTCCTCTCCCCTCCCTTCCTTTCCTTTACTTTCCCTTCTTTCTCCCTCTCCTTCCTTCCTTTTTTTTCTTTCAAGACAGGGTCTCACTCTGTTACCCAAGCTGGAGTGCAGTCGCAGGATCACAGCACTGGAGCCTTGACCTCCTGGATCAAGTGTTCCTCCCACCTCAGCCTCCTGAGTAGCTGGGACTACAGGTGCACATCCCCATGTCTGGCTAATTTTTGTATTTTTTGTAGAGATGGGATTTCGCCTTGTTGCCCAAGACTGGTCTCAAATTTCTGGGTTCAAGCAATCCTCTCACCTTGACCTCCCAAAGCTCTGGGATTACAGGCATGAGCCACTGGGCCTAGCTCTTACATGCTCTTAAAGTTTCTTGGCTTGAAATTGCAGCACGCTAAGCAATAAGGAAACAAAAATTAAAAAGCAAAACTTCCAGGAGCGCCCTATAAAGCTTAAGAATAAAAGAATGAAAAAATAATGTATGTTATTTACTGGCTGGAGTAGTTAGGACAGGCAGAGCCCTAATGGAAAAAGGATATAAAGGATGGTATAGGATATTCATCCTATACCTTGACAGAGGACAAACGCTGGAAGCAAGGAAATGTTTATAAGAAACACTCGTGCTCTTCACGGATGCTTTCGGTATTCCATTAAAGCTTAGAAACTTAGTTTTGAGAGATACCAAAAATCATGTGGTGCAATTCACATCCAATGCTGGAACTATATTACTCTTAAATTTGTCCGGGTCAATGTAAGTATTATAAGCTTTGTTAATTCAACAGACATTCATTAAACAACTCTTATGTTCAAGGGAACTGATGACACAAAGTTGAAAAAGTATAAGGTGTCAGCCCTTAAGGAACTTGTCAGGTAGCCAGGTAGTAGAGAATAAATGGTCATTTATTTATCCACTTAGCAAACATTTATTTCATGCTCTATGCACCAACACAGTATCTTGAAAGACTGGTATTATTGTCATCTCTATTTTATAGATGAGGAAATTGGGTCTCAGAAAGGTTAAGTAATTTCTGAGCTTGCGCAATTATGGTGTCTGGCACATTCTAAGCATCTTTTATCCATTAGCTTATTTACTCTGCATAATCACCACCCGTGAGGTAGCTACTTTTGTTAGCTTCATTTACATATACGGAAATGTCATTCTGAAAGGGTAACTGACCCTACTAATAAATGGCAGAACCAGGATTACCTCCAGACAACCTGGTTCCAGCATCTATGCTCTCAACCACCATGTTCTATTGACATATTGTTAAGCCAGTCAGAGTCAAGTCAGTGTGTGAGGGTCATGTAATGAAGAACAATGCAAACAATAAATGGTCAATATAACTTGTGTCAGTTCTTTCAGTTTCTTTGATTTTTCTCTTCACTCCTTATTGTCCAGTTAACTCCATTACCAAAAATAAATTGCAGAGAAGGAAAATGGCACAATGATGTGGGGGTGATTTTGGCAACAGGTTGGGAAAATATTGCTTTGAGTGGGGGCTTCTACCCTCAGTTAACTGCAGGCTTCTAACTCTCTGAAACGTGCACATTTTAGTGTGGATGAGCTTCTTTGCATCTTTCTGGGAGAAGTTCTACAGCTTTCTTAGATTTCCCTGTGACCCATAAAAGGCTTTTAAAAAAAAAAGACCAATTATTAGCCTACTGAAAGCCAATGGAACATTAGGCACGTCAATATTTTATTATAAAAAAATCTATAAATGCTATGGAGGCATTAAAATATTTAGAACAACCCTGTGGT
Source organism: Homo sapiens (assembly GCF_000001405.40). Lineage (NCBI taxonomy): Eukaryota > Metazoa > Chordata > Mammalia > Primates > Hominidae > Homo > Homo sapiens. Next base: position 101,278,386 of record NC_000012.12, read on the forward strand.
GACACAGAAAATGTTGATGTGATAATGCCAATAACAATTTGAAAGTGTTATGTTCACTTTCTCAACTCTGATTACCTCCTCAATCCATGCATATTTCACTTCCTTTCTTCCAACTAGACTGTACTTAGCAAGGTCACCAGTGACCTTCACCTTGTCAGATCCAGCAACCACTTCTCTATCCTCGAATTTGCAGTATAGTTGGCCACCAGCTCTGCTTCCATGCCATAACTAGTCTGTTTCTACCTTACTGGCTCTCTTTCCCAGTCGCAAATGCCTCACACTTGAGGTATTTAGGTGTATTTAAGTCACGTCTGCAGCCCAGACTGCTACAGTGAGCTCTGTACAACAATATATCCAATTGTCTACTTAACATCACTCCTTGACTAAAATGTAAGCATCTCAGACCAAGTATTTCCAGTCTGGGCATGGTGGCTCACCCCTGTAATCCCAGCACTTTGGGAGGCCAAGCCAAGAGGACTGCTTGAGTCCAGAAGTTTGATACCAGCCTGGGCAATATAGCAAGATCCCATCTCTACAAATAATAATAATAATAATAATAATAATAATAATAATAATAAAAGAGCTGGGTGTGGTGGTGCATGCCTGTAGCCCTAGCTACTTGGGAGGCTGAGGTGGGAGGCTCACTTTAGCCCAGGAATTGAAGGCTGTGAATATTTTCAAATAATTAATTAATACTATTATTGCCTTTCTCGTTTGGCTCCCAGAACAGTACCTGGTCCACAGAGGACTCTCAAGAAATAGTTGCTGAATGAATGAATGAATGTAAAATGGGGTAAATAATTATATTTTTAAATTATTTTTTAAAATTGTACATATATGTATATATAACTGTACAATTTAACAACATGCTATGTGTAGACATTAAAGTGATGGGAAAAACACCAAACATTAACAGCGGTTGTGCATGAAATTAAAAGATTTTTCTTAAAACTCCTTCTCTATTTTTCAATTTTATTTACAGCGTAGTGGTTAAGAATACCAAAATTTAGAGTCTGAGTGAAGACTGCCAGTTACCAGCTGCACAACCTTGGTTTCCTCTTGTGTCAAATTGGCTTAAAAATATACACAGTACCGGCCAGGCGCGGTGGCTCACACCTGTAATCCCAGCACTTTGGAAAACCGAGGCGGGCGGATTGCCTGAGCTCAGGAGTTCGCGACCAGCCTGGGCAACAAGGTGAAACCCCGTCTCTACTAAAATACAAAAGAATTAGCCGGGCGTGGCGGCGGGTGCCTGTAGTCCCAGCTACTTTGGACGCTGAGGCAGGAGAACTGCTTGAACCCGGGAGGCGGAGATTGTAGTGAGCCGAGATCGCGCCACTGCCCTCCAGCCTGGGAGACAGAGTGAGACTCCGTCTCAAAAAAAAAAAAAAAAAAGTATATATCTATATATAGATATATAGATAGACGCAGTACCTCCTTTGTATTAACATCCCTAATAAGCTTTACTGTGAAATTATGGATGAAAGGATCTTTGCACGATGCAGGTACGTAGTGAGGGACAGTAATGTTAGTTGATAACGATTACAGGTATGTTTTATTTTATAATGAAAATACATTTGTCTTCTAAACCTTTACCGAAGGGAGTGAAAAGAACACCTCACCCAAACGCCCGCCCTTATGTGCGCAGCCCCGCCTCCTGTAGGCCCCACCCCACCAAAGGGTGCGCCTGCGCCGTTCTTTTTTCCGTCCACGTGACCCACTCAGGCTCCTCCTTGTCTCCAACATGGCGGCGCCCAGGGGCTCAAGCCGCACGTGAGAAAGTCTGGGCATCTGGGAATCGGAGAGTATAGCCTGTGAGCCGCTTTCCCCTCCTTACTGTCGGTTGCATCCCTTCGACACTCCCGAGGCCGTCGCGGGCCACTGGCCCTCTGCAGCCATGAAGACAAAGCCCGTTTCCCACAAGACCGAGAACACCTACCGGGTGAGCGCGGGAGCTTAGGCAGGGAGCCGCGGGTCTCCGCTGCCTCAGTCGTGAGACAGGCTCTGAGCGAGACTCCAGGGGCCTCAGACTTCTGGGCCGAGTGTGTCACTTTCCTGGAGGCTCCGGCGAAAGAGGGAGACACTGGATGTAGTAAACATGGGTTGGAGGAGGAAAGAAGTGTGGACAGCAAGTTTCACCCATGTTTTATGGGGTCTGGCCAGTCCTGGGAATTTCCTGTAGTCCAGAATTAAATTCACTATTCCAGGAGATTGCTTAGGACCAATTCTCCCCTGCTCTTTTATCTTTAAAGACCGAATTGGGCGAGTCGGCTGGCGGTGAGTGATTCCCAGCTAAGGGCAAATATACAGCGCTTTCTCTGTTTGCCCCTTGATAGATTGTTTCCAGGTCTTCCTTAGGATACAATCATAGGTCTGTATATGTTTAAAAACACTTTTATTGCAGCGACTTTGCTAGGTCCCCATGCTTATGGGAGGGTATGAAACCTAATAGATCTAGCGAGACTAATTGCCAGCATCCACCTAGGCTCACCAGTCTGGCAATGGAAATTTTATTTGAAATGACATAGCTGAGAGAAATTATGCAAACATAGAAGTATTCATTATCTTTGAACAGTGATGCAGTAAATTTGTTTACGGCCGTATGTTTTTCAGTTTATTTTTCCACTTATCCTTTGTGATTAGAGATGCCTACATGCAGCATTCAAATAGATATTAAAGATCTGATAAATTTTAATTAATTATGTATCTTAAATATACTTTCCCTTCCAGTTTCTTACATTTGCTGAACGACTGGGGAATGTTAATATTGATATTATTCACCGGATTGATAGAACTGCAAGCTATGAGGAGGTAAGAGAATGTGATACTAGTCAATCTTCAAGTGTTCATGGTGTTTTAGTTTCTTCTGTTAGTAGAAGTGAATTGTTTTTCAAGGTATTCCTTTTTGGACATGAAATGCTTTAGACCTGTGCTGTTTCATACAGTAGCCACATATGACAAATTGGATTTAAAGTAAATTAAAAATTTGGGTGCCCAAATGTGGCTAGTTGCTAACATATTGAATAAATATAGAATTGGAACATTTTCATCTTTGCAGAAAGTTCTGTTGGGTGAAGCTCTATTAGACAATTGACTTGACTTTCAGCTGTCTTTGTGATTCTAGCCTCTCCCTTTCCCTTATGCATTCCAAGCACTGCTGCAGATCCATATTCCTGAAGCTATAACTTTAAAGTGATTTTGAGGAAGCCCTTTTCCCGGGGCTTAATTTTCTCCTTTATAAAAATAAAGGGGCTAGACTACATAATATTTTCCAGTTTTAACCATACTCTGACTCTGTCATCCCTTTATTTTACTTTTATTTATTTATTCATTTTTTTGAGATGGAGTCTCGCTCCGTCTCCAGGTTGGAGTGCAGTGGCGTGATCTTGGCTCACTGCAATCTCCACCTCCCAGGTTTAAGCGATTCTCCTGCCTCAGCCTCCCGAGTAGCTGGGATTACAGGTACGTGCCACCACACCCAGCTAATTTTTGCATTTTTAGTAGAGACGGGGTTTTGACATGTTGGCCAGGATGGTCTCAATCTCCTGACCTCGTGATCTGCTCGCCTTGGCCTCCGAAAGTGCTGGGATTACAGGTGTGAGCCACCACGCCCGGCCTTGTCATCCTTTTATGCAGAAGTCTTTTTCTGCATCATGTCGTTATTCCTCCTAGCATTTTAAGGTCGTACGTAACATGCCTATACCTTGGCGATCCAATCTCAGTTCGTAATATTCTTCTTTACTATAATCAGACTCCACTCGCTGGGTCTTTGAATGCATTATCTCCACTGTGTAAATTCAATGTGTTAAATGATGTCGTCTAGGTGAGCACATTGTGCTTTGAGAACTCATAGTAAAGGGAACCTAACCTACATTCTTTAGGGGTGTCAAAAAAACGGTGATCTAGACGAGGTGACACCTGAATTTTGTTTATATAGGTTTTAGCATGGTAAAGAGGACAGGAAAGCCTGTTCCAGGCTGAGGGAGAAGCCTATATAAAGGAACAGAAGCTAGAGAATGCATGTCACATTCAAGAAACTGCAAAGCAGTCCAGTGTGGTTATAGGTGTGTATAGGGTGTTTTTTTTTTGTATTCATGGTGACTGGGATGGGGCAAGGGGGCAACTGGTGAGATAAAGCTGGAGAAATAGGCAAGGATCATAAAGGACTTCATATGTGAAGCTAAGTTGGGGTTTTATCCTGAAGCTGTAGGGACTTAGAGTTCTAGGACTGTAAGCAGGGGAATGAATGACATGATCAGGTTTAAATTTTCAATCTCTCTGGCTTTAGTGTGGAGAAAAGAGCAGGACTGCAGTTCTTCATCATGTCATGATTCCTCTGCTAGCCTTTTAAGGTCCTGTGTAACATGCCTTTAACTTGGAGATCCAATCTCAGTTGTCCAGTTGTGAGGATTTGACTGTTATCTAAGTAAGAAATGATTATGGTAGCAGCAATCAAGATAGAGAGAAGAGAAAGATTCCAGAGATGTTGAGGAAGTAGAATGAATGGATAGGACTTGTGACCTACTGGGTTTGCAGCAAGGAAGATAATGAGGTTAAGGCTGAATGGTTGAGGATGTTACTCATCAAGATATATTTATAGGTAAAGGAGCACAAGGTTGTAAAGATAAGATAATTAGTTCCATTTGGGGCTTGAATTTGAAATACCTTTGGCCATCCAAATGATAGTGTCCAAAAGATGTTTGTATATATGGATCTGGAGTATAGGTGACTTCAGAGGTGAAATTACAGATTTGGCATTTAGAATATGATTAATAATTTAAGCCACAGGAGAGGTTGAAGGTATCAAGAGGCAGTGTTAAGAAGGCAGAGAAGACAGCCTGAAATTAGAATCCTGGACTGGATGGTCCAGAATGGCCTCTGTCACGTGTCTGGCAGTTGGCTGTGGCTTGTTGATCTTGGTTCTTTTCATGGCCTCTTATTCCCCAATAAGCTAGACTAGGCTTCTTTTCATGGTGGCAGAATCTTTTCAATAGAGTGAAGGCAGAAGCTGTCAAGACCTCATAAAGTTTTGCTTTGGTCATGAGAGTCACTTTCATCGCATGTTATTAGTCAAAGCAAGTCAGGAGGCCAGGCCAGATTCAAAGGGTGAGGAAACAGACTCCGTCTCTTGGTGAAAGGAGCTCCAGAGTTACCTTGCAAAAGGACGTGACATGGTCTCTCACACATAGCTGACATACGCCAGGTCTGTGCTAGGCTAGAAATGCGTTCTGCATTTAAGTTTTAAACTGTGTTGCATATTTTCTTTCTGCCTTAAAGGACATGAAAATGCCTTAAAGGACATGAAAACAACAACAAAAAAATTTTAATATTTTTACTTTTGAAAAATAGAGATAGGATCTCGTGTTGTTGCCTAGGCTAGTCTCAAACTCCTGGGCTCAAATGCTCTTCCTGCCTCAGCCTCCCACTGTTGGGATTACAGGCATGAGCCATTGTCCCCAGCCTAAAACAAAATTTAATGGGATTCTCTTTCTTTTCTGCCTTTTTTTTTAATTTTTAGTTTTTAATATTTGTGGTTACATAGTATCTATTCTGCCTAACTATTGATTTTAAAGATTTCCAAAGAACAGTTTAAGGATTTTTTTTTTTGATATTGTAGATTTGGCATGCTGTTTGCATGTGTGCTTATGTGTTTATTCTCTCTTTTTTCTCTCTCTCTATAAACACATATTTGTATTTATTTTTATTTTTATTTCAACTTTGATTTTAGATACAGGGGGTACCTGTGCAGGTTTGTTACATGGGAATATTGTGTGATGCTGAGGTTTGGAGTATGGATCCTGTCACCCAGGTAGTGAGCATAGTACCCCACAGGTAGTTTTTTTTAACCCATCCCCACTTCCTCCACCCTCTAGTAATCCACAGTGTTCATTGTTCTTATATTTATGTCTATGTGTACTCAATATTTAGCTCCCACTTATAAGTCAGAACATGCAGTTTTTGGTTTTCTGTTCCTATGTTAATTTGCTTAGTATTATGGACTCCAGCTGTATCCATGTTGCTGCAAAGGACACGATTTCATTCTTTTTTAAGGCATATAATATTCCATGGTGTATATGTACTATATTTTCTTTATCCAATCTACTGTTGATGGACACCTGGGACAATTCAATGTCTTTGCTATTGTGGATAGTGTAGAGATAAACATACGAAGGCATGTATCTTTTTGGTAGAATGATTGTTTTGGGGGGGTATGCATTTATTTATACATCTATATACACACATACGTACATGTATACATACATGTCATACATGTATGATAATTTATTGGCTTTACCTTTCAAAGTACAAAGTAATTGATACCATGTTAACAAGTTAAGTAACATAGTGGTAAACTTACGAAAAGCCCATTATCTCACTCCTCCCACCCCTAATTCCCAAGGAAGCCAACACTGACAGTTCAGTATAGTTGTATTCTTCCATACTGTCCTCTCATGTTCGTATGTACAAACATTTATAGAGGGTTTTTTATTTTTGTTTTTTAAGGAAAATTGAATCCTGCCATACCCTCTCACTGCATAACTTTTATCATTTTGGGGGCATATCTTCAGTGTAGTTCTAGTTCAATAGAGATATAGCTCTTTTTAGTAGCCACATAATATACCTTAGTATATATAGACCATGGGCTATTCCAACCATTTTCCTATTGTCGGATATTTTAGCCTGTTTAATGTTTCCCCACACTGTAGTTAAGCTGAATAAACATCTTTTACTTAAAGGCTTGCAAACTTTATAAGAACTACCTGGGTCAAAGAGCGTAACTATTTTGAATTTTAACAGGAATGCCATATTACTTCTTTATAAGGTTGTAGTAATTCATATTTCTAAAAGCAGAATGAAGGAACTGTAAAGAACCAACACCTTATTCTTTGCCTAAAATTATAAAAAAACACAGAAAATAATTTTCCCTTAGTGGACAATATATATAGGCCCCAGAAAATTATTTGCTGAAACCAAATCAACAAAACAGCATTTTATAAGTGGCCTATTGATAACTTCTGATTGCTTTTTAGTGTGTTACTTAATGGCCTGTTTTAAAAAACTAAAAGGAGTTCTTAAACTCTTCAGTATCATTGTCTTAAGATATTAATATATCATTATTCTATTTACCTTGATCATTGCTTTCTTAGAGTTATTTGATTAATGGACTGCTTTAATCTTGACAGGAGGTTGAAACCTACTTTTTTGAGGGTCTGCTGAAATGGAGAGAATTAAACCTCACAGAACACTTCGGTATTTTCTATTTCGTTTCTATTTTATTCACCCATAGTTTGCACTTTATATGTTCCATACAGCTGAATAGTGGTGTGATAGAAAAGAACATATTTTTTTTTCCCCCACTCAGGAAAATTTTACAAAGAAGTTATTGACAAATGCCAATCATTCAATCAGTTGGTGTATCACCAAAACGAGATAGTTCAGAGTTTGAAGACTCACCTGCAAGTTAAGAACAGTTTTGCCTATCAACCCCTTTTGGAGTAAGTAGCATCTTGAGAGAAAGCTCACAACTATATTTGCCTGAATTTTAAGAAAGATTGTGTTTCAAAGCTACATATACCGCAGATCAGGTGCTCATAATTTAGAAACAAGGAGGATTTTCCTTTTCTGTTAGGAATAAGTGCATTACCATAAAGTGGAATCTTGGGGTATAATTTCGCATTTGTTATATACTAAGATAATCTCATTTTTCTTTGACACTATAGGAACAGTTGGCTACAACTTATGATGGAATGTAACTTCTTGCCTGATTTCTTTGCTGAGATCTTAAGATTTAAAGAATTTTATAATTTTTCAGACTTGATTTAGAAGTATTTTTATTTAATTAATCCTATGATCATAGGCCACCTACTATCGTTAAGTAGATTTGTAGCCTTTTAAAAAAATCCACATGATCAGTTGCTTCTTTTTTTAATCCAGTTTGGTTGTACAGTTGGCACGAGATCTGCAGATGGATTTCTACCCACACTTTCCAGAGTTTTTTTTGACTATCACCTCGATCCTGGAGACTCAGGACACAGAGTTGTTAGAATGGGCTTTCACCTCGTTATCATATCTTTATAAGTACCTGTGGAGACTGATGGTGAAGGACATGTCCAGTATATACAGGTAACCCCTTTCTCTCTCTAGTATGTTTTTTAATTGCCTGCTTCTTTTTCCCTGGCTTCTTTATGACTCCAAACCACTTTGCCAGCTCAGTGCCTAATTGTTTCCATGTACAAAGTTGATTCTCCAGCCAAAGTGGTCCACAATCTAGTCTGCCAGTCTGAGTTGCCATGACCATCTCTCCTCTCCAGCTACTGGAAGTATACCCACCCAAGAAGGCCTGACTCGGTCCCTACAGCCTCCACAAACAGGCACCTTTGCCAGAAGTATTAATAAAATTTTGTACTCTCTATCCTCTTGGCATTTTTTAACCACCTATGTCACACAACTTTTACCAGAATTGTTTGGTTATAATGTATTGCTGTCCTCTCTACACCTGGTATAAGGGAGGTTTAAGACAGGTTAAGAGCCCTGTTTTAAACACTGACATTTCCCCAGCCACTAATACTTACTAAGGTGAAAGAGACACTCAGTATTTGTGAGTAAATGTGGACAAGGAAAGAGAATGAATTTTGTAGTAACCTTTTGTTTAAAGTAAGCATAAATTGTCTTATTATCTGTTTAAGTCTGGGGTTTGGTGGGATTTTCCACTTGGTCTTCCGGTTGTTTTCATGTTCTATAATTGCCACAGGAGTGTTTAATATCAGTCATCAGCCCCTTACCCCACAGTAAATGGTGTATGCATGGTATGGGACAATAGACTTTGTTTTATGCCACCCGTTTCACTCAGCCCACCGTTCTCTTTTAGGAACTTTGAATGAAGAAAGAGAAAGAAATCTTTTTCCAGCCTTTACTAGTTCCCTATGAAGCTTTTGGTCAAATATGTTAGAAACCAATATTATTTCATTAAACAACCAACAAGGTCTTTGGGGAATAATTGATTTAGTTTTATGACTTCAGCTGTCATAAAAGCTGCCACTTTTATGTCTCCTAAGTCAGGCTCTTCAGTTCTAAATTTATTTGCTTTCGGTGTGACAACTTCAGTAGCCTGGCTATTTTCACTTGTATTACTGAAACTGAACTCAACACTTTCCTGTTAAATCAACTCCTCTTATCTGTACATTCATTCAAGTGTTCAGTAAATAGGTATTGAGTGTCTGCCGTATGCCAGGCCCTGTTTGGTTGCCCATTTTCTGTCATTAATACTAACGTTCTTCCTGTCTCTGAGTTTTGGAATATCAGAGGCATCACTAACCCAGTTGTCTTCAGAGGTGTCCACATCCTCTTGATTCTGTCATTCATGCATTTGCTCAGTCAATATTTATTGGACACTGTCTGTATGTCAGGCACTTGAGATACAGTCACAGATAAAACAGATAAAAAATGCTCTTCTCACAAAGTTTACATTTTAGCAGGGGGAGAATGTCTTGGGCACATGCCCGGGAGAAGTTTTAGGTGGCCGAGCAGCCTGTATAAGGGTGAGACTAGCTAAGTGATGTCAGAGAAGCAGTAGTAAGGCGCCAGATCATCCAGGGCCCTGTGGACCGCTGTAAGGTCTTCAGCTTCATTGTGGGCACTCCTGAAATGTCTACTGGGTTCATCCCTTGCCATTTTGCCTCTCCTTCCAGTCTCTTTCATGCCTGTTAGCCCAAGCTTGTATGACTTGAGCACCTTTCTGACTGAATTAGCAGACTCTTCTTTCCTCCTTTATTTTATCCTGTATATTGCTGCCAAATTAGTCTTTCTGAAAATGGTCATTTCTCATTCAGCCAACATTTATTAGTACCTGCTGTCAGCAAGGAACTATTAGGTACTGGGGTTATGAGAAAATTGGAGAGATATATTCCATACCCTTCTATCATTAGGGAGACCAAATTTAACAATGTGATTATATATAAGTAATTATTTAGTTATAGATGCATGGCTGCTTGACCTTGAGCAAGTTGCTTATGCTTTCTGCCTCACTTTCATTATCTGTAGAATGGGAGGATTATAATAGTACCCATCCCATAGAGTTATTGTGCTGATTAAATGGCGTAACACAGAGTAAGTGCTTATACAGATGTAAGCTAGACCTGTCTACCTGACCAACTTTATCCATAGCTGCTCTCCTCTACTGTATCATCTTTCCTCTTTTAGATGGACCAGCCTCCTTGTCATGACCATGATCATTTCCACCTGCCTCATCTTTGCTCTTGCTTTTATACCAATAATATGGACTGCAGTCCCCACCTAATTCTTCTTTCATTCAGAGCTCATTACAAATTTCAACTTTTCCTGGAGTCTTGTTTGTAAAACCAGTACCACCAGTCCTAGGACTCTTCATGTCTGTGGTCAAGTCTTCCTTTCAACATGTGGGTGTCTCCATAAATGAATGAGATTTTAAATTTGTTTGATACCTGCTGTGTATTCCTTGCATACCCAGCACATTGTTGCCCATATTGTTGACATGTAGTATGTATTTATTACAATTATATGATTAATGAAATGTATCTTATTTTTTTCATGTATAGCATGTACAGCACACTCCTGGCTCATAAAAAACTACATATAAGAAATTTTGCTGCTGAAAGTTTTACTTTTTTGATGAGAAAGGTTAGTCTGGTATTTTATCTGTTTGTTGCTAATCATCAAGAATCTGATGAATAGGCCAGGCGTGGTGGCTCATGCCTGTAATCCCAACACCTTGGGAGGCCGAGGCAGGTGGATCACCTGAGGTCAGGAATTGGAGACCAGCCTGACCAACATGGCAAAACCCCGTCTCTACTAAAAATGCAAAAATTAGCTGGGCGTGGTGGCGCGCACCTGTATCCTCAGCTACTTGGGAGGCTGAGACATGAGAATTGCTTGAGCCCAGGAGGTGGAAGTTGCAGTGAGCTGAGATCACACCACTGCACTCCAGCCTAGGCGACAGAGCAAGACTCCATATCACACACACACACACATACACACACACACTAGTAATAATAATAATAATAATAATCTGATGAATAGAAGTAGATATCTTTTAAAAATGTGGTTATTATGGGCTAATTTTTTCTATGTATCTATATATATACTTAACAGAAATCTGTTACTATTTTGAATTTATCTCACAGTAAGACTTATTTGTTGCTCACAAATTGATGTGATCTAATTTGGGTCACTATTGTATTGTTATTTAGGTTTGTGATAGCTTTCAGTGTGTATATATCAAAAATGCTCTCTAATTCAAGTCAGTAAATACATGAACTGTGACATTAACAAGAACTTTTCTAATAGTTTCCTGGAAGTAACTGGTAGCATGGTGTCATTTGTGTTTGTATAAAATATTCATAGTAAATTTTAGAGGGTTTTTGTAATAAAACAAAAACATTAATATTAAATTTTTTATTTCATAAAATACAAATATTTTACTGTATACAATACAAAATACAAATGTATTTACTTTAAAAGATAGAATGTTGACTTCTGTAGTTTTTTTTGTAGTACATATCTTCCTGTAATACCAATGAATTCACTCTTTTGTGTGACATTCCAAGTGAGAACACACTATTAGAGTAGTTTGAAATCATTACAAATGTCTGTTCTTTTCACAATTTTTTCCTAAGTATATTTAAATAACAATATATAGAATAGCAAATGAGAGTTCTTCATTTGGATATGTTTATGTTTGTGAATATAATTTTCCATTTCTACTTTATATTTTAGGTCTCTGATAAAAACGCACTTTTCAATTTAATGTTTCTTGATCTTGATAAACATCCAGAAAAAGTTGAAGGTGTTGGACAGTTGCTCTTTGAAATGTGCAAAGGAGTTAGAAATATGTTTCACTCCTGTACAGGCCAGGTACATAATGGGGAGGGGTGCTTAGAGTCTATGTGGATGGATGAAACAGAAAGTAGAAAAGAATGAGGCAAATGATGTGGAGGGAAGACAGCCTAGAGTACATAGCACTAGATGAGGAGTGTTGGGTGTTCAGTAACAATGCTTACCCAATGTAGGCCTTGGACAGTGAGATGTTACTTACAGAGCCATTGATGTCTTCTTTATTTTGGATGCTAGGGGGTAAGATAAATTGATTAATGGGCAAGGGCAGGTGGGGAGGGAACAGTTGTAATGATAAAATTCCCATCCTAGTTTAGAAGTTCCTTTTGGGACACGTTATTAACCATCAAAGTTGCCATATCCTTGACTATTCCAGACCTGATTTTTAAGGTAGCTAATGTAATCAGAGTGGTGACTCCCAGAGCAATACTTGAAAATAAGAGTTTATATATTAATGTTAATGACTTGTATTCCCACAGGCAGTGAAGCTAATTTTGCGAAAGCTAGGACCAGTCACTGAAACAGAAACTCAACTACCATGGATGTTAATTGGAGAAACACTCAAAAACATGGTCAAATCCACTGTATCCTACATCTCCAAGGAACATTTTGGTACATTTTTTGAATGTTTGCAAGTGAGTTCTAATCTTTAAGGATGGGTTTTTGATAAGGAGTCTAAGAATTTACTGTTTCTGCTCTCAGTTTTGCAAATCACTCCTAGAAGTTATATTTTATAATTGTTTTATTTATACTTCTGTACACATATTAAAATTTTCCTTCCCTCTGCCCCCCTGTGCTATTTTTTATTTGATATGTTATCTTGAGATGCAGTAGAAGGCTCTGGAGCCAGACTGCCTGTTTGAATCTTGACCCTTCCACTTACTGCTAGTGTAACCTGGGAAAATTATTTGAAATCTCGATTCCCCAGTCTCTTCAGATAATAAATGGGGGTAGTAATATTCTCTCCCTCAGGGTTGCTGTGAGGATGATGAGTGAATACTTGTAAAAAACTTAGAATGGGCCGGGCACAGTGGCTCACACCTGTAATCCCAGCACTTTGGGAGGCCGAGGTGGGTGGATCACCTGAGGTTGGGAGTTCGAGACCAGCCTGAACAACATGGAGAAACGCTGTCTCTACTAAAAATACAAAATGGCGCATGCCTGCAATCCCAGCTACTTGGGAGGGTGAGGCAGGAGAATCGCTTGAACCTGGGAGGCAGAGGTTGCGGTGAGCAAAGATTGCGCCATTGCACTCCAGCCTGGGCAATAAGAGTGAAACTCCATCTCAAAAAAAAAAAAAAAAAAAAAAGACTTAGAACAATGCACTCAGCCAATGTTAGCTGTTATCGTTAGTGAGTCCTGGTAAATGTATCTTTTTCTTCCAAAGCAAGAGAATGGGAAAAGTTGAACTGTCCCACAGTTTTTATTGTTGGATTAACAGTTGAGTTTGATACTTTATATTCTCTCTGTTAAATTCTTTGTTTGCAGGAATCGCTCTTGGATCTACACACAAAAGTAACAAAAACTAACTGTTGTGAAAGTTCTGAACAGATTAAAAGGTTGTTGGAAACATACCTTATACTTGTAAAACATGGAAGTGGGACAAAGATACCCACGCCTGCTGATGTCTGTAAGGTGAGTTCCCAACTTAATATGCTCGAGAGTCTGGTTTTTAAAAGCTGATTGCTGAGTATGCATTGTTTTTTCTTTTTGCAGGTGTTATCTCAAACACTGCAAGTAGCCAGTCTCTCCACATCTTGCTGGGAGACCCTCTTGGATGTAATTTCTGCTTTGATCCTGGGTGAAAATGTTTCCTTGCCGGAGACCCTCATCAAAGAAACCATAGAAAAAGTAATTTACTTCAACAAATATTAATTGAGCAGTTAATAATATGTTTAGCATTGAGTAACCTTCTGAGGAATACAAGTGAAGTGTGACAAAGGCTCTGCCCTCAAGGAATTTATAATCTTGTTAAGGAAATGGGAATTGCATGCAGTAATGTAAATAAACAAAATAAAGTGTGATAAAAGCTTAATTTATATAGCAAATAAGCAAAATAAAGTGTGGCAAAAGCTAAATCTATACATATTCTGCAATATATGTAAGCACATATTGCAGTAAGCAGTAGAGCTTACTGTGTGCTGGGTATGAGCTGGCTATTCCAGGGTAAACAGTGATGCCTGCAGGTTTTGATAGTTGTTGGAGAAATGGAGCCTGGAACCGAGTAGTTATAGTCTAGCGAATTTGTCTGTTGGAGATATATTGAATTATAACTATTAATTCTGCCTGGGGTTGAGGAACAGAGAAAGCTTTTCAAAGGACTTGTATTTGGGATAGTCCTTGAAGGTTGAAAAGCAGTCTGCCAGTCAGAAGCGGGGTTAAAAATACTAAGAGAGGGAACAGAAAAGACGTGTGTTCATAAATGTTTGCAGTCTGAGCGCATGGACACATGATATGACATGATATCAGCAAAGCTCTGGCTTGGCTTTGAAAAGTTAGGTTGGGTTTTATCCTGCATTAGTGGAGGACCCTGAAAGAATTCCAAGCAGGGATATGATTTGATGAGATTTGCATTTTAGTGAATTTGGAAGTAGGATTGGAAATAGAAAGGTTGGTTAAGTTCTTTCTAGCTTAATGGAGCACAGTAGTACACTTTGAGGGAAGATATACAATCATGCTGTTTGCCCTTTCATAATTCACTGTAGCTGGGCAAGAGTTGAGCAGCCTTTAGGCAGAGCCCTGTGTAATCAGCAGAAGCCCTTTGCATCTGTGGAAGCACCTTTGGAGAAGGCCGGGCAACTGGACAGAGCACTGAGTGAAGTGTCCCTGCCATTCCCTTCTATAGCTGCTTGCTGGGGGGATGGGGAAAATACTCTCTGTGTACTTACATTAATATTTTTTACCTTGGTCACAGATATTTGAGAGCAGATTTGAAAAACGTTTAATTTTCAGTTTTTCTGAAGTCATGTTTGCCATGAAGCAGTTTGAGCAGGTAAGCAAGTTACTAAGTTCGGAGTATTTTTAAAAACAAATCTGTCAGGAAAAAACGATCAAATTTGAAATCCTGTTATTTCTGTTTGTTTTTTGAGAGGAACAGGATAAGTGCTTGATGTTTTAGTCAATATGTTTTTTAAAGAAATTATATTCAATTCTAGATTACTTGTTTTTTTAATAATCCTTTAGGTAGTTACAGAACCGTGTGGTAAAATTGAAAAAACAGTTTAAGAAACTTTTATGTGAATTTGAAGCATAGAAAATAGTTTGTGAAACAATTTGCACTGGTGGAAGTTTGCAAATTGATTTCATTGCTCCAAAATAAGGTAACTGAGTGAGGGAGAAAATGTTCTTATCTAATCCTGAATTTATTTTATTTTTTTCTCTTCCTTCTCATCAAACACTTGGCCCTCCTCCTAACTAGTAACCCTACAGTATACATCATGGAAACATATCTCTGTATCTGTCCTCTCAATATTCTTCCTTTTAGCCTTTAATACTATATATTCTCATTTGCCTAAAAAGAACACTTTTGTACCTGTCCAAGATCTGTTTCTTTCTGCCCCAGGAAGACTCTTCATCTTGCTCTGTTTAACAACTGCATTTTTCCTTTCTCCCGTGTTCCCTTTGGTCTTTTTATTTTTTTTTAATCTTATTTTTATCCAAATACTGCTTACACGTCTGTAGTTTAGGAAGACAAACCAGGTTAAATGGCAGTCATTTGTTTTCTGCTCCCATCTTATTAGCAGCCATCGGGTCTAATGATTTTTAGCTATTTTTTTTCTTTTCTTTCTTCTTTTTTTTTAGAGACGGAGTCTCACTCTGTCGCCCAGGCTGGAGTGCAGTGGCATGATCTCGGCTCACTGCAACCTCTGCCTCCCAGGTTCATGCCATTCTCCTGCCTCAGCCTCCCAAGTAGCTGGGACTACAGGCACCCACCACCACGCCTGGCTGATTTTTTGTATTTTTAGTGGAGATGGGGTTTCACCATGTTAGCCAGGATGGTCTTGATCTCCTGACCTTGTGATCTGCCTGCCTCGGCCAGCTATTTTTTTCTTATATTTACTTTATACTTTTAAATCATCTGAATATACTGCTTTACCTTGGTTTGCTAGTTTTGGTTCTCATGTGTAGACTTCCTCCTATGGCAGATGGACTTTAGTTCCTTTATACCTCTCATGCTCCCAATAGAATTATATTAGAAATTTTGGTTGAATCCATATTCACCACATACTTATATAAACAAGGAGTATTTTATGATTATATGACCTTTTTGTATACATTCTCGTTTTTCTTTTTTTTTTTTTTTTGTCGAGACATAGTCTCACTCTGTCACCCAGGCTGGAGTGTAGTGGTGCCATCTCTGCTTACTGCAACCTCCACCCTCCGGGTTCAAGTGATTCTCCTGCTTCAGGCTCCTGAGTAGCTGGGATTACAGTCATGTGCCCCCACGCCTGGCTAATTTTTGTATTTTTAGTAGAGACGGGGTTTTACCATGTTGGCCAGGCTGGTCTCTTAACTCCTGACCTCAGATGATCTGCCTGCCTCGGCCTCCCAAAGTGTTGGGATTACAGGCATGAGCCACCACACCTGGCCTCATTTTTCTTAGAGTTTATAATTGCCTCGTTCTTTAAAAACTGGAAATTGTTTTCTTTGAATGGCTGGCCAAAGAGTCTGTCTTCCAGCAGCTTTATAAATGTCCTTCACATGACAAAACTGTCAGATAATTTAGCAGCTCAATTTTTCTTTTTCTTCTTTCTTGGAGACATTTCTCCTGGAGCAAGTCCAGTCTAAATGCATTGCTTTCTCTGCCCAGTGCACAAATGTTGTACTGGGACTTCCTTTTGCTTCTCTCTTGTTTCCTGGGTTCCGTGTTCTCTTCTTCTTATAGTTTAGTCTCTAATTTTGGTGGAATTTATTTTTCATAATTTCCTGGGGGTAGGGAGGGTTCATGGAGATAAAATATTGAGATTTAATACATCTGAAAATGTCTTTATTCTCTCCTGACACTGCATTATTAGTAGACAGGGTATAGAATTCTAGATTCTAAGTCATCCTTCCTCAGAGTTTTAAGACATGGCTGCACAGTCTTTAGTTTCCATTGTTCCTATGTAGAGGTCTAATGCCATTGTGATTCTTGATCCTTTGTTTTTGGTCTAGTTTTTTGAATTGTTAGCATCTTCTCTTTATTATATCTGTTAATAAGTGTGATTTTTTTTTTCTTAACTTTAGCTTTTTCTACCAAGCTTTCTGTCATATATTGTGAATTGCTTCTTAATTGATGATGCTGTAGTCAAAGATGAAGCTCTGGCCATTCTGGCCAAGCTCATTCTGAACAAAGCAGCACCTCCCACTGCTGGCTCGATGGCAATTGAAAAGTACCCTCTGGTTTTCTCACCGCAGATGGTGGGGTGAGTTCTAACTTTTTATTCCTGTAATGATGATAAGTTTACCCATTTAAATGTAATGTATCAAGAATACTGTAAAAAAATGATCTATATGTAACAGGAAAGATGTCCATGATAAGTTGTGTGAAAAAAGCAAGTTGTAGAGCTACACACATAGTACGTATAGTATGATCTCATTTTGCAAGGTAAAGCAAAAAGTGTGTATGAACATAGAAAAACATGTGGAAGGATACAGAAACTTGTTAACTTTGTTTAATCAGAAGGATGGTAAGGGAAAGACAGAGGTGACTTAATTTTTTAACCATTTATTTTAAAGTTATTGTAGATTCACGTGCAGTTGCAAGAAATAGTACAGAGAGGTTTCGTATACTCTTCACTCAGATTACTCCATTGGTACATCTTGCATGAGCATACTGCGATATCACAACTGTAGAATTGACATTGGTGCAATCCATCAATCTTATCAGATATCATCAGTTGTATGTGCACTCATCTGAGTGTGTATACTTATATAGATATATAGTCATATGTAGTTTTATCCTGTGTTGATTTGTAACCACCACCAGAGTGAATATCTGGAACTGTTCCCTCACCACGAGGATTCCTCATGCTACCTTTTAATAACCACACTCCTGGCCAGGCGCGGTGGCTCACGCCTGTAATCCCAGCACTTTGGGAGGCCGAGGAGGGCAGATCACGAGGTCAGGAGATCGAGACCATCCTGGCTAACACGGTGAAACCCTGTCTCTATTAAAAATACAAAAAATTAGCCAGGCGTGGTGGCGGACGCCTGTAGTCCTAGTTACTCGGGAGGCTGAGGCAGGAGAATGGCGTGAACCCGGGAGGTGGAGCTTGCAGTGAGCCGAGATCACGCCACTGCCCTCCAGCCTGCACGACAGAGCGAGACTTCATCTCAAAAAAAAAAAAAGAAAAATACAAAAAATTAGGTGGGTGTGGTAGCGGGCGCCTGTAGTCCTAGGTACTGAGGAGGCTGAGGCAGGAGAATGGCGTGAACCCAGGAGGTAGAGGTTGCAGTGAGCCGAAATCATGCCACTGCACTCCAGCCTGGGCGACAGAGCAAGACTCTATCTCAAAAAATAAAATAAAATAAAATAAAAATAAAAATTATATACCTTTGTATTGTTTCAGTTGTTAAGTGTCATGGATTACTTTCTTAATTTCATTCAAAATGACACATTGTTTAGAAGTTAAAAACAAAGCTTATTTACATACATGAGAAGATTTATTGTATCATTTCTCAAATAGTTAAGTGGGTATGCTTCTAGAAACTGTAGCTTAGGAAACCAGTTCCCTTGTCATTCCTTTGTTTTTATACTTAATCTTCTTATTTCTCTTGGAGTAGTTAGACCCGTTGTTGTGTTTTTGGTTTGCTTTGAGGCGGAATTGATGGGCATTCCTTGAGTTTGTGCTGAATACTCGACTTTGAAACATCCATGGAGGTGGGAGTTACTGTCCCACAGTCACAGAGCAGAGCTAGCTTTTGAGTTTGATCAGCTTGAGGTTCTGGAGGAACCTATTTTCTTTTTTAAATGTTTTATTTATTATTATTATTATTTTAAGAGCAGGTCTTGCTCTGTCACCCAGGCCGGAGTGCAGTGGCACAATCACGGCTCACTGCAGCCTCGATCTCCAGGGCCCAAGCTATCCTCTCACTTGAGCCTCCCAGGTAGCTGGAACCATAGGCACGCACCACCATGCCCAGCTAATTTTTTAATTTTTGTAGAGACGAGGTCTCGCTATGTTGCCCAGGCTGGTCTCAAACTCCTGGACTCAAGTGATCTTCCTACCTTGGCCTCTCAAAGTGTTGGGGTTACAGGTTGAGCCACTGTGTTTAGCAAACTCATCTTAACACCTACTTATATCTTCTGTATACCTTACAAATTGCTTCTCTATTAAAATATGCCAACAGAATCTTGTTGGTTTTTAAATGTATTGAATTCTGATTCCTGAGGAATGGGTAGTGAGTAACTCCAATAGAATTATTCCTTTGAAACTTTTCCCTTGATTTGTCAACACCCAAGCCCATCTCCAACAGGCAGATTCCTTGCACATGCCAAAACTGAGTTCTGTGCAGGGAGAGTGAAGCTGCTTTGTTGTTTGGCTTCCATGAGGTGAAGCTAAGGGACTGACTGAGACTGGGCGTCAGACCTTCTTACCCCATCATCTCAGCCATCTCAGATCCTCCCAGGAGGGTGACGTGTTAAATAAATAAATTTCGATGTGCTAACTCATGGCAAGTTCTTCCACTTCTGTGTTTCTTTCTCTGCAAAAACACCCCTCTGCCACCCCCAACGGAGATATGGTATGTGTGAATGGTCACCTTTGTTTTGATTCCTTCTATGAAGATTTTAAAATCATAGTTTGAATATTACTAGTAACACTCTATCTACCCATCTCACCAGTTTGCTGTGAGAAAAAATAAAGATAATAAATGTGAAAAGACTCTTTAGGAGATAAACTTACTGTCGTTTGACAACTACTTACGGTATCAGGCACTGGATACTGGGGTGCAACAAAGAATAAGAAAAAAGTTCCTTCTTTTGGGGAAAGGAATGTGGTGAGGCGGGTAAGCAAATAAGCGAGATGATTTCAGATCCTGATCGTGATAAAAGAAGACAAAGCAGTGTTGAGAGGGAGACTGAATGGAGAGGGGTCACTTTCCAGAGAGGGAACGTTTGGTCCAATTTTAAGCTGGGAAGGATCCAGCCTTGCAAAGATCTCAGTGAGAGACTCTCCAGACAGAAGGAAAAGTTAACTGCAAAGACTCTGGGACAGGAATAAGCTCAGCATGTTTGAAGTACAGAAAGAAAACCTCTGTGGGTAAAGAGCAAGGAGGAGATTGGGGTGAGAGGAGATGGAGGTGGGTGAGGGTCAAATCACAGAGGGCCTTACAGGATGACTTAAGGAGTATGGACTTCATTGGTGGAGCCATTGGCAGGTCTAGAAAACGGGAATGACGTGGCAACTAATGACTCATTTTTGTTTTTTAAAGCATCTTAGTATTTTGTAAGATTTTTGCAGATTGTTGAGTCATGATTATTACTAAAAAGACTATATATATCAAGATGTGGTGACTTTAAGGAATTGATAATTAAATTAACTTAGTTATCTATCATGATTTCCAGACACTAAACATCCTGGTAAGTATGAAACAAAAGAGAATGTAGCTTTTTGGAGAATTTTTTTTCTTTGTTTTTGTTTTTTTTTTTCCTTCCTTCCCCTACCTGACCATTTTTTGGTGAATTTTAATGATAAAAAGGGTGCAAGAGTAAAAACCTGATATTCCACTTCTATTGCATAACAAGCTAACCAAACTGGAGTTGGAGGATAATTGTAAAACAGATCATTTAACTTAAGATTTCTGTGATTTTTCTTTTGATTAGATTTTTGTCTTTCAAATAGGACCGAGGTGTAGTACATTGGCAAAAATAAAAAGAGGCTAACAAGAATAGTTAGCCTCTATCTAATCTGTGACCAGAGTCACAGATATTCAAAACAGAATGTCATGTCGAAAAATGTCATTGAGCAACTGTGTATCTGATCAAAGCAGCAGGAGAAAATTACTTATATGTCATAATCATTTTAGTGGTATTCGTCAACTTCATCACAGTAACTTTGCAACATCATTCTACATTTGTGGAAAGTAGTAAAATTCATGTCAAAAAGGAAAGGGAGAATGGAGGAAGTCAGTTCATTCCAGTGAATTGTCAATCAAAAACATGCCCAGGAGCACAAAATTGAGAAATCATACTTAAAACTAGAAGAAACTTGGTTTAAGTTATAAAGCAAATTAAAATAGAAGTGAAAGGAAGTAGAGCCAGTGGAGTTGAAAAAGCTTCTCACTGAAAACTCAGTAAATGACTCACATTTGTTTAGCTCAACCACCACCACCAATTCCTTCCCTCTAATGCTCCACAATGGTAAGAATCCAATTTTATTTCAGACTTCAGAGGGCAAGAGCGATTACATTCTCTGTTATTTTAAACATTTTTTTTAATCCTTCAGATTCTATATAAAGCAGAAGAAGACTAGATCCAAGGGAAGAAACGAACAGTTTCCAGTATTGGACCATCTTTTATCTATAATTAAGTTACCCCCAAATAAAGATACTACTTACCTTTCACAATCTTGGGCAGCCCTCGTGGTGTTACCTCATATTAGGTAAGAAAATAAGCTATGTTTAATTTTGAAAGAGATAACATGCTGATTAAAATATGTTAGCCATTCCTTGCTGTTCTCTGAAACAAACCATTGAATGCCAGTTTGAACTTTTCCCTTTTTCTCCCCCTTGGACAGACCTCTTGAGAAAGAGAAGGTGATACCACTCGTCACCGGCTTCATAGAGGCACTCTTCATGACTGTTGACAAAGGAAGCTTTGGGAAAGGTCAGTTACAATCATCATGTGTTCTCTTCTCTTCTTTTCTGGCACACTCAAAGTAATTGTAAACACATGAGCTATTAGAGAATAATACTTACATTGTGTTCTGGCATAACCCCCTGGATGATAAATCTGGAAGAAATGAGGATATGATGGGCATGTCTCACTTGTACCACATAATGTGGTGACTGGGTCACGGTGGCTTGAGCATAAGGAAGGGGACATATCAAAAGGATGCCATGGCTTAGAAGGCCATTTGTTTTTGAGCCCCATACCAGGTCCTCTTTTTCATCTCCCACGTACATCTGACTCCTAGTATACACCTTATGCTCCAAGCAAATCCATTTGCTTACCATGAGAAAGACACATTCTTTTGCAACTTTTACAACTGTATGGCTGCCTTTGCCCATGTGTTTCCTCTGCATGGAGACCCTTCTAGGTCTTTGTCATTCAGTGAACTCTTGCTTATCTTCCAAAACTCAGCTCAGGCACAACACCTCTAGGAAGGCCTTTATGACTCTTTAGGCAGAATTAGACTGCCCTGCCCAAAACACCATTTCCTATTAGATATTTATATGTCTCCCCCACTAGTCTGCAAACGGCAATTCAAAAGCAGTTATTTAATATTTTGTTTTATTCTAATGCAAAATTTTTTAAAAATCACGTGTATATAGTGGTCATTCATTCACTTAAATATTAATGTGCTACATTCTGTGTTAGATACTAAGCAGACGTATTAGAGAATAAAGTGGACTCGCCGCATGTCAAGTGCTCTGTAGCCATATGTGACTGGTGGCTACTGTACTGGATTGTGGCGACATATTAGGACAAGTATTTTTACCATTGTAGAAAATTCTGTTATACAGCACTGATCTAGAGCCTAGAGCAGGGACTGGTAAAATCTTTTTGTAAAGGACCAGACAGTAAATGTTTTAGGTCTTATGGGCCACATTCAGTCTTTGTGGCATATATATGTATATATACACACATACATATATATATTTTTTTAAACAACCCCTTCAAAATGTAAAAAACATTTTTAGCTTGCAGTCCATATAGAAACAGGCTGCTTACCAGATCTGACTTGCAGACCATATAGTTTGCTGACCTCTGGGCTAGAGACATAGTTTGCTGACCTCTGGGCCAGAGACTAAATGAGTGTTTAATTAATATCATTAATTATGTTGGATATCATGGCTTAGGCCTGTAATCCCAGCACTTTGGGAGGCTGAGGCGGGAGGATCACTTGAGGCCAGGAGTTCAAGACCAGCTTGGGACACATAGTGAGAGCCCCCCCCGCCCAACTCTGACTCTCTATTTAAAAAAATAAGGCTGGGTGTGGTGGCTCATGCCGGTAATCCCAGCACTTTGCGAGGCCGAAGTGAGTGGATCACCTGAGGTCAGGAGTTTGAGACCAGCCTGGCCAACACGGGGAAACCCCATCTCTACTAAAAATACAAAAATTAGCTGGGTATGATAGCACATGCCTGTAATCCCAGCTACTGGGGAGGCTGAGGCAGGAGAATCACTTGAACCTGGGAAGTGGAGGTTGCAGTGAGCCGAGATCACACCACTGCACTCCAGCCTGAGCGATGGAGCAAGATTCTGTCTCAAAATAAATAAATAAATAAATAATATCATTAATTGAATGTATTATGGGTAGTAGCCATTGAATATGTGACTTCTTATAAACTTGAAAAATAAAATCAACAAGTTTTATACCAAGATAATTTCTTAGCTATTGATAAATCCAAGCCTGCACTCCTCAAAAGTACTAGTTTTGATAACATCAGTGAGTGGGACCATTATACTTGGTACTCATTTTGGTTAATGGAACATACACATTTTTATTCTCTACTTCTGAGTATTTATTTATTTATTTATTTATTTTGAGACTGTCTTGCTCTGTCACCCAGGCTGGAGGGCAGTGGCACGATCATGGCTTACTGCATGCAGCCTTGACATCCCAGGCTGAAGCAATCCTCCCATCTCAGCCTCCTGAGTAGTTGGGACTACAGGTGTGAACCACCATGCCCAGCTAATTTTTAATCTTTTATAGAGATGAAGTCTCACTGTGTGGCCCAGGCTAGTGTTGAACTCCTGGCCTCAAGTGGTCCTCCCACCTCAGCACCCCCAAAGTGCTGGGATTACAGGTATGAGCCACCATGACCAGCCTGTATTTTTCTTAAGAAAGGTAAAATATAGGACTTGGAAACTTCTCTTTTCTGTTTCTTTCTGTTATATTTGGATGTTTGACAGACAATTCTTTGGAAGGCATAAATTCACTTTAAGAACTTCCCATAAGTAGCAAGTATTCAATAAATAAGGTGTTTGATAGTTAATAATGTCAAAGAAATAAGTAATGTGGTTTCTCCTGTTTTTCTGCCCTTAGGAAACTTATTTGTTCTTTGTCAAGCTGTAAATACTCTACTAAGTTTGGAAGAATCTTCTGAACTTCTTCATTTGGTTCCTGTGGAACGTGTGAAGAATTTAGTATTGTAAGTAAACATCTTCCAGTTGGTTTAGTAATGAATAAAATATAAAAGCCTCTATTGTTGTGAAATCTTGGACACAAAGAAAATCCCTTTGATCTATTTTATACCTGAGTTGTATTCACGTAGTGAAATTTAATATTGATTTAGATCCTCCAGTTAAAATAAGTACATTTGACACAGTCTTTAAATACAGATTCATCTTTGTAAAGGGTGTTTTATTGCGTGTGTAGATTAATGTCGTAAAGTTTGAAGGGTTTGTAATGCTGATCATTCCCAACTGTAACGTGGCATGATGTTGACCTTTTATAACTTCTTTAGTGGTTCCAACATGCACATTCCCACTCTTGTTCGGCCTCAACTTGAGGTGATCAGCATTTCAGAAAACTTCCCTGTGGTCTTTTTACTACACACTGAAACAATCCAGTTTCTTTTTTTTTGTTGGTTTGGTTTCTTTGTTTGCTTTTTAAGTATAGTTTAGCCAGCCTTTGATTTTGATAGCAGCACAGAGCCATTTGAGAGGAGCCAACAATATATCTTTTCTAAAGGTCAAGCCTTGCTGCTTTTTCCTGAAGTCTACTCCATTTTATTTCCAAGTGTTTTAAAGATTTATTCATTCACTTTGTTCAGTAGGTAATCATTTGCTTTTCTCACATGCCAAGCCCTGTTCCAGGCACTGTGAAACATAGTGAATAAAACAGACAAAATTCCCTGCCTTCTTGTAGCTAATGCTCTAGCCAGAAGAGGCACTAAACAGAATAAAAAGTAAACTATATAGCGTGTTAGGAGGTGCTAAGTGCTGTGAAGAAAAACAAAGCAGGGTCAGGAGATAGGGAGAGTCCAGAGGTGAGGGGAGCGGTAGCAGTTTTAAATCAAGGTGAACTTACTGAGGAGGAGACACTTAAGCAGAAGGCGGAAAGCAGTGAGGGACGTAAGCCATGAGGATACCTGCGGTCTGGGCTGCTCCCTGGGTTCCAGACCTGGAGGCGACATGAATGCCAACGCTCTGTGGGGGTGGTGGGTGCCTGGCTTGAACAGCAAGGAGAGGTCATCTTGGCTGAGCAGAGCACGAGAGTGGGCTGTAGGAGAAGAGGACAGAGAGGTGGAGGCAGTAGACCTCCTTAGGTCACCGTAGGGCCTTGGCTTTTACTCTGAATGAAAGGGGAGGCCATGGGAGGATTTTTGGCAGTGGAATGACTTTGACCTAAACAGAATCACTCCGGCTGCTGTGTTGAGACTGTAGGGGAATACTATAATAATCTGGAATCTCTTTGCCTTTCCAAATCTGGGTGAAGTTGGCATTTCTCCATGGTTAATTGCATTGGTTTAAATTAACTTCCTGTAGAGAGGATTAGTTCTTTGACATCACCACATTTACCATATTACATAGTCTCCCTTTTAAAATCATTCTGTTTAAACTTCTCATACTTTCACCCTTGGTATAAACAATTGAAGGTGGCTGTAGAAATTGAAACAAAAGACACACATAGCACAGAATGGGGTCCATGTTCCCCTTGGGGAAGGCCAGCTTGCCTCCCAGCCAGGTGGCTCTAAGCCTTGGAGACACAGAGTTGTCCAACAGGAGTGGCTCTGGTTTTGAGGGCAGGGGCATAAACTTGCAGAGTAGATGCAGGATTCTGTTCTCTTTGCTATGCTAGTAGACTGATGAGCACCTAGGTTTCACAGCCAAGACTGCCTGGTTTTGACTCTTGAATCCACCACTTACTAGCTGTAGCCTTGGGTGACTTAGTTAACCTCAACTTGATTATCTCTCAAAAAGGGGTAGTGAAGAAAAAAAGGAAGGAATAGAAATCTCACCTTGTAGAGATTAAGTTATACAATGCATGCAATAATAGTAATAAACAATTGCATTGATTGTGTCACAACAATTCCATGATGTGTGGGTACTGTTATCAGTATAGATGGAGGAACTAAAGTTTCAAAAGAAAGCCCTGGTCTGAACTCCTTTCTTCCGCTCTTGCCCTGCTGCTTCTAAGTATAGGACAGATCATGCCACTCCTTTGCTCATCACCCTCTAATACAGTGCTTCTCAACTGGGAGCAAACCTGGAGACTTTCCAGCTGTCACAGCATGGGGAAAGAGCACTGTTACTGGCATCTAGTGGGTGGAGGCCAGGGATGCTGCTGAGCCCCCTGCAGTGGGCAGCACTGCCCTCCACCACAAAGAGTTCTCTGGCCCAAAATGTCAGTAGTGCTACTGTAGAGAAACCTTGCTCGAGAGGTATCCCATCTCACTCTATAAAATCCAGCATCCTCATCATGTTCCTCGGGGCTCCGTATGAGCTAACTCCTGGCTAGTTCTGACATCTTCAGGCACTCTTTGTTAGTTCCAGCTGAGATGGCCTCCTCGATGTTCCTGCAGACAAGCACACCTCAGACTGGCATTGCAGTTCCCTCTGCCTAGAATGCTTTTCTTTCAGATACCCTTTTAGCTGACTTTTTCACTTCCTTTGGTCTCCGTTTTTTAGGAGCACCCCTGTATCAAATGGTGCTTCTCTTCACCTCCACACCGTCTCCCCACAACTCCCTGCATGTCAATCTCTTTGTCAAGCCTTTTTCCCCTGGTTTTCTGGAGAAAACCAGGGTTTTCTCCAGAACCTGGTTTCTCCAAACCTGGTTTCATGGAGCCTTTCTCCATGACGCTCATCACTGTCATAGTACTTATTTATTGGCTACTTTCCCCTACTAGAATATAAGTTCCAGGAAAAGGAACTTTGTCTTTTGTTAACTGCTATATCTACAGTATCTAGAAAAGTCACAGTACATAGTAGGTACTCAATGAATATTTGTTGCATAAGGATGGTACCAAGAGGTTAAGCAACTTGCCTGAGGTTACACTGCTTATGAGTAATGGTGCCAGATTCAACCCTGGGCTGCCCTACCCCAGAGCTCGTGTGTCAGACTACTCCTCTCTACTATCCTCATTAGCTCGGTGCCTGGCACATGACAAACACTTAATAAATATTATATATGTATATATTATATTAAATATTAAATTTAATATTTAATATTATTTAATAAAATATAAATTAAATAATAAATATTATATATATATATATATAAGTGGCTGTCATTTACAACTATGTGGATTGAAGAGGCAACATTGGAGTCTAGCATATTCTGCTCCCACCTCTGCCTGCAACCAGCTGTGTGTCCTTGCATATGTCACTCATTGTTGCTGGGCCTCAGATTCTTCATCTATGAAGTGAGCCAGATATCCACGTGAGACTTTTGCCTGTTACCTTTTACATTTTCTTCATCAGTGATCATTTTCTGTGGCTTATACTATAGTCTAGATACTCTGGGTTATATGGTACAGTTTGGGTCTAATGAACATCTCGTTGCAGAACCTTTCCCCTGGAGCCATCTGTGTTGCTGTTGACTGATCTCTATTATCAGAGATTAGCCTTGTGTGGCTGCAAAGGGCCACTTTCCCAGGAGGCTTTAATGGAATTATTTCCCAAGTTACAAGCAAACATTTCAACTGGTGTATCCAAGGTAATGGTGTTTTGTGGTAGTGTGTCCTCAGTCTCTCTTCTCCTGTTTCTATATGGACTGCAGTGGTTTTCAGAGCATCTTAGTTAGAAAGTGTTGCTGTGGGATGATTTCTGTTTAAAGCGATGATTCTTAAATGTTGGCCTGCAAACCAATTGCAGTAGGATTAGTTAGGGAGATAAATAAAAATACAAATTCTGGGTCCCTACCCTCAAAGATTCCAATTCAGTAGGGCTAGGGTAGAACTGAAAAATCAACATAGTTTTTTTTTTTAAGTCTTCTAGGTGGTTCTCCTGCTCATTTAGGTATGCGGAAATACCTGAATATTGTACATTACTTAGGAATAAAAATCACTAACTTTAATTGAATTGACAACTTAATCAACTTCTTTGTACTTATTTACAGACATGGTTATAGTGTCATAGTTCAAAGAAACTACTGATTGTTCCATGTACTATTTTAACTAGGTGTTGGTTGGTGTTGAATATGAAATAAGGGCTAGAATAGGCACATATTACTCTGGTCAAATGGTATTTTTTTTTTAAATTGTATAAAACTTAAATCTTGCTGACTGTGAATCAGTTTCTTTTTATGGTTAAACTTTGGAATTTGAAAGATGCCTTTTACTTTCTCCAGATTCGGCTTTTGACAATAAGGATCCTAAACCATTTTGATGTCCAGCTTCCAGAATCAATGGAGGTATTTTAACTGTTTGAGTGGATAGGTTTTAAAAAAATATAGTTTTACATATTATTGTGGTTTCCAAAATGATACCTTTGCAGAAAATTAACACACTATATAAATATCTGTCGTAAAAATTGATTTTTTTGGCTGGGCGCGGTGGCTCACGCCTGTAATCCCAGCACTTTGGGAGGCCGAGGCGGGCGGATCACAAGGCCAGGAGATTGAGACCATACTGGCTAACATGGTGAAACTCCGTCTCTACCAAAAACACAAAAAAAGAAATTAGCCAGGCGTGGTGGCGGGCACCTGTAGTCCCAGCTACTCGGGAGGCTGAGGCAGGAGAATGGTGTGAACCCGGGAGGCGGAGCTTGCAGTGAGCCGAGATCGCACCACTGCACTCCAGCCTGGGCGACAGAGCGAGACTCCGTCTCAAAAAAAAAAAAAAAAATTGATTTTTTTTTTTTGGTAACTCTTACTCCTGTCTACCAATAAAGTCACCACTGAAAATCCACCATTAATCGGCAAATATTCTTTCAAACTTTTTGAATACACACACACACACACACACACACACACACATAATTTAAACAAATGGGGTTTTTCCATATGATTACCTCTATATCTACCACATACCTCATTTCTTTTCTTTTTACGGGGTCTCACTCTGTCACCTAGACTGGAATGCAGTGGCGTGATTTCGGCTCACTGCAGTCTCCACCTCCCCGGCTCAAGCGATCCTCCTGGCTCATCCTTCTGAGTAGCTGAGATTATAGGTGCCTGCCACCACGCCTGGCTAATTTTTGTATTGTTAGTAAAGATGGAGTTTTGCCATGTTGGCAAGGCTGGTCTCGAACTCCAGACCTCAAGTGATCTGCCCACCTCATCCTCCCAAAGTGCTGGGATTACAGGTGTGAGCCACTGTACCCAGCCAATATCTATCTCATTCCTTTTGAAGTTTGAATACTACTCCACAGTTGAAAATGTCTTATTTAGCCATTTTCTTGTTGACGGATGGTTAGGTAGGTTTTGCATTTTTTTAGGATTTCAAACAATACTGCAGTGAACATCCTTATACGGATATGTTTATGTAGGGAAATAGTTCCATAATGCAGATTACTAGGAATAGATTTGTGAAGCAAAAGCGTATGTGCATTTTATTTTTATTTCAACAAATGTTGCCAATCAATTTGAGTGACTTGAGAATGATTTTCCTGTTGTTTAGTTGTCATTTATGCACTAGACACTAAATTATCTACCAAGAAGTAAATGGTATGGGGAGAAAAGAATCATTTACCAAAAAAAAAAGTGTTACTTATTTCATTAAAAATATTAACATATTCCAGTTTTTCTATTTTTAGACCTTTGGTCACATTTAATGTTCTTTTTGGAAAATCAAAATACTGACTGGTCTTCTCCATGGTTTTCTCTGGTTATTCAGGATGATGGGCTCTCAGAGCGGCAGTCTGTCTTTGCTATATTACGCCAGGCAGAACTTGTTCCAGCAACTGTGAATGATTATAGAGAGAAGCTTCTTCATTTGAGAAAACTAAGACATGATGTGGTACAGACTGCTGTCCCTGATGGGCCGTTACAGGAGGTAAAAATAGTGTTCTTTTATTTTTCCTTTTTAATTCATGCTTTAAATCCTGTTTGGGGAAGCACATCAAGTAGTCACCAAAATAATAATAATAATAATAATAATAATTTAAAAATAATAAGGGAAATCCCCAGTTCTCTTAGATGCTTTGAGTTAAACAGCTCTACCAGCTTTTTTAAGTAGCAGGAATAATTTAGTATTCTCTGTTTCAGGCATGAGCCACTGTACCTGGCCATGTTAGTACCTTTTTAGAAATGAGTAAGCAGGGGCTCATTGAACCTGAGTGACGCAGGTAGGTAGGTAGGTAGTGGCAACAGGATTTAATGTCAGGTTTAAAGCTTGCTCTTCTTCACTAGATTTGTTTGCTGCTGCAGAACATCAGCTCTCTATGTTTTTTTTTTTTTTTGGAGATGGAGTCTCGCTCTGTCACCCAGGCTGGAGTGCAGTGGCGCAATCTCTGCTCACTGCAAGCTCAGCCTCCCGGGTTCACACCATTCTCCTGCCTCAGCCTCCCGAGTTGCTGGAACTACAGGTGCATGCCACCACACCTGGCTAATTTTTTTGTATTTTTCGTAGAGATGGGGTTTCACCGTGTTAGCCAGGATGGTCTTGATCTCCTGACCTCGTGATCCGCCCTCCTCGGCGTCCCAAAGTGCTGGGATTACAGGCGTGAGCCACTGCGCCCGGCCCAGCCCTCTATGTTTTATATCAGGGTTTTCATTCCATGACCCTTGAAGATACATCACAGACCTCTTTGGGAGTAAGGCCAAAAGGAGGCATTCTCCCTTCAGTCAGAGCAGTTCTTCTCTTACCTGTTTTATAAATTAGGTATATAAATATACTTCTGTTTCATTTGGAAAAAAGACTGCTTCTAGAATATATACAAACACCCCATCCCTAAATAATAATAAAACTACCAGTCTGGATGGTGCCTCCCTAGCACATGGGAATGTTAGTAATAATGACCCTTATTCCAAAAGGTGACCGGGAAACTTTAGACCCTTTTACTGAACTTGCAAAGCCTCAGTCATTCACAGCATGTTTCCTTGCGTTCTTCGGCATGTGTGCATTTCTGACTGCTGTTGAAGTTTTGTCTTAATCTGGTGACAGCAACATTTGTTAGAAGGGAGTTTAATCATTAGTCAAATCTGTTCATTTAAATGAATGAATACCTGGAGTGAATTTGAATACTATGTTTGCTGTAGCGATTCTTCTATTTTAAATAGTGAGTGACATTTTGGGGAGAAGAGGAAAATTAGTATACATTGAATTTTGGATTGGTGCCTGCAACTTTTTTTCTTATCGCACAGGCTTCTTTCCAAACCTCAGGTTGTCCAACTTGGGATGTTTGCATTTCAGTACTTCTGTTCTATACTGTATTTCATTACCCAATACTAAACTAGTCTTTTGTAATTGCAGGTGCCGCTTCGTTATTTGTTAGGCATGCTATATATTAATTTCAGTGCACTCTGGGATCCTGTTATTGAACTCATAAGGTAAACATGGGTTAAATGGGATGAAACTATTATACTTTAACTACTGCAGAATGATGGGGCCCAGATTATTCTCCTTCTGGGTGTGATTTAAATGAATGGGTGTATATGGTATTTACAGTACTTTAAATCCTTTGTGAGACAAGGTAAATTAAAAATAAACATGAATTATTCTCTCTGATGCCACATCTTCAGTAGTTCCAATATTATACGTGTGTCTCTTTGTGTGTTGAAATAACTTTGAAGGAGTTTCTCTTTTTGCTTTTTATGATACTTTTGTGTTATTAAAATTTGTTACAGCAAGGAAGTATAATAATTGCATAATTTTATTTCTATATTTTGAGTCATTGAGCCATACTTTAAAAATAAAGACTTTTTCAAAACCTTGCTGTCTAGCATCCAAAATCCCTTTAGCCCCAAAATGTCTTCAGTGGTCACATAGAAAATACATGTTATAGGCCGGGCACGGTGACTCATGCCTGTAATCCCAGCACTTTGGGCGGCTGAGGCAGGTGGATCACCTGAGGTCGGGAGTTCGAGACCAGCCTGACCAACATGGAGAAACACCATTTCTACTAAAAATACAAAATTAGCCAGTCATGGTGGCACATTCCTGTAATGCTAGCGACTCAGGAGGCTGAGGCAGGAGAATCACTTGAACCTGGGAGGTGGAGGCTGTGGTGAGCCGAGATTGCACCATTGCACTCCAGCCTGGGCAACAAGAGTGAAACTCTGTCTCCCAAAAAAAAAAAAAAAAAAAAATACATGTTATGGCTCATGTGTAGAAATCTGTCTTCAGACATTTGTCTTCAGATAATACACACTCACTTTTTTTATCAGATTATCAGATTGGAAATATGTCGTGTGAGGCCTTTCAAAACCCCAACGATTAGTTATTAGTTCTTACTTGACAGAATAAGAGAGTTAACATTTATAGACAGATCCCTTTACAATTTGAAACTAATTTGTCTACCTTTACTACCCTTGTCTACCTTTTACTACAATTTGTCTACCTTTTACTACCTTTCAAAGCCATCAAAACCAGTGTGCCAAAAGCAAGATTCTCCCAACATCAGCTTCATTATTTTGTTTATTACACTTTCAGAAGAGAGAATTTGACATACATATTACCAGTAGCACACTATCAACAGTGTTGGTTCTTTAATTACTGAATGCCATGAGGCATTCTCCCTAGTGGCTGGGCTGTCTTCCTGTTGGGTACCTCTTTCTGTTTGGAAGGATAGAAACAACAACATACCTGTTGGTTTGTTTTCTGAGTAGAGTCAGTTCCCAACATATATAATACATGTCATGTGTAAAGTTTATGCATATTCTTAGAAAATTAGTGATAGAATATTTGAGAGTATTGTTGCTAGGATATCAAACTACATAAGCACTTTATGTGATCCATCTAATGTCTCCTTTTAAGTTCTGAAAAGTTGTTTCATGTAGTTAGTGAATGTTTATTTTGTCTTTGTGTTAATAAGTATATTTAAATTTGGTGGAGGGAAACTAATTATTTTTAAGTTAGTTTTGAACAAACTGACTTTTCTCTCCAGAGGGCCCCTTCTTCTCTTAATGGATCTTATTCATGCCCCATGCCCCAGTTTCATCAGTGTGCCTTTAAAAATGATTTTCTCTTAAGGATCTACTTATATTTTTAAAAATACTCTTTAGTGCTTTATGACTATAAAAATGATTTGTGCTCAGTGCAGGCATTTTGAAAAATATAGAAAAGTGCAAAAGGTGTTTACGACTCCACATTGAGGGATAACCTAATTGACATTTTAGTTATATCCTTTCACTCTTTTTTTTTTTTCTATGAGCAATCTTAAAATGGCCATACCACACTTTTTATTTTGTGATTTTTTTTTTCCCTTAGTTCTCATGCACACGAAATGGAAAATAAGCAATTTTGGAAAGTCTACTATGAGCATCTAGAAAAAGCAGCTACGCATGCTGGTATGTAAAGGGGTTGTGAGGAAGCTGCGAAGAAAAGTGGTTGTTTAACTGTTTTGTTTTTATTGCTTAATTACTCACGAAATTGGAAAACAGAGATGAAACATATATTATCATGATAACTTTTGGGAGTGACATTCTTTCCTTACATTATAGAGAAAGAAATGCCCTCTCTTGAGAAAACACTTAAGATAAATGTTGATATTTGTCTGGTGGTTATGACAACTTTCTTTCTTGCAGAGAAGGAACTACAGAATGATATGACAGATGAGAAGTCCGTTGGAGATGAAAGTTGGGAGCAGACCCAGGAAGGAGATGTTGGAGCTCTTTATCATGAGCAGTTAGCATTGAAAACTGACTGTCAGGAAAGACTTGACCACACCAACTTCAGATTCCTGCTCTGGAGAGCTCTGACCAAATTCCCAGAAAGAGTAGAGCCACGGTCCAGGGAGCTTTCCCCGCTTTTCTTGAGATTTATCAAGTAAGTTTCCTCTTCTAAGAATATGTCCCTGGTGGGGCATGAAGAAGAGAATGTGAGAAGTATTAACCTCCCAAAGTGGCTGAGTTCTTTGTTTTTTGCCTTCTTTCTTTCTGCTTCCAATCATCCATTAGGCTGAGGTATTTTTTGTTTGTTTGTTTTTGTTTTTGTTTTGTTTTGTTTTGTTTTTAGACAGAGTTTTGCTCTTGTTGCCCAGGGGTGCAGTGGTGCGATCTCGGCTCACTGCAACCTTCACCTCCCAGATTCAAGCGATTCTCCTGCCTCAGTCTCCCAGAGTAGCTGGGCACAGGCATGCGCCATCACGCCTGGCTAATTTTGTATTTTTAGTACAGACGGGGTTTCTCCATGTTGGTCAGGCTGTTCTTGAACTCCTGACCTCAGGTGATCCACCCACCTCGGCTTCCCAAAGTGCTGGGATTACAGGCGTGAGCCACCACGCCCAGCCTAGGCTGAGTTCTTTATACATCTGTCACGTTTTCAAATCATTGGCACAGCTACAAAGCACTGGCTCTATCAGATAACAACTAAACTAGTTTAGTTCACCATTTGATTTTGATCTAAATCAAAATTTAACCAGCACACCAGTGGTATTAATAAAAAATTCCGGGTTACAGTATAAGAAGGGCCACACTGAGTTTGATTCATGTAGAAAGGCCTTATTATTTCTTGCCCTGTTATTCATTATTTTATTGCCTGCCTGGGGCTTGAAGGTATTTTCCAGTGACCCAACAGCAACACTGCTTGGGGCCTCTTGATGTTTCTGCCTATGATGCTGAGGAATAACAAGAGTTTTCTGGAGCATTGTTTTGTTTTAACTGGATATGCTATGTGAGAGTCTGATTGTATTAAAACTAAAGATGAGGGGTGTGGTGTGCAGAACATTATTAAGTAATACATAAAAAGCATGTTTTCCTATAGTAGTTTCCTGGGAAAATGCTGTAGGGTTAGGTCAAGCAGGCCATAAACCACAACATGCCTGGCTTGTTCAATGAACAGCAAGATCTGAGTGGTTCTAGCAGAATGATCCAGGGAGGACATGGTTGGAGATGAGGGCAGAAAGTCAGCAGGAGATGAAAGTGTGTAGGCCTTTAAGTGATAGGAAGGACTTTGGCTCTTACTTTTGGTGAAATGAGAAGCCATTTGGAGGTTTAAGCAGAAGGCTGACCTGACCTAAGTTTTCTTAAGGATTTTTATGGCTGCTGTGTTGAGAATAGACTGTAGAATGACATTGGTGAGAGTAGAGAGACCAGTCATGAGGAGATTGCAAGTCCAAGCAAGAAGTGATGGCGACTTAACCAAAGTTATAGCAGTGAAGATGGGTATTTTTTGAATGATTTCAATTCGATAAGATAACATTTATGAAAGGTTGCAACTAGATCAGCCTGTGAGATTTGCCAGCAGATCAGATGTGGGACGGGTGTGTGTGGTGGGGAGTGGGACAGGAAGGAGGGAGGGAAGGAATGGGGGAGGGACAGAATCAAGGATGTTCCCTAAGGCTTTGGCCTGAGCAACTAGAAGAAAGTTCTCATTTACTGAGATAGGAGGAATGCAGGAGTTGCAGGTCTGTGGGGGAGAATTAAAAGTTCATTTTTAGATGTTTTAAGTTTAGGACACTGAATAAATAACCAAGTAGAGTTGTCATGTAGAGAGGCATTTAATTTAGAAGTTCAAAGCTCAAGGGAAAGGTTTGATCTGGAGATAACAAATTGGAAATTATCAATATATGGATGGTATTTTAAATGATCAGATACGGAATAAAGTCATCTAGAGTGTGACTGTAGAGAGAAAAGACTTTCAGGGACTGATACCAATATTTAGAAGTTGGGAGATAAGGAACCAGCAAAGGAAGCCAGGAAAGAGTGATAAAAGAAGAAAGACCACTTGCTATCCTGGAAATCAAGTGAAGAGACTAAAGGCGGCAGTAAACAGTTGACTCAGATGTGTCTGAAAAGTCCATCAGGTGAGGAATAAAGTGACCGTTGGCTTTGGAGTGACCTTAGTCAGAGTGACCCACATGAAGGTGACCTTAATGAGTTGTTTTGATTAATCTGATAGGGATGACAGCCTAATTAAAATAAGCTTGGCTGGGTGCAGTGGCTCATGCCTGTAATCCCAGCACTTTGGGAGGCCGAGGCTGGTGGATCACAAGGTCAGGAGATCGAGACCATCCTGGCTAACACGGTGAAACCCTGTCTGTACTAAAAATACAAAAAATTAGCTAGGCGTGGTGGTGGGTGCCTGTAGTCCCAGCTACTCGGGAGGCTGAGGCAGGAGAATGGCGTGAACCCGGGAGGTGGAGGTTGCAGTGAGCCAAAATTGTGTCACTGCACTCCAGCCTGGGCGACAGAGCGAGACTCTGTCTCAAAAAAAAAAAAGAAGCTCAAGAAAGAGGAAAAGAAAAATGAAAACAGCAAGTTTGGACAGTTTTTGTAGTAAAAAAGAAACAGACATAGGGATGTAGGTGGAGGGAAATGCCGGGGCAGAGAGGGAGCTGTTGTCGTTGGGGTTAAGACTTAACAGTGTTGGCTGGGCACAGTGGCTCACACCTATAATCCCAGCACTTTGAGAGGCCTAGGTGGGCAGATCACATGAGGTCAGGAGTTCGAGACCAGCCTAGTGAAATCCCGTCTCTACTAAAAATACAAAAATTAGCTGGGCATGGTGGTGCCTGCCTGTAAGTCCCAGCTATTTGGGAGGCTGAGGCAGGAGAATCACATGAACCCGGAGGCAGAGGTTGCAGTGAGCCGAGATCGTGCCACGGCACTCCAACCTGGGCAACAGAGACAGAACGAGACTTTGTCTCTGCTCCCAAAAAAAGACTTAACTGTGTGTGTATGTGATACCAGTGCAAGTGATCCAGACGGGAGGGGAAAATTGGTAATGCAAGAAAGGATAAAATGGCTAGAACTGGCCAGGCACGGTGGCTCACACCTGTAATCCCAGCACTTTGGGGGGCCGAGGTGGGCAGATCATGAGATCAGGGTTTCAAGATCAGCCTGGCCAATATGGTGAAACCCTGTCTCTACCAAAAATACAAAAATTAGCCGGGCCTGGTGGCATGCACCTGTAGTCCCAGCTACTCAGGAGGCTGAGGCAGAAGAATCGCTTGAACCCAGGAGGCAGAGGTTGCAATGAGCTGAGATTGTGCCACTGCACTCCAGCCTGGGTGACAGAGCGAGATTCCGTCTAAAAAAAAAAAAGGCTAGAACCATGTCTTCAAATAGGTAAGAGGAGATGGATACAGTACATAAATTCAAAGGTTTGCATGGATAATTCATTCTGGCAAGGCACAAGCAAAGATATAGCAGGTCAGTAGATATAGTGGCAGAAAAGCAATGATTTTCTCTTTTTCAAATAATTCTTTGGGCATAAATTTATAGAATAAGAATGATGTTTAGCTTTTTTTGCTTTGTTTTGAGGGTTATATAAAATAACACTTATCAGTTTTTTGAACTGCAAGGGCTGTACATATGCCAGCTGGCATTTATGGTGTTAGTAGCATATAAACTTCATACCATGTTAATTTTCCAAGTTTTTCCCTAAAGAATTAGTTTACCCCACGGCTTAAGGATAAGATCTTAGTCTAATGGTACAAGATGCTGTGGGGTAGAGGTAGAAACAGGAGCCTGTAACAGGGAGTGGGTCTCTGAGTTTAGAAAGATTTAGAGACTAAAGATACACAATTCTAAGGAACGTTTAATACTGGTTGGCATGGATTACCTATAAATAATACATTTATAGATGATCCGAACTAATGGAAAACCCAAATGTCACCTTTAATTCTGACTTTGAAGTATATTACAGGCTTTTTATTTTTTGGCTAGCAATTTATATTTCTAAATATGTTTCAATTAATTTGGTATTAGAACTAATTTGTGAATCCCTTGTAAACATTCTCTGAGACGAACCAAACCAGGAACAAGAACGAATGACTAACAATGGCAACAGCATCCCAATAAAAGGTGACATTTAGTGAGTACTCACTGTGTGCTGGACACTCTTATGGATGCTTTGTGTGAATTGTTTTATTTAATAAATGAATGAGTGAACATGCTGTTCACGGAGATAAAGGTTACAGTATGTAATGTGTGGTTAATTGAATGTTGTAAGTATAATAGGTATGATATTAAGTGGATGATGGTGCAGTTTGTAACTTATAGAAACTTTACTTGTTTCATTCATCCATTTTTTGATTTATTAAGTGCTAGATTCTGCCAGATGAAAATACCAAGTACCACAGTGTCCCAGCCCTCAGATTGTAGTTTAGTGTTATCGATCTGGAGGTTAACTTGGGCTAAGCTAGAGTTTCTTTTAGGAGGGTTGGTAGGGTGCTGTCCTCAAACATGTTATTTTATCAGTGTGTTTTTGAGTGAGGACTTGAAAGGCCATCCAATCAGTTTCCTAGCATCTTTAGCCCAGTGCCCTGCATTCAATAGACAACAAAAGGTTAATTGTTTGGGTGAGTGAATGAAAGTGACATAAACTAATGCATTAAATGACAGACTTCAAGATAATATTCATTAATTGCAACATTGGACTAAAAATAAAGGATGAAATTTAATAAGAACAAAGTGAATACTGTATTAAGCTTAGCTGCACAAGCTTAGTTTAGAGAGATAAAACATAAAGACTCACTGATTTTCATTACATGGACATTCAGTTTCAATCTTTGTCATGTTGTGGCTGCTCAAAAAAGTTCTGGAGATGGTAGTTCCATCTGTCTTATCAATCCATACCTGGAGGACTAAATTTTGTGGTGGTACTATATTTTCAAGAGAACTTTGGCAAAGTAGAATGTATCTGATGGAAAGTGACCAGCACAGTCCTAATGCTATACTTTAATCATTTAATATCATCCATCCCTAACCCCTCATCC
Organism: Homo sapiens; assembly: GCF_000001405.40. Classification (NCBI taxonomy): domain Eukaryota; kingdom Metazoa; phylum Chordata; class Mammalia; order Primates; family Hominidae; genus Homo; species Homo sapiens. The sequence goes on from NC_000012.12 coordinate 101,317,171, forward strand.
CCCAGTGGTGGTTCCAGAGACAGGGAGGCTGATTTCCACTTAGTCCAAAATAGACATTTCAAATATTTTCAACAGTATAACAGTGGAATGGGCTATCTTCTACAGTTAGTGAATCGCTTGTCAAATAGCATACTAAAGAAGGACCAAGTTAGGAAAGAGTAATATTGTGGAAGCTTGCCTAAGGTACCACTATGTCTCTTCAGTGTGTGATTCTGTGAACTGTGGACATCTCTCATGAACAGAATCAGCACCTTTCAGATTGGTGTGCGTTCTTCATCAGTATCCTGTGACTTTCTTTCCACGGTAGCAATGAGTATTACCCAGCAGATCTGCAAGTTGCTCCAACCCAGGATCTACGGAGAAAAGGCAAAGGGATGGTGGCAGAGGAAATCGAAGAGGAACCTGCCGCAGGAGATGATGAAGAGTTGGAGGAAGAGGCAGTGCCCCAAGATGAATCCTCACAGAAGAAAAAGACGAGGAGAGCTGCAGCAAAGTAAGTTCACCATTGCTGAAAGATCACAGATCCACAGTTCTGGGAGGAACAGGAAGAGGTCTCTTACGGCTTTATACAAAATCAACTACTCAGATAATTATTTACGTAAGCGCTACATCTTCCTGGGATTTTCTTTAACAGCCTAAAACTGTCAGGCTTCCAAGTTTTTTGGTTGATTACTTATTAGTTTTTTCTTGGTTAGCTACATAATGTTAGATTGGGGGACTTTTGAGAGTCATCTAATTGTAGCTCCTTTTTATAGATGAGAACTTTGGGACCTGGAGTGTTTGGATATTCTTTTGACCTTTGTCGTGCACTTTCCCAGCGTGAGGGTATTGTGTTTGCATGCTAGGGGAACATGTAATGGAACATCCTTTTTCTTAAAAATAAGCATGTTAGCAATTTTTTTTTCCTTCCACCCACCTTCCCCACCATCCTGTTAGCACTTTTCTCTGCCTTTTAACTTGCCTTCTACTGGTTACTTTTTTCTCATGCTGTTGTTATACTCTCTTTCTTATTCTTTTAGTTGTTCATTTACCTAAATTGTTAGAAACCTAAAAGAAGAAGTGATCATGCTTTTAGAAGTTACTTCAGCTTACTTGATGATTGTCTGAATTGAGTGTCTCAGGTCCACTGGATTGGTGCAAATATTATTTTAACACTTTAGATCTCAATCTGATATGCCCATTTGTTGCGTATTTCCCCTGAGCCATTTATTAGTTCATCCATTCAACAACTGTATTGAGTACCCTTTGCTAAGTGCTGGTGTGCAGAGATAAATTGTACAGAGCCACTGCAATGCAGGAGTCATAGTCAATCCTGCCTGGGTGAAATATTTTTATAGGAGAAATATTTTTAAAGAAGTTATTGGAGCACAGTAAGGAATTCCAGGCGTGGTGGCTCACACCTGTAATCCCAGCACTTTGGGAGGCCGAGGTGGGTGGATCACTTGAGGTTAGGAGTTTGAGACCAGCCTGGCCAACATGGTAAAACGCTGTCTCTACTGAAAATATAAAAATTAGTCAGGCATGGTGGTGCACGCCTGTAATCCCAGCTACTTGGGAGGCTGAGGTAAGAGAATCACTTGAACCCAGGAGGCAGAGGTTGCTGTGAGCCGTGGTTGTGCCACTGCACTCCAGCCTGGGCCACAGATTGAGACTCCATCTTGAAAAAAAAAAAAAAAAAAAGACCCAGGGAAGGCTCTCTGATGCTGAAAGATGAAAGTTTGCCAGACAGCTAGAACCAAGAAAGTCTTGTCCACTAACAGAAATAGTGTATGAAGCACAGGGGCAGGAAAGATTATGGCCAGCCTTCATGTCACTATACAATACTCTCCCCTTATCCATGGTTTCACTTCCCACGATTTCAGTTACCCATGGTCAACCACAGTCTGAAAATATTCAGATATATTTCTTCTTCCTTGTTGGTGAGCAACAGCCATTGGTTGCCTTAACCTGGACCTCTGTTGCCTGACATCTGTATTTACATTATAATAAAGTGAGGGAGAATATATTCTACTACTTTCCTGTCTGCCACATAGAACCTAGACAAGGAATAATTCCAAAAATCATCTGAGTTTAATTTTGGAATATTTTACTAGTTTGGTTACTTTCTAATTTTTGTTCAATTTAAACCATTCTGAGCACACACTGAATGATTTTTTGGTGTGGAGAACCTGAATTTTAGGGACAGGCCTGCCCAAAATATGGGATTTCTGGAGAATAATTTCCTAAATGTAAATAACTAAGCCTTGTTTATATAATAGTGAAACTATAGGCGGGGTGTTTGAAGTTCTAGTCAGAATAAAATTGTAGATGTCAGTTTAAGAAAATGATCTCAATTCTTTAATTCTGTAACACTCTCTGTTTTGTTTTTGTTTAGGCAATTAATTGCTCATTTGCAAGTTTTCTCTAAATTTTCAAATCCACGGGCCTTATATCTGGAATCCAAACTATATGAGTTATATCTTCAGGTCAGTAAAATAAACTCTTGGCATTATAATTCTTTGTGAACTTTTCTCTATCATTTTCTTTGTCAGAGTAGCTTAGATTTTCAATAATTGCTGAATAGGGCCCATGTCTACATTTTAAGTATTAAAGCCTTTTTTTTTTTAATTAATAGACATATTTTCTGTTATCTTGAGAAACAGTTTTAGCACTAACTTAGCTGATTTTGAAGGCATTTTGGGTGACTAAACATTGATTGGCTGTGTCAACAGTGAGAATAGCAAAGCATGAATTATATCATGGAAATTAGCTTTTAGAAGGGAGTAGGGTTTATACAAAAAAACAAGTGACTACTTTTCCCTTCTAGTTTAGTCAGACTTCATAGAGGACTGGGATTTCAGGATCTATTGTAGTCCATTGCAGTCATAATTACGTGGCCCTGAATTTCAGATAAGCTTGCAGAAAAAAATTAATATCAGAAATGAAGTAAGCATTGGATGTAATTCTAAGCCATCTGGGGAAACAAAATTTTCATTTTTCATTTGGATGTTTCTTCTGGCATCTTATTGACTATCATTACCTTCATAGGATAAGAGATTTTCCTTAGTACATGACCAGCCTAGTTGGCTTAAATCCAGATTCACATAGAGAATCGGCCTCACCAGGCTGCACACAGTAGCTCACGCCTGTAATCCTAGCACTTTGGGAGGCCAAGGCGGACAGATCACCTGAGCTCAGGAGTTCGAGACCAGCCTGGGTAACATGGTGAAACTGCGTCTCTACCAAAAACAAAAAAATTAGCCAAGTGTGGTGGTGGGTGCCTGTGGTTCCAGCTTCTCGGGAGGCTGAGGCAGGAGAATCGTTTGAACCCAGGAGGCAGAGGTTGCAGTGAGTCGAGATCGTATCACTGCACTCCAGCCTGGAAAACAGAGCAAGACTCTGTTTGAAAAAAAAAAGAGAAAGAGAGAGAGGATTGGCCTCACCCAAAAGCTGGTAGACCCCAGGGTATGACTGTGGGATGCAGGTGTCAGAGAGTTTTGTTTCCATTTTTACTTTGCATATATTCTGTTCATCTTTTTTTACTTCCAGGAAAATGTGAAGCTGTTGTTAGCAATCAGGTTTAGGTCTTGTGTAAAAATTTAGAATTTTTCAAATCTCATTTAGCAAATAACCACAAGTAAATTGCTATCCTATGGTATATGTATATATGACTTCATTAATTCTGTAAAATACTGTTCTTAGTTGTTGCTACACCAAGATCAAATGGTGCAAAAAATAACCTTGGATTGCATAATGACATATAAACATCCTCATGTCCTCCCTTACAGGTAAGTTACTTGAAGCTTAAAGAACTGTTATTTCTTCAGCTGATTTTTATATTTCTGCCTAAGAGCCTCTTCTAGAATAATTTATTAAAGGCCTAGAAAGTTTCCCTTTTTTCTGAGGTCATCGTATTTCCAAGCAAGAAATGAAAACGAGTAGTATATTTGTTGGGTTGTTCTCCATGATACTAAAATAGAGAATGTTAATTTTAAAACTGTGTTGTAAATATTATGTCATTTTCCTCTTCTTATTAATATAATGCCATAGAATCTTGGTGGTTACTTAGAGAATCAAAGTCACTCTAAGAACTGAGGAAAGCTTTTTGTATCATGCTTTTTTAAACAGCTGAGTTATGGACAGAATCTAATCTTTTCTAATCCGTTATACCTTTTGAAATGTACAAATCTGTCATTTTAGGAGATTTTTTTGAGGATTTTCCTTTATGGATATCAACCATAATATGTACTATATACCTTATTTTAGTTATTACTCTGTGTACATATTTCACTCTTTCATTATTCAAAAGCACTGTTGATAAAGTGGTGATTTGTGCTGTTCTCTGTTTTTAAAGGGAAAACTTACAAAGGTTGCTTGAAGACAGAAGCTTTAAGGAAGAGATAGTGCATTTTAGCATTTCAGAAGATAATGCTGTAGTGAAAACAGCCCACCGAGCAGATCTATTTCCTATTCTGATGAGGTATTTATGCTGTTCAAACACTGATTTTTAAAAAGTTAATAACAAACACAATTGTGAGTACAGTATTATGGTTCTTTCAACAACTGTAATAGAATATTTCATTTTCTATTTTCTTTTGATTGCATTTTCTTTGGAGATGGGGTCTTGCTCTGTCACCCAGGCTGGAGTGCAGTGGCATGATCACAGCTCATTGCAGCCTAGACCTCCCAGGCTCAAGTGATGCTCCCACCTTGGCCTCCCAACGTGCTAAGATTACAAATGTGAGCCATCACCGCCAGCTGCTTTTTTTTTGAATTGTACCTTTGGGAGAAGCCAAATTGGTATAGAGACTAAATTTTGTTCCTAACATAAAGAAAGATCTTTATTTATTTTTTTTTTAGAGGGAGTCTCGCTCTGTCACCCAGGCTGGAGTGCAGTGGTGTGATCTCAGCTCACTGCAACCTCCGCCCTCCCAGGTTCAAGCTATTCTTGTGCCTCAGCCTCCTGAGTAGCTGGGATCACAAGCGTGCGCCACCATGCCTGGCTAATTTTTGTATTTTTAGTAGAGAAAGAGTTTCACCATGTTGGCCAGGCTGGTCTTGAACTCCTGACCTCAGGCGATCCACCCGCCTCTGCCTCCCAAAGTGCTGGGATTACAGGCGTGAGCCACTGCGCCTGGGCCCTAATATAAAGAAGATCTTACCATAGTATTATTGTGACAATAATATAATTAAATTTAATATTTTCCTAAATTTTACTGTTGAGATACAGTAGAAATATTTCACTCTGTTTTCCAAATATCATGTGATATTTAATGATGTTATTATTCCTTTAATTATAAATGGTAGAGCAAAAAGATGATCCATAAATAATACAAAGTTTATATATGCTGGGTATAAAGAAAAATGAAGCTTAAATCTTTCATCTCACCAGCTCTGGAATGATGAGAATTGGAAAGATCATGGGATTGGGATTTAACAGGTTTGCTTTTGGTCCAGCCCCCTACTGTGTAGTTCTATCAGATAGAGAAAGTCTTTTAGATCCACTGGGCTTCTGTTTCCTTAATAGGAGCTGGTTCAGATATGCTCAGGGACTCTGCTAGCACTTATCTAATGGCTCTGTTTAGTTCCATTTGTAGCCAGCATTAAGATTCCATTTATAGCAAGCTTTAAGAACTTTACTATAATAGACATAAAAATATTTGAGGGAGTGAATAAGTGAATATACAAAATTACAGTTATTGGTGGATTACAGAAACAATAAAAATAGAAAGCAGAAATCATCTTATATCCAAACACTCAAAAATAACTATCAACTTTATAATCTCAAAAACAATAGTAAATAGGAAACATCCGCAATACTTGTATATTTTAAATTTCTAAGAGTAAAAAGCAGATGGTTGTATGAAGTCCAGAGTAGTTGAATACAAGCTACCAAAAAACATCTAAATAATACACCCATACAAGTTTTTGAAAGAAAATTGAGATGATATTTTATAAAACGTTTTATAACCTTTTTTCACTTAATATTTTACAAGAATTTTCTTAGATCATGAAATGTTTCAAAATGTGATTCTTCATCATATAGACAAGCTGTCATTTACTTGTGTTGAGCATTTTGCCTGTCTGTAGTTTTTGTTGTTTATTTTGGTTTTTTTGCAAAATAGAAAATCTTACATTGAATACCTATAAATCTTATTCGATTGATGGATTAGAATAGATTCTTGATAGGAAAATTGATGAAAATTTTAAAACTTTTTGGTGTATATTACCAAATTGTTGTTCAGAACTACTTCTTTCCAACCATAAGTTTGAACCACTTTATATTCCTACCAGCAGTAGGATGCCTGTTTCACACCATTCCAACACTAGGGTGTTTGTTGTTATTATTTTTTGATTGTTTTAATTCTTGCTAATTTGTCAGTGATAAATGATATCATGTTGTATGACTTCACATATTTTAGGTTTACTAGTGAAGATGAATTGTTTTAAAAGATTATGGGTCATTTGTGTTTATTTTCTCATGAAATTTTTTTTTAATGTCTGACAACTTGTATTTTCTAAAACCAGGTAAATAATATTCCTCTCTGTTTTCTTCTCATTCTGTTTGTTTTAATTTGATTATTTTATTCATCTGGAATTTATTTTGATGTATGAAATGAAGTAAGGATTAAACCTAATTTCTTTCCAAATAGTGTTACCCAATTGTCGCAATACCATTTCACTTAAAAAATCCAGACTTTCAGCTGGACGCCCCCTGGTGGCTTACGCATGTAATCCCAGCTCTTTGGGAGGCGGAGGTGGATGGATCCCGAGGTCAGGAGTTGGAGACCAGCCTGACCAACATGGTGAAACCCCAACTCTACTAAAAATACCAAAATAAGCTGGGCGTGGTGGCACGTGCCTGTAATCCCAGCGATTTGGGAGGCTGAGGCAGGAGAATCACTTGAACCCGGGAGGTGGAGGTTGCAGTGAGCTGAGATCGCGCCACTGTACTCCAGCCTGGATGACAGAGCGAGACTCTGTCTCAAAAAAATAAAAAAATAAATAAATAAATAATAATAATTTTTTTAAAAAAGTCTAAACTTTCTCTACTGATTTGAGAGCCACATTTATTTATTTATTTATTTATTTATTTATTTATTTCAGAGACGAGGTCTCTCTCTGTCACCCAGGCTGGAAGGCAGTGGTGCCAGCACAGCTCACTGCAGCCTCGATCTCTTGGGCTCGAGCGATCCTCCCGCCTCAGCTCCCCATGTACCTGGGACTACAGGCACGTGCCAAAACGCCCAGTTAATTTTTGTATTTTTTTGTAGAGACGGAGTTTCACCAGCTGAAAATTTTTGTATTTTTTTGTAGAGATGTTGTCCCGGCTGGTCTCAAAACTCCTGAGCTCAGGCTGTCCCCCCACCTTGGCTTCCCAAAGTGCTATGATTACACACATGAGCCACCACGTCCAGCCAGAGTGCCACTTTTAATATGCACTAAATATCCATGTATAATTGACTCTTCAGTTGGCTTTTGCTGGTTTTACATTAATCTGCCTTGTTCCAATTCTGCACTGGTTTGTTTATAATAACAATCACAAATCTCATTAGTCCTTTCTTTCCAAAATATTTTGGTTTTTTCTAGAATCTAGATGAACATTTACTTTGATTTTCCCAAAGTAATTTCCCCTTTTGATTTGAGGAGAAGTTGCATCAGTATTTATATTCATTTATTCAAATCATTCCTTTTTTGTAGTCTTTCAATAAAGTGTTTTCATTTTATAACTACGTTTTGTTCTTGTAGAGGGAATTTTCCATTTTATATTTTTTAGCTTATTTTTGCTACATAACTAATTATATATAAAAGCTATTGATTTTTGTGTTATTTAGCCATCCACATGACAAAACTTTTATTAGCGTTAGTAGTTGTCATTGGGTTTTCTTGTATTTTCTCTATTAAAAAAATCACAAATGGTAATAGCAGTCACAGATTATGTTAGTCCCCTGTTTACAAACCTTTTGACATCTCATTTTACTCAGAATATAATAGAAAGTCCTTACTGCTACCTACAGGGCTTGATATGGTGGCTTCAAATGATATCTATAACCATATTTCTTCCTGTTTACCACCTCTCTCAGAACCCACTTTAAATTCTTTGCACTTGCTCATCCCTCTGCATAGAAGACATGCCAGCTGACATCTCATTCATTTGGTCTCATCTCAAATGTGTCCTTATCAGCGATGCCTTCTTCAAGTAGTTTGAGCCTCTGCTGCTGGCCAAAAGTTTTTTATGCTACTACTACTAAGACATTATCTTTTTCACTGTGTTGACATTTGTACTGACAAGGCAAAAACAATGGTGGGTAAAACTCCTAGTACCCTAGCACATGAATCAAGACGGTGGCACCAAATTCTACTAGTCATTCTTCATTGCCACATACTTGGAGTTATTTAACAAACAAACACACTTGATGAGTCTTGACCCTGAGTACATGTATGATAAAGTGGGAAGAATGCATAAAATACTTTTGCTGTGCATGGGCTGTCTCAATGAATGGCACCCGTGTGAGTATTTGATGTACAAGCTGAACTAGCTACTTTTCTTATTTGTAAGACATATACGCTAGGATTCTTTTCACAGGCATTTTCTTGAACATGAACGCAGTGAGCCTGCCACTTCAAGGAAAACAACTGTCAGCATTTATTTCCAATAACTAAATTCTAGCATTCAAGTGGAAATTAGGATTGGAGAAAACTTTTATCTGGTACTATGAACCTGACATCTTCCCAATGCTTAAAGACTTTTCTGATGAGATGATTAATGATATTAACAAATGTTAATAAACAAATTTCTTTTTTTGGTTTGCAGTGAAATGTGTCAACATTTGACATTTCTGCATAACTTAGTAAACGAATATTTTCCAAGTAACTGATGCATGTAATAGTATCATGTATGGGTAAAAGATTCATTCAAAGTGCAAGATAGATGGATTTTAGTGTAACAGAGTTCATCAAGTTTGTTGAACATATATTAAAATGATTATATTAACTTTTACCAGGAACGATTAATCTGTATTAATCTAGTAGATTTTACTAATGACTCTTTCTTGCATTTCCTGGGGCAATCCTTATTTGATTTCAGTGCAGCACTGGATACTATAGTTACAAATGTTGTATTTTATGTTTGTAAGCAAGATTGGCATGTAGTTTTATTTTCATTAACCCTTCTCAATATCACAATTATGCCACATTAATAAATGAGAAAAGACTGTTTCCCTCTTTCTCTCTGCTATGAAACTTCATAGCATAGAAATTATTTTTTTTCCTTGAAAGTTTAAAAAGCCCACTTGTAAACTGTATTAGCTTTGTGTTTTCCAATAAGTATCGGTCTCTGTGGGTTTTCTTCTCAAGTTCCTTTTATTTATTTATATTTATGTGTTTTCCTGAAAATTAGCTTTTTCATTGAACTGTTTCCAGCTTCCTTATTTTACTTACAATTGTATTCTCTTATTTCCTTTTAATCTATATATTCTCATTTTCATTTTTTCTTCATTAGACTTACCTTTGATTTGCCTACTTTTTCTCCCATAACAAACCACCTTCTGGCCTTTGTCCTTCCTGCTTCCCTTAGCTTTGTTTTTTGTTGTGTTTTGTTTGAATTTTTGAATTTTTTTATAGAGACGTGGTCTCACTAAGTTGCCCAGGCTGGCTTTAAACTCCTGAGCTCAAGTGATCCTCTGGCCTCAGCCCCTCAGGTAGCTGGGACTACAGGCACGTAGCACTGCACCCAGCTCTCTTAGCCTTATTTTGTTGTTGACTTTTTTCATTGTCTGTGTTAAATATCTAATTTCTATTTTCATGTTTCTGTGTTTTATAATATATCCATTTAAATCTATTGAGTTGCTCTTCTAGCCTTTTAGGCAAATAAAACAACTCATATTTTAGAATTAATGTGCAAACAAATAATGTGCTTTTGCCTTTTCAGAATTTTGTATGGGCGAATGAAGAATAAGACTGGGAGTAAAACTCAGGGGAAATCTGCTTCAGGCACCCGCATGGCCATTGTCCTGCGGTTCCTGGCCGGGACCCAACCTGAGGAGATCCAGATATTCTTAGACCTGCTGTTTGAACCTGTGAGGCATTTCAAGAATGGTAACTATCAGCTACCTCTCACTCTAATACCTGTTGTCTGCGGTGGACTTCTCACATCTCAGGCTACATTTCCCATGCTCCTGGGCGTCTTTCTAACAGGGTTGTTCCTCCCAATCTTGATGGCAATCTTTTTGCTGAAGTGCAACTCATTTTAAACTTCAATTAAATTGCGTGAAACTGACTGTTGGCCCTGTGGATTATCGGCACCCTTGTGTTAGAGCCCCTGATGAGAAATGTGTATTTTTATTGCATATTTAGGCCATTTGAAAAATGGTTATTACTTACCCATATAATACAAAGAATAGGTTTCTTCTAAGAAATTCAAAGCACACTGCAAATTAATCTTAATTGTTTGGCATTTATTCATTCCCTGAGTCATTCATCTATTCGGTAATGATTTATTGAATACCTCCTGTGCCCTGGACACTCTGTTAAGTTAAAAATAGAAAAGTACAATCTCTGCCCTCAACCTGATAGTTGAGATGAAATGGATGTAATCGTGTATACATTGAGCTAGAGTGCTCTGTGGTATGTTCTTTGGTATGCAGTGTCAGTAATTATTAATAACAGTAATGACTAACATGTATTGAGTGCTTACTTTATGCCAGATGTTATGACAGACCCATTTACTTATAACTCAGTTGATCCTTCAGACAATCAACCACATGAGCTGTCATTACTTGATTATCCCCATTTTACACATGGGGAAACTTAGGCTTAGAAAGGTATTTCACCCATCGTAACTCAGATGAAAAGTGGTAGAGTTGGGATTCAAACTCAGACCTTTCTGGTTATGAAACCTCTGTTCCAGTCCCCAAATTGCTTTGCTTGAGGTCAAACATAGAGAATTATTTATAGGGTATTCTGTTGCATTTGTTTTTGTATTTTTTCTATGATAATAGGTCCAGCTGTTAACAGGTTTTTCATTCAGTATAATATTGCCCTGTAAAGGAGGTTGGCTCTGATGAATGCCAAAAAAAGTTTCTGTTCAATGTATAACTCCCACTGTAGGAGGTAGGTATAGATGATACTCTTATGGATGGCCCGTTTGGGTGTATGAATCCATAAGCTCATGACCTCACATCAGATGGTTTGAAATAAAGGTCAAGCAATAACAATTCATATCTTTTCAGTAAATTTTGAAATTAATATGGCAGCAGCTGTTTATAAGGGACTCTGATTTTATTTACTAACTAGGATTTACAAGAGAAATAAAACTTGATTCTCAGCCTTCAAGGAACTTGTAATACAGAAAGTTACTTCTAGTAAAACTGCCAAACTCAGTAGAGCTGAATGAAATGGAAAGTAAGAAAAGTGTATAGAAAGTTACCAGATGGAGGACCAGGCATAGTGGCTCAGGCCAGTAATCCCAACACTTTGGGAGGCTGAGGTGGGTGGATCACCTGAGGTCAGTAGTTCGAGACCAGCCTGGCCAACATGGTGAAACTCCAACTCTACTAAAAATACAAAAACCAGCCAGGTGTGGTGGTGGGCACCTATAATCCCAGCTACTTGGGAAGCTGAGGCAGGAGAACCGCGTGGACCCGGGAGGCAGAGATTGCAGTGAGCCGAGATCGCCCCAGTGCACTCCAGCCTGGGCGACAGAGTGAGACTCTGTCTCAAAAAAAAAAAAAAAAAATTACCAGATGGAATAAGAAACTATTCATAACTCAGGTTTTGAGGGATAGTGTAAAGAAATTGGATGAGAATTAGGTTTAGAGACTTAGTTCTGTCGCAGATTTCTTACCCTCTTATTCCTTAGTTTCTTCTTCTCTAAAGTGGGGGTAGTTAAACCTGTCTTATGTAGCTCCTTGAGTATTTGGTAAGAGTCAAAAGGAGATAATACATAAGAAAAGTGCATTGTCATCTATAAATTACCATGACAGTAGAAAATACTGTATTATTAAGGGAAATGGAAATAAAACTACAATTATAAATAGTAACAAACTAATATGTTACCTTACATGACCTCTCGTCCTCTTTGTTTCACTAGGAGAGTGCCATTCTGCAGTCATTCAAGCAGTAGAAGACTTGGATTTGTCTAAAGTTCTTCCTTTAGGTCGTCAGCACGGTATCTTAAACAGCCTTGAGATAGTATTGAAAAACATTAGTCATCTGATCAGCGCATACCTGCCGAAGATTTTGCAGATACTGCTCTGTATGACAGCAACCGTATCACACATCCTTGACCAACGAGAAAAGGTTAGATTCACTATAGATGCTTTCAAGTCAAGTGCTTGAACTGATATTTCTTGGATTTTAATTCCAAGAGCCTAGAAGTATAAGGTATCTTCCAACTCTCATTTCAAGTTTGATCCCAGAACAAAGCCCAAAATTGTAAATGATTTAAGTGAAAATAAATTTCACAATATCTGACATGCAGTCAAACATTACTAGGCATACAAAGAAGGAGGAAAATTTTACCTATAATGAGGAGAAAAAGCAATCAATAAAAGCAGATCCAGAAATGACACAGATAATAGAATTAGACAAGGAGGCTGATGCCACCACTTTGGGAGGCCAAGGTGGGAGGATCACTGGATGCCAGGAGTTTGAGACCAGCCTGGACAACATAGCAAGACCCCATTTATGCAAAAAAGTAAAAAAATTAGCCAGGTGCGGTAGTGCACACCTGTACTCAGGAGGCTAAAGTGAGAGGATCACTTGATCCCAGGAGATTGAGGCTGTAGTAGGCCAAGATCACACCACTGCATTCCAGCATGGGCAACAGAGTGAGACTCTGCCTCTTAAAAAAAAAAAAAGAAAGAAAAAAAAAGGGACATTAAAATAGTTATTATAAAAACACTCCATATATTAGAGAAAGTAGAAGAAATCATGAGCATGTTAAGGAGAGACATGGAAGATGTGCAAAATTTAATGTAAGACGAGGAAATATAATAGAAAGTGATCAGTGTAGGGGTGGATAGGTGCTGCATTTACTAGGATGGTGAGGGTCCTCTATAAAAAGGTGATCTTTGAGCTTACACCTCACCATGAGAAGAACATTTCAGGCAAAGAAAATGACTAGTGCAAAATCCCTGGTTGGGAATGGTCTTGACATGTTGTAAGAATAGATGAGGCTGTGGTGGCTAGAGCACCAGGAGCAGGAAGAGTCATGTAAGGTGAGGATGAAGAGGTAGGTCGTAGGGGCTCTGTAGGACTTTGTAGGCTATGATGAGGGGGTGAATTTACTTCTAAGGATAATGGAAACTGCTGAGAAGCTCGAAGCAGGTGAGTAATAAGGACTGTGTAGTGTTTTAAAAATATTGCTTTAGTTGCTTTGTGGAAAAGGGACTATAGGAGGCCAAGAATGGAAGCAGAAAAGAGGTCTTAGAAAGTTCTTTCTCTGTTATATGAGAGTGTAATAAGGGCCATGGGAAGAATCAGGTGAGAACCTGTTTATGCTTTGTAGCAAGTGATAGTGACTTTGTCTGTATATGAATATATTAAATTGTGAAAGGTTTGCCTGTGTAGTGCCTTCACATTTTTGGTTAACTTAGGAGTTACTTAGTAATGCAGCCTCACTCCCAAGTCAATAATCAGTAACTCAAAGGATAATTTATACAGTTTCACAGTTCATTAGTTAATGAGATTTTAAGCTTGTTGACAGATAGGAGCTTTCTTATATTTTCCTTTGAAATTCTTGGACCCATCCAAGGAATTCCTTAAAGTGAATTATTGCACAGTAGTTTTGCTTAAGTGAGTTAAAGTTCTACATTTATGTGCTTGAGCTCAGTTATATATTTACTTTTTTGTGTCTTTCCTTTAGGGCATTGATCGGTATTGAAAGATACTTGAAAATTGTTGGTTTTGAGGTTTTTTTGTACATTTAAGCAACAGTGTAACTTGTAAACATACACAAACTCAATCATATTGACTGTTCCTCTAGGAATTAAATTCTATGATTGCTCATTTTCAGGATTTTTCTCTAGTTTATTCAACAATTATTGAGTAAATTGGGCAGCTGGCACTTTAGTTACAGAAATGAATAGAACATGCAGATTGTACCCAATGGGAAGGGTGGTTGGTGGGAATGGGAGATGGATGGGGAGTGTCTATTTGATATCATGTTTGCAGTTGTGAGCTTCATATTTGCTCCATATAATATGTTTTTTCAAATATCAGGGATAATTTTTATCTTTCACTAAACTTGATGCAGCTGATGAAAATATTGCTAGTAGAATTGAAGCAGAGCAGAATGACTTGTAACTACATCACCTTGTGCTTGCTTACCTGTCATTTCCTTTGTAACTTGTATAAGATAATAAGCTGAAAGTAGAACATATGTGAGATACCATGATTCCTGAGGCTTGCTCAGCAAACTAATGACATCCTTGTTCATATTTACTTGAATTTAAAATGTGCTGTATCAGATTCAAATACCTCTGTCTGTCAGATTATCAGATTTTCATGATAAGTAATTTTCCTATTAGTTTTCTTCATGTTATCTTGGCCATAAGACTTGATATTCACTATATGAGAGCATTTGTGTTGTCTTTATAAATTGCAAGGTGGCTTTTAGGTTTTAATGTAGGTAATTAAGGTGATATATAAAAATAAATTATCACTTGTATGTCTAGAGCCCACAGTTTACTAATCAAGTGGGAAAACAATTAGGGGTTGAATCTTCTCCCATTTGTTTTTTTTTTTTTTTAACATTCTGTGCTAGGGAAAAATCCCTTTGAGGCCCTTGTCTTTCCTCTGCTTGGCCTAAAGCTCTTCATTCTTTAATACCCAGTAGAAATCTGCCTATTCCATGAAGCTCTATCCTGAAATTTGTAGTAATTCCTCCTACTGAAATATCTTTGGGCTGGGTGTGGTGGCTCACACCTGCAATCCCAGCACTTTGGGAGTCCGAGGCGGGCAGATCACCTGAGATGGGGAGTTCGAGACCAGCCTGACCAACATGGAGAAACCCCGTCTCTACTGAAAATACAAAATGAACGGGGCGTGGTGGTGCATGCCTGTAATCCCAGCTACTCGGGAGGCTGAGGCAGGAGAATCACTTGAACCCAGGAGGTGGAGGTTGCGGTGAGCCCAGATTGTGCCATTGCACTCCAACCTGGGCAACAAGAGCGAAGCTCCATCTCAAAAAGAAAAAAAAGAAATGTCTTTCGCATTTTCAGTCTCTCACATACATTCAATAAATTTGCCTTTAATAAGATTTTCAGTTGAATTGAGGTCAGGACCTCAATTCATACTAATGGCATGCCACTGGAGCCATTAGTAGGGACTCAATAAATTGTCCTACTCTGAGCCTGAACAAATTGGCTGCGTATTTGTGATTTTATAACTCACAGCGAAGGAGATGCCAGTGGAAGTAGCAATATTTGTTATTTTAAAGGTTTGCTTTTATTTCACACTCATTCCAGCCTCTATGCCTCTAAACAGACAAATCGTATTTCCTCCTAAATTGCATTTTTCTTTGAACTATGTATGTTGAGATCTTCCTATCCCTTGACTCAGTCACATCATCCTCTTGCTGTACAAAGTATTTCACTGTATGGAAAAATCATAAATTCCTTAACTAGTCCCCTAGACTAATTTTAACAAGAATAATTTATAACTTCTAGTCTTAAAAAAGTAAAATATTAAGTATGGAAATAAATAGAAAAATGGCTTTTATTTGAAATGAAGATTTAATTTTTTTCCCCCTAATATAAGGCATTATGTTGGGAAAAAAATTTTAAAAAAAAGTTTTGCTTTGTTTAGAATGTTCTGTTCATGGGAAGAAATCAGGATTTTACTTGAATGAAAAAGTAAAACAATACAGAATACAAAACAACTATTCCAGTTGTAATATTTTTTCTTAAGGATAACTAGTGTGACTACTAGGCAGTGATATTGTTTTAAGACTCTGCTTTCTTTTCTTGTTCAATGAGAAAAGTAAGACAGTTTGCTTGGTTGGTGTTCCCATGTAAATCAAGTCAACAGATTTAGTAACAGGATTTCCAGTTTGATTCTTAGCCACCTGAGCAAGAGTGCCTCTCTGAGGAATCAGGGATAAAAATGATACATATGTATTTTTTGAACAGAAGATCTTTGTTTTACAGATACAGCTGAGATTTATTAATCCATTGAAAAATTTAAGACGTCTTGGAATCAAAATGGTAACTGATATCTTTTTGGACTGGGAATCATATCAGTTTAGAACAGAAGAAATTGATGCTGTGTTTCATGGTGCAGTTTGGCCCCAGGTAAACCTCAATTTCTACATCTGCCTATGTACGTTCTGCTTTTTCCTTTATTACTAACTCACCAACATAGCTACCACCCAGACATGAATGCTTACCTGGGTCTTTCCTTTTACATCGAGCCCTTCTTTCTGGAAGTTTTTAGAACACTTTTCTTTGCCTTCACTACCACCTAAAACTCAAGAGTTAGTTTCTGCTGTACCATGGCATTTACACTTAAGGCTCAGTTGAATATGAATGTGTCTCTTAAGCAACTGTAACATAACTGTTTTTTTGAGATAGAGTCTTGCTTACTGCAACCTCTGCCTCCTGGATTCAAGAAAGAGATTCTCCTGCCTCAGCCTCCCAAGTAGCTGGGATTACAGCCATGCACCACAATGTCCAGCTAATTTTTGTATTTTTAGTAGAGATGGAGTTTCGCCATGTTGGCCAGGCTGGTCTTGAACTCCTGACCTCAGGTGATCCGCCTGCCTTGGCCTCCCAAAGTGCTGGGATTACAGGCGTGAGCCACTGTGCCCGGCCTGTAACATGACTTTTATAGCACCTCACATAGCGTTGCCTCTGGCTTTGGACAAGTGTGAGGGAAAACACCCAGGTGTTTTTATTACATACTTCCTATTTTGATTTCTCTGGTTGTAACCCCTTGGTGATGGTAACTGGTA
Organism: Homo sapiens; assembly: GCF_000001405.40. NCBI lineage: Eukaryota > Metazoa > Chordata > Mammalia > Primates > Hominidae > Homo > Homo sapiens. The sequence goes on from NC_000012.12 coordinate 101,334,104, forward strand.
TAGGTATAGACTGAAGGAGAGATTTGATTTTAGGAAATGTTTCTAGGTGTTTGAGGTCCCAGTCATTTCCAACACTCTGAAACCTAAAATACCATTTCCTTTCTGGTGTCTAGCACTTCCATGCATCACCTTTGCCATTTTTCCTATGTAGATGTTCTTTTGGATCTCTTTATACTTTTTCTTATTGTGTCATTTGGATGTTCATCTCTGTCCCTTGTCTTTTTCATCCTGTGCTGTGATTTCTGTACTTGTTAGTTATTTGTGGTTTTTCTATAATTTGGTATATGTATTTGGTATTCTGTTTTTTACTTTGTCTCCTAGATCAGCAGGCTTGGATCTGAGAGTCAATATTCTCCTACTCCTCTGCTGAAACTGATCAGTATCTGGAGCAGAAACGCAAGGTATAACCTTTCTTTTTTCCTTCTTTAAAAAGGGCAGTGTTTTAGATGAATCTGGTTAAAGCAGTCCAGGAAACTAATAGTGTAATTTATGGTCTTTCCATACAGTGAACTACTTTTGGTACAGTTAGAGAATGAGGCAGCTGAGTAAAAGCAAGGAAAGATCTCAAAATACATAGTTTAAAGAAAAATGTAGCCATGCACAGTGGCTCACGCCTGTAATCCCAGTACTTTGGGAGGCAGAGGCAGGATTGCTTGACCTCAGGAATTCGAGACCAGTCTGGACAACGTAGTGAGGGCTTGTCTCTACTGAAAATCAAAAAATTGGCTGGGCATGTGGCGCATGCCTTTAGTTCCAGCTACTTGGAGGCTGAGGTGGGAGGATTGCTTGAGCCAACAAAGTTGAGGCTACAATGAGCCATGATCATGCCACTGCATTCTAGCCTGGGTGAAAGCGAGACCCTGTCTCAAAAAAAAAAAAAAGATAAAAAGATAAATTGCTAGACAGTATATATAGTGTGATCCAGGAAAGTTTGTGTCTATGTGTATAAATATGAAATGAAATAGAAACTGTCCAGAAGGACACATGAGAACTGTTAACAATGTGGCCATAGCACGTGGAGGTTTGGGTAGACCAGAGCAGGGAGAGGAGACTTTTCATAATACATCCTTTGGACTGTTTGAATTTTTTATAATAATTAAACAGGAAAAATAGGTAAAATAACATCTTGCAAAGTAATGAAAATTTTAGAGTATGTATTACAGCTAAAACTAATACTTTTTAATAATTTTTACAGTTTGATTAAAACTTGAAAATTTTAAGTATTAGAATTGATAGAGATGTTCTTCCAATATATGTAATAATTATGTCAGCAGTTTGATTTGGCCTGGCAAAGGGAGAAACAGAATGTGAAACACACCAGATAGTTATATCATCACATAAATATTATCATTTTCTGCATGCTTGCTTAAAAATAAATGCTGACTTGTAATTGGCATTCTATGTCTTTCTCCCAGTTCCCACTGAAAATCAGGAAAACCTCACAAGCTTTCTAGATTTTCTAGACCATTGTCTTCTTTGTGAAACTCCATCTAAATGTACATTCAGCTCTCATGGTCAGAAAAGGTTTTATTATTGATTCAGTGATGTTAAAATCATAGTCTTGGTTTTTACAAGATTGGAATCATACTGTACTGGCTTTTGATTTTGTTTTTTTCATGTATCTTTATGTCATGAACATTTCTTCATGTTACTAGTCTTCAGAAACAAACCAAAAACCGTGACATTGTCTTCCTCAGGAAAACTTGTTTATTTTACTAATAGTATGTTCTCTACATTTATTCCCCAATTTGACACAGCAATTTTATATCTTTATCATTGGACATTTGTAAGCGACACTTCATAGGCTTACTTGAGAAATGTTGTATAGTTTTGTCATTTCTATGCAAATAAGCCATGAAGGACTTTCATCCAGGAAGACTTTACAATAGAGATTCATTTTTATATTCATTGGGTCCTTATTGAAGGTATTGAGCCACATTGTTGGATGCCACTTCATTCTTTTCTGCAATTTCTCATTTTTTGGTTGGGTAAATAGAAGCCATATAGCAATGGAAGAGTTAGGCAGCAGAACCTTTTTTTCCCTTTTATACTTAACACTCACCTGAAGAAATCTATAAAAGTGTTGACTTCCCTTGGAATCCACATAACAATAGATATGCATATGAAGTTGTGTGTGGAAGAACGAATGAATATTTCAGAACCCCTTCAATGGGAATGTTACTTTTTAATTAAAAAAATTTAGATTTTGAAGTGTAGTTGCAGTTTACATAGTATCAATCAGAAATTAAAACAGATTTTTCATCTATAGAGAAGTCTAGCATTTTACTAGCTTATAAGTAAGTTTAAATTTTCTCAGAAATAGCTGAACTCAGGACAGCAAAAACTTATTAATTAGGGTGAACATGTACTTTTTTGTCCAAACTGAAAAACTCCTGAGGTTGAAAAGAGTTGTAATAAGTAAGTCAAAACAGCCAATGTAAGCTGGGACTGTCCCAGACCCCTCTCTTAGCTGCTCTGGTTCTAGTCACCACAGCCCCAGCATAGCAGTCTCTTCTTCCTGCATGCCCTTTCCAGCTCTGTAAGGCCCTGTCATCACATACTGCCTTTGTTGTATTCATCTATCTTCATAACGTATTATCCACAGCTCCTTCAGGGCAAAGACCATGTCTCATTTATTACTCCACAGAGGGTTACACATCTCCATCCATGTGTAGCTGATGATCATTGCATGTTGTCTGAGTGATTGGAATTGCTGATTGAGCCATTCACGTTAGCATGTAGCATGCTCATTGTACTGTGGCAGCAAGTTACGTTGGTCAAGGGAAAACGGTTTGGTCACTGGGAAGTTGCATTGTATCTGAATGGGCTCTTGCTAGGACTTTACTCGCAGTTGAAAGCAGTTCCCTTCCCTTTTCTGCTAGAAAAATTTTAAGACAACAAAACAACATAGTGGTTAAGAGCACAGTTTCTGAAGCCTCACTAACGTAGCTTCAAATCCTAGCACCACTGTGCGTTCTTTTGGTCAAGTTTGCCTCTGAGCCTCAGTTTCATCACCTGTAAAATGGATATAATAACAGACCTACTTCATTGATAATAGAGATGATAATATATAATATAGTGTCTTGTGTAGAGCCTACCCGTACCATGCACAGTATTTGCTGGACAGAAAGATGTATGAATATAACCTCTTAGAACTTTTCTGTCAGTTTGTCAATGCTAAGTATGTTAAAGAGCTCAAGCTCTTTTGTTTTTTTTCCAGTGATGATAAATTGAAAAAGGCAAACTATCTGGATTGTTTCTGTTTGACCTTCCTAGTAATTGTTAGGATTGCATTTCTGACTGAATCAACTGCCGGTTTACCCTTGGCTGGAAAGCCTTTGTCTCTCTGCCCTTGTTGGTGCATTTGCATCAGGAAGGATATTTATAACTTTCATGTGAGTCTTTCATTATTGGGGATGGATTCATCCCTGTCTCCCAACATTGAATGTTCCATATCCTAATCAATAAACGTTTGTTTGGTCTGTACTCCTAACTCCTATGTTCTAGTACATAGGGTTTTACGTGAGTGTATAAACATTCACATTCTTGAAAGCTTATAACTGAAAAGTAGTTTGTTTTCAGTAAGTCTCTTTTAGAAAGAGCTTAGACATTGGAATTAGATTGTGATTCAAATCTCAGCTCTATTATTAGCTCAGTGGCTTCGGACAAATCTGTTTTTTCATCTGTAATGTAGGGATAATGATACGACCACATAGAAACGTTGTGAGAATTAAATGAGAAATATATATAAAGTGCCTAAGTAATATGTTTGTAAGGTAATACTTAGAATTATTATCCATCAAATTTTAGATTTAAACTAATTCCCCTTTGAATAATCTTATTAATGTTGAATATTTGTTAAACTCATGGTGAAAATTCATATGGACATGTTTTTAGAAGTGAACATATTGAGAATAAGATGATTACTACAATGTTTTTTCTTCCAGATATTTCCCTTTGCTGGCTAAACAGAAGCCTGGGCACCCAGAATGTGATATCCTGACCAATGTTTTTGCAATTCTCTCAGCGAAGAATCTTTCTGATGCCACAGCCAGTATTGTAATGGACATAGTTGATGACCTTCTTAACCTTCCAGATTTCGAGCCTACAGAAACAGTTTTGAACTTGCTGGTAACTGGATGTGTATACCCTGGCATAGCAGAAAACATCGGTGGTATGTATGCTGACAAAGCAGATAATTCTTAGACTTCTGCTGTAGCAATTGTTTCCTTAGAAGAGAAAAAAAATCAGTATAATTTGACTCACTCGAGAGCATATGCTCAGAAGTTTCTTTTCCCTGGGAACTAATACTAATTTATATAAACTGAATTTTCTTTGTAGTTATAAGAATAGATTATTTACTCTCCAAGAAGTCTCAACTCTGCTGCAGGAAATTATGAAAATGATTTCTACTGTCATGTCTCTACATTCTTCTTACCATATTATCCCAAATAATTCCCTTACTATTACCAAAAAATGGTTTAAATAAAGCCTCAGGGGTCTCTTAAATAAGTTCTTGATTTAGCTAGTAATATAGCTATTTTGAATAAGAAGAAAGTTGTTTATTTAGAATTTAGAATTTATTTAGAATTGAAATTTAACTTAAATGTTCATAGTGGTTGAGTGCTTTTCTTATCATCATGAAGATTTTGTACAATTATGCCTTAAGAGAGTTTATTAAAATCAAATCAAATCACTATCTATTTCAGAGTCTATCACAATAGGAGGAAGATTAATTCTACCTCATGTACCTGCAATTCTTCAGTATCTCAGCAAAACCACAATAAGCGCAGAAAAGGTGAAAAAGAAAAAGAATAGAGCACAAGTCAGTAAAGAGCTTGGCATTCTTTCAAAGTAAGTGATATGTTGATACTTAAAAGATAACATTACCATCCTTGGTTTTAACTTTTTAAAAAATTATTATCTTGGCCAGGCGTGGTGGCTCACACCTGTAATCCCAGCACTTTGGGAGGCTGAGGTGGGTGGATCACCTGAGGTCAGGGGTTCAAGACCAGCCTGACCAACATGGCAAAACCCCGTCTCTACTAAAAATACAAAAGTTAGCTGGGCGTGGTGGTGGACACCTGTAATCTCAGCTACTCAGGAGACTGAGGCAGGAGAATGGCTTGAACCCAGGAGGCGGAGGTTGCAGTGAGCCGAGATCGCGCCACTGCACTCCAGCCTGGGCGACAGAGTGAGACTCCATCTCAAAAATAAAATAAAATAAAATAAATTTAAAAAAAATTATTATCTTGTTTTTCAGGTGTTGGAATCTGGCAATAAGAAGCTAAAAAGTTTTTTAGTATTTTTGAATGCCCTTTACTTTTAAGTTAATGCAGAATTCCCTTTCTCTGCTGGATTACTTACTAGAAACCGTTCATAGCATCTGCCTTTATTTAATAAAATTAAAGGGGACAGATTTTTCAAAATCCTAAAGTAGACTAATAGATTTGTTTGTTTAGCATTTGTGTATTTTGAGTTTTGTGGAATTGCAGTTTTTTACTCTTTAGTGTAATGATAAAAATAATTAACTTAAAAGAGCAGATTGTTCGGTTTTTTTGAGTCAAGATCTCACAAGGGTTGTTAAAGAGTCTGTTTGGCAGTAGACCTAGGAGTGTATTGTGATTTCGGTAAAGGGAAAGGTTAATAAACCTGAGTGCAAGAAACAATTCTATCTTAATTTTAAGTTGACCATTACAAGGCTTAGTTGTTGAAAATGTATTTTTTCTGTTACTTACAACAGTGTCAACAAAAAGTGATATGTTCGAATCCTCTAGAAACTTCTTTGCAATGCATTTTAAAATACTATTGTATTTCTAAGTTATGCAGAGTGGGAAATCATACTAATACACTCATTAAATTTCATCCCAGGCTATGTAGTAGTAGAAGGATGATGAGAGGAGATTAGGAACCAGAAAGACCAGAGTTTGAAAGACCTGCTGTACTTCTTCTAGCTGTGAGACATCAGTTTCTCTGAGTCTCAGTTTTTTTCAGGGCAAAATCAGGCTGATGATTCCTATATTGCAGGGCTATCATGGGTGTTAAATTGAAATACTGTACATAAACCCTTAAGTCTTGGCACTTAAAAATGTTATTTCTTTTCAAAATAAAACAATTACTAATTACCAGACTGGAGTTCACTCTAACCCACCTATTCACCTGTTCACTCTAACCCACACAATCAGATATTGCAAAAGAAATAGAATAGTGGCCATGAGCTTGATGTTGGAGAGGAGTAAGAGTGAGCACAGCTAAGTAACTGAGGTAAACTTTTTATACATGCACACATACTTAAAAGCTAGCTGTGTATTGGAATGCTAAAACTGTGTCTTTAGTCATTGTTTTTCTACAAAAAGTTTAACTTCTTAGAGAAATATCCTTGTATATGTTCCTTATATATCCGTTTTTTCCTTCTTTAGGATCAGCAAGTTTATGAAAGACAAAGAACAAAGTTCTGTACTCATTACGCTTCTCCTTCCATTCCTCCACCGTGGCAATATTGCTGAGGTACAAACTCATAGGACACTTAACTTTGTCTCTAGAGTGGCACTTTATCACTAGGTTTAATTGCGAGCAGCAATTTTACTGGCTAGATTTTGTGATGCATTTGTCGCAAGGAACTTAAAATACTTTATATAGAAATTAAAAAAATTAGAAATAGAGGGAAAAGACTGGGACAGACACTAGGAATGGGGGCAGGCAAGAAAGCGGAGACATCGTCATCTACAACAACAAAGTACTAGCCCCTTTATTTCCCTTGTTTAGCTTCTGATTCATTTCAGGGGTTTTTCTTTCTCTAACAAGCCTGGAACCCAAGAAGTGCATTGTGTAATCTTTTTTTTTTTTTTTTTTTTTTTTTTTTTTTTTTTTTTTTTTTTTTTTTTTTTTTGAGATGGAGTTTCACTCTTGTCCTCCAGGCTGGTGTGCAATGGCAAAATCTCGGCTCACTGCAACCTCCACCTCCTGGGTTCAAGCAATTCTCCTGCCTCAGCCTCCCAAGTAGCTGGGAATACAGGTGCCTGCCACCACGCCCAGCTAGTTTTTTTGTATTTTCAATAGGGATGGGGTTTCACCGTGTTGGCCAGGCTGGCCTGGAACTCCTGACCTCGGGTGATCTGCCCGCCTCGGCCTCCCAAAGTGCTGGGATTACAGGCATGAGCCACCGCGCCCGGCCTCATTATATAATCTTAATTGTAGATCACAGTGGCAAAACAGAATAAAATCAGACTTTTAATATTCAGACACAGCTAAGTGTTCCTGATATGATTTTCAAACCCTAGTTCAATCTTAATTAGGAGTCCTCCAGTGGCTCAAGCTCATTTGTCAGACCTCAGTAGTGATACTAAACATTTCTCCCCACATAGTTGTTCAATTTAGAAGACCACAGATCTGTAGACAACCAGAAATGTATACAGTTGGCCCTCTGTATTCACATTTCCACATATGTGGATTCAACCAATCATAGATGAAAATATTTGGAGAAATAACAATATAATTATAAAAATGATAGAAACTTTAACTGGCAGGGCACAGTGGCTCACGCCTGTAATCCCCGCACTTTGGGAGGCCAAGGCAGGCAGATCACGAGGTCAGGAGTTCAAGACCAGGGTGGCCAACATAGTGAAACCCTGTTTCTACTAAAAATAAAAAAATTAGCCTGGCATGGTGGCGTATGTCTGTACTCCCAGCTACTTAGGAGGCTGAGGCAGGAGAATCGCTTGAACCCAGGAGGTGGAGGTTGTGGTGAGCTGAGATCATGCCACTGCACTCCAGACTGGACAACAGAGTGAGACTCCATCTCAAAAAATATATAAATAAAATAAAAATAATACAAATTTTAAAAATGCAGTATAACAACTATTTACGTAGCATTTACATTGTATTGGGTATTATAAGTAATCTAGAGGTGACTTAAAATATACAGAAGGGTGTGTGTGGGTGATATGCAAATACCATGCCTTTTTATATAAGGGACTTAAACATCCTTGGAGTTTGGTATTTTTTGGGGTCCTGGAACCAGTCCCCCTTGGATACCGAGGGACGACTGTACTTCAGCAAGCTCATTTTCTTGTATCTTTTTTGATTAGACAATAGAAGAAATTATGTTTCAAAACTACATATATTGCTTATTAGAATTAAAGGAAGAAACTGGTTCACACATTCTTATGGGTTTTACATTAAATTAAAATGCTAAAAACTTTTAAAAGACGATAAAATAATTTTTCCAATTACTACTTTTACATCTTATTCACAATTGTTTTCTATGCTATAATATATTAAAGTATAAGTTGACCAGTTTATAACTTACTGAAATATGATTTCTCTGATTATTTCTTCTCAAGGATACAGAGGTTGATATTCTGGTGACAGTACAAAACTTGTTAAAGCATTGTGTGGACCCTACAAGCTTCCTCAAGCCTATAGCAAAACTTTTCTCAGTTATTAAGAACAAATTGTCAAGAAAATTGCTTTGTACGGTTTTTGAGGTCTGTACTATTCATTTTTACTCCAAATCACCCTTTTAAAAAAATGTAATTATGACTTGTAAACCATATTAGGGGCTTTCTTCATGCCAGGGTGATGTTTTTATATGAATTTGAATGGGGACAGGTAGCTGAGGGGAGGAGGGCAGAAAAGTTAAAGTTTTATTCACTGATAAATACACTGTTTTCTTTCCTTTCAGACTCTTTCTGATTTTGAGAGTGGGTTAAAATATATTACTGATGTTGTCAAGGTAAGAAAGAAGGGTTTCTCTTTGGCTTCAAAAGTATTATCATTTTTGTTTACTGAAGATTTATATGCCTTCTTTTATATAACTTCAATGGCATTTCTTATAGCTTAACGCCTTCGATCAAAGACATCTTGATGATATCAACTTCGACGTTCGCTTTGAGACTTTCCAGACCATCACCTCTTACATTAAAGAAATGCAAATTGTGGATGTTAACTACCTAATTCCAGTTATGCATAATTGTTTCTATAATCTAGAGGTAGGTTATTATAGCAAAATTTTTAAATTATTTTTTATTGTTTTGGTAATACGGCTGCCTAATACAGTGACCTGATCTTTAAATTTGTTTTTTGAGGGGGGACAAAGGTTTTTAGGATTAAATTTCTTTTAGATGAAGAATCTTATGTCTGGCAAAACAGTTATTCTCATGATTTAAAAGGCAAATATTGTGAATAAAATAATACATATGAAAGCATTTTGAAAAAAATCAAGAAGTTATGTATTAGAATAGGGAAATCCATAGAGATGAAGTACATTAGGTCACTAAAGGCTGCAGAAAGGGAGGAATGGGGCGTGATTTCTAATGGGTATAGGGTTTCTTTTGGGAGTGATGAAAATGTTCTGGAATTAGTGGTGATGATCACACAACCTCGTGAATATACTTAAAACCACTGAATTGTAAATTTTTTTTTTGGAGACAGGATCTCGTTCTGTCACCCAGGCTAGAGTGCAGTGATGTGATCTTGGTTCACTGCAGCCTCTGCTGCCAGGTTCAACCAATTCTCCCACCTCAGCCTCCCGAATAGTAGCTGGGATTACAGGGGCACGCCACCACACCCACCTAATTTTTGCATTTTATTAGAGACGAGGTTTCACCATGTTGGCCAGGCTAGTCTCGAACTTCTGACCTCAGGCGATCCGCCCATCTTGGCCTCCCAAAGTGCTGGGATTATAGGTGTGGGCCACCGCACCCAGCCAAATAGTAAGTTTTTTAAAAGGGTGAATTTTATGGTGTGTCAATTATGTCAATTTTTAAACATGCAACTATACTAATTGAAAATTATCCCTTTTTTATTGAAGTTATAAGAGAATTAAAAAGTGTTTGGAATATATTAAGTGCTATGTTGCTGAACTAAATTAAAATCCAAAAATGCAGAAAATGAAACCTTTGATTATTGTTAATCATGTAGTGGCATCAGTGATCTCTTTGTGGCATTTTATAGTTATTCATCTAATATTAAGGATTACGTAATATATGAAAAAATAATCTCCCTGTTTTATACTCATTCTTCATAATCATGCCAAAATTCAGCACAAAAAATTCTAAGTCGCTGCCTGGCTGGCTGAGTCAAGGATACCTTCCCTACACTCACTTTGACATTCTTCAAACCACAAACTCTGGAGCAGCCAATTCTGTCATTTTCAGTAATGACCGGATACTGAATATTGAAAACTGGCTTTAGTGAACCTTTTAGACTGCCTGCTTTGGGAAGTAAAACTAATTAACAAGGACATTTCATAGTGCTGCCTGAAATTAAATGACACTTCTTGGGAAGCGTGGTTTTTCAGCCTTTTACAGTATTATATTCCTCACAGAACATTTGGTTCTCCCTTAGGTTTGAAATATTTGTGGGAACTTGTTTAGTAGGCATTTTTACAAGCACAGTGACAGAATTTTGTAGATGCTTGCACTGGGAAGTAATATTCCATATTGTAGTTATTACAGAGAATAATTTCTTTTTTATTTCTCTTTTTTGCAGTTAGGAGATATGAGTTTAAGTGATAATGCCAGCATGTGCCTGATGAGTATCATCAAAAAGCTAGCTGCCTTGAATGTCACAGAGAAAGACTATAGAGAAATCATCCACCGTTCACTCCTGGAGAAATTGAGAAAAGGTCTGAAGAGCCAGACAGAGGTATATAACTTTGTGTTTTAGGCACTACTGTCTGAGGCTGTGTTTTGTTTTGTTTTCCCACGTTTGCTACTGTTGTATAGAAAAGTAGTCAGGCTTAGTGCATTTAATGAGAATACTTGGTTGAGTAAATAGTCACCAGACTTTTAATGGGAGTGGGTCTAGAAAGGAGAGCACTTTTTTTTGCTTTTTTTTTTTTTTTTTTTTTTTTTTTTTGAGACGGAGTCTCGCTCTGTTGCCCAGGCTGGACTACAGTGGCGTGATCTTGGCTCACTGCAACCTCCGCCTCCCGGGTTCAAGTGATTCTCCTGCCTCAGCCTCCAGAGTAGCCGGGATTACAGGCACATGCCACCACGCCCAGCTAATTTTTGTATTTTTAGTAGAGACGGGGTTTCACCATGTTGGCCAAGCTGGTCCCGAACTCCTGACCTCAAGTGATCCACCTGCCTTGGCCTCCCAAATTGCTGGGATTACAGGTATGAGCACCATGCCTGGCCACCAGTCACTTTGGATCTAATATAGCTGTCAGGTTTTTTTTGTTTTTTGTTTTTGAGACAGGGGCTCACTTTGTTGCCTAGGCTGGAGTACACCACCACACCTGGCTGATTTTTGTATTTTTTGTAGAGACAGGATTTCACCATGTTGTCCAGGCTGTCCTCAAACTCCTGGGCTCAAGCAATCCTGACTTTTTTTTTTAACAGTGGAAATATTTTACTTTTTAAAATTTTATGTTTTTTTCTGTTTCCTCATATTAGAAACAAATTCTTTTTAAAATAAAATGTTTTTTCTCCACTTCATATTTACAGAGTATTCAGCAGGATTATACCACAATACTTTCCTGTTTAATTCAAACCTTTCCAAACCAACTGGAATTCAAAGACTTGGTACAACTTACTCATTACCATGACCCAGAAATGGACTTCTTTGAGAACATGAAGCACATTCAGGTAGAAGACAATTCTGCTTTTTCCTACCTACGACATAAGCATACATATTTCAAACAGTTCTACCTCATTTGGAAAGACATGTTTTAACTTTCCAAAAAGGTTTAAGCTTCTCTTTCCTTGGTCTTTATGATCATCATTGAAATTTGTGTTAAGATGATCATTTCCTGGATTCTAATTTCTTTGGTGGTATCACAAACCACAGTTAATAATAGTGTCGCTTTTCTCTGCCTTTTCCTAAGAAGTGTAAATGCTTTGGGTCCATTGTTAAACAAATGCTATGGATTATATCTCTGAAAGCAAATCAAGGCACAGGTGTTTGCTCTTGTAACACATGGACTGTGTTTCACTTCCTTAATCTTTGTCTTTTTTTTTTTGAGATGGAGTTTCGCTCTTGTTGCCCAGGCTGGAGTGCAATGGCGCAATCTCAGCTCACTGTAACCTCCGCCTCCAGGGTTCAAGTGATTCTCCTGCCTCAGCGTCCTGAGTAGCTGGGATTACAGGCATGCACCACCACACCCAGCTAATTTTGTATTTTAGTAGAGACGGGGTTTTCTCCATGTTGATCAGGCTGGTCTTGAACTCCCGACCTCAGGTGATCTGCCCATCTCGGCCTCCCGAGTGCTAGGATTACAGGCATGAGCCACCGCACCTGGCCACTCCTTTAATCTTTTTATGAAAAGAGAATACGATACTAAAATGGAGCTGGTTGTAGGTGAGATTATTCGGTAACTAATTCATATTTTATCTTACCCATAGATCCACAGAAGAGCAAGAGCCTTGAAGAAACTTGCAAAACAACTAATGGAAGGCAAAGTTGTTCTGTCTTCTAAATCTCTTCAGAATTACATCATGCCTTATGCCATGACTCCAATTTTTGATGAGAAAATGCTCAAGGTAGGTCATTAGATCTAGAAACCAAGGACCCTCTTCCCATACCATGACACACTTTGCCAGAATATACATGGAGTTGGTGGTGTTTGTGTTGATGTCATCACCATAATTAGAGGTTTAGAATAGTTCTAAAGTTCTTAGAACTGTGTCTGACACATAGTAAATGCTATATAAATGGTGGCTATTATTTGTGTTTTTGCTATTATTAGCTCACAAAGGCCGAGCGCAAAATATTCTTCCTCCTAGAAATTATCCCATTATTAAAATTGCATACTTTTATTTTTGTGTCATAGGACTTAAATCTGGTTAACTCCCCTAGTCAGCAGTCATTATTTTTGCAAATGATTTACAAGAAATGAAATGAAATAGTAGGTTATCATTAACACCATACCAGGTACCAGGCACTATTTCAAGTGCTTCATTCTCACAACAACTCAACTCTCTGGAGTAGGGTAGGGACTATTCTTCAACTACTATTTTACAGGAGAGTAATCTGAGAAGAAGTGAGGTTATATAACTTTCTCAGAGACACCCAGAGTCAGAACTGGTATTCCAACTTAGGGCTGTTTTAACCTTTATATTACACAGTGCCTAGAATGGTGCCTGGCACATAGTAAAGACTAGATAAGTAATTATTGATTAAAAAGATTAATGAGGTCAAGTGCAGTGGCTCACACCTGTAATCTCAGCACTTTAGGAGGCCGAGGCAGGTGGATCACTTGAGGTCAGGAGTTTGAGACCAGCCTGGCCAAAATGGCAAAAACCCATGTGCACCAAAGATATAAAAATTAGCCAGGCATGGTGGTGCATGCCTGTAATCCCAGCTACTCGGGAGGCTGAGGCAGGAGGATCATTTGAACCCAGGAGGCAGAGGCTGCAGTGAGCCGAGATTACGCTACTGCACTCCAGCCTGGGCGACAGAGCGAGACTATTTGAAAAAAAAAAGTTTAATGAAAGGTGGTATTAAATGATCATAGAAATTCAAATCTAACTGCAGTAATGTCAGGATTTGTGACTTAAATTTATACTGTTGATTACATGGCCTTATACAATAATAGATTTCCTCTGTTGTTTCAGGATATTCAAAATGTTTAAAAGAATTACCTAAGTAGTTAAAAGATAGCTCCCTTATATTCTAGTTTAAAAGCTAGTAAGCACAACCTAACTGTTTGATGCCATTGAAATATGAATGGTGTGTAGACAGGAAAAAAATAAAGTATACTTAGCTTTGGTTGATGTTCACATGGTATCTCCTTTTTTTGAGATGGAGTCTCACTCTGTCACCTAGGCTGGAGTGCAGTAGCGTGATCTCAGCTCACTGCAACCTCCACCTCCCAGGTTCCAGTGATTCTCCTGCCTCAGCCTCCTGAGTAGCTGGGATTACAGGCACCCGCCACCACACCCAGCTAATTTTTGTATTTTTAGTAAAGATGGGGTTTTGCCATATTCTCCAGGCTGGTCTCTAACTACTGACCTTAGGTGATCTGCCCACCTCAGCCTCCCAAGGTGCTGGGATTACAGGCGTGAGCCACCACGCCCGGCTGGTATATCCTTTTCTAGCCTTATATTTTTAACCTAATTATGACTTTACATTTAAGGTTGGTTTCTTATTGGTAGCTTTTAACTGGGTCTTGTTTTTTATCCAGTCCAACAACCTTTTAACTGGTATGTAGACCATTCACATTTAATATGATTATTTATAAGGTTGTGTTTAGATCTGAGTCTTGTTATTTTCCATTTGACCCAATTTTTTTCTTTTTTTCTCTTTATCTTTTTTCTATTGGATTAATTGTACTTGTTGAGATTTTATTTTATCTCCATTGGCTTATTAGTTATTGAGGGATTTTTGCCATAGGTTTTGCCTCTCCATTCATTTTAAACCACACAGTACATTGTTGTCATTTTCACTTTAAGTAGTCAATTATCTTTTAAGGAGCTCTTTGAAAATAAAGAAAAGGTCTTTTATATTTGCTTACATATTTGTAGTTTCTGGTGCTCTTTTTTTCTTTGTGGAGATCCAGTTATTGATCTGGTATCATTTTTCTTCTTTAAATTATATTTTTAAAATTTCTTATTTATTTGTTGTGGCAGGAAACAAAGGAGGATTTTTTTGTTGTTGTTTCCTTTTTTTGTGTGTATGTGAGTTTTTGGTGGTTTTTTTTTTTTTTTTTTTGGAGAGACAGGGTCTCCTTTGTTGCTCAGGCTGGTCTTAAACACCTGGCCTCAAGCAACCATCCCACCCCAGCCTCCAAAGTACTGAGATTACAGGCATGAGCCACTGTGCCTGGACTTCATTTTATTTCTGAGAAGAGGACTTCCCTTAATTTTTAGTACAGGTCTACTAGTGATTGATTCTTGCAGCTTTTGTTTGTCTTTTCTTGTCTTTGTTTTTGCAAGGTAATGTTGCTGGGTATAGAATTCTAGATTGACAGGTTTATTGTTTTGTTTTTGTTTTTGTTTTTTCCTTCCAGTACTTTAAAGATGGTGCTCAACTGTATTCTGGCTTGTATTATTTCCAATGAGAAGTTATTCTTAACTTTGTTCCCCCAAATGTAATGTGTTTGGGGTTTTTTGTTTTTGTTTTGTTTTGTTTTTTTGTTTTTTGTTGTTATTGTATGGCCTGGCCCTTGTAGACAGTTTCTGGATTTTTTTCATAGTTTTTTCTTAACTGCTTTTAAAAATGCATCTCTTTACCTTTGGTTTTAAGCCATTTGATTGTGAGTACCTTAGTGTCGTTTCTTTTATGATTCTTGTGCTTGGGGTTCATTGACCTTCTTGAATATGTAGATATGTAGTTTGCATCAAACTTGAAAATTTTCTTTTTTTTTCTTTCTTTTTTTTTTTTGAGACAGAATTTCACTCTGTCACCCAGGCTGGAGTGAGAATGTCACTCTGTCACCCAGGCTGCAGTGGCACAATCTCTGCTTACTGCAACCTCTGTCTCTCAGGTTCAAGTGATTCTCCTACCTCAGCCTCTCTGGTAACTGGGACTACAGGCATACGCCTTGACTCTTGACTAATTTTATTATATTTTTGGTAGAGACAGGGTTTCATTATGTTTTCCAGGCTGGTCTCGAACTCCTGACCTCAAGTGATCCACCCACCATGGCCTCCCAAAGTGTTGGGATTACAGGGTTGAGCCACTGTTCCCAGCCAAACTTGGAAATTTTCAAATATTATTTCTTTAAATATTTTTGGGTCCCCTTCTTGCCTTTGGAGACTCCAGTGTACATTATTAGGTCACTTGAAGTTGTTCCATAACTCAGAGACTTTTATATTGTTTTGCTTTGTTTTTTTCATCTTTTTTTTTTCTGGGTTTCATTTTGTTTCATTTTTCTGCTGCTCTGTCTTCAGGTTCACTAATCTTTTCTTCTGCATTGTCTAATCTGCTGTAAATCCCATCCAGTAAATCTTCCCTCTCAGAATTGTCTTTTTTATCTCTAGAAGTTCAATTTCATCTTTTAAAAATATCTTTCATGTCTCTCCTTAACATGCTCATATTTTTCTCTCACTTCTTTTATTTTTCTAAATATTAATGTTTTAACCACTTATAACCATATGAGAATTTTATAAATTATTGCCAAGGCTGCTAGAAAACTTGCACAGTGTCTCGCTCTGTCTCCCAGGCTGGAGTGCAGTGGTATGATCATAGCTCACTGCAGCTTCAAACTCCTGGACTCAAACGATCCTCCTACCTCTGCCTCCCAAGTACCTGGGACTCCAGGTGTACACCACTGCACCTGGCTAATTTTTAATTTATTTTTTGTAGAGATGGGGTTCTCGCTTTGTTGCCCAGGCTAGTCTCAAGTGATCCTCCCACATTGGCCTCCCAAGTAGCTGGGACTACAGGCGAGCATCACCATGCCCAGCTGTAATTTCTTATTAGGTGCCAGACATTATGAATTTTACCTTACTGGGTGTTGGGTACATTTGGATGTCTTTAAGTATTCCTGAGAATTATTCTCAGGTGCAGTTAGGTTACTTATGAATAGTCTAATTCTTTAGAGTCTTGCTTTCAAGCTCTCTTAGGGCAGGAGCAGCCTTTAGTTTATGACTAATATGGCCCTGGTACTGAGACACTACCATTCTAAGTACCTAAATACCCAATGCCCTGTGTAGCATGAGGCATTTCACTCTGGCTGATAGGACTGTGAACTAGCCTCAACCTTATATGGTCTTTGATGATTGTTTTGCCTGTTCCCTTCTGTGGTTCTTTTCCCGTGTCTTCCTTACTCACGCTTACTGCTCAGTACTCAGCCGAAGACTCTAGGGGCTTGCTCTGTGCAGCTTTCCTCTGTGCAGCTCTCCTCTCTGGTGCTGTGCCCCGTGGACTCTAGCTACCGTAGCCTCAAACCTGTCTCCTAACTCAGAAAGACCACTGGGCTCTTTTTGGGTTTCTCTTCCTGTGCTGCAACTTAACAGTTCTCTCCACACAGTAAATTGGGGGTAATTAATAAGCCTCACTTTATTTATTTCTTTTCTCTCAGAGATCACTGGCCTGCAGTGGTTGATATCCAAGATTTGGAAACTGTCGTTTCATGCATTTTTTTTTTTTTTCCAAGACGCAGTCTCACTCTGTCGCCTAGGGTGGGGTGCAGTGGCACAATCTTGGCTCACTGC
This sequence comes from Homo sapiens, assembly GCF_000001405.40. Classification (NCBI taxonomy): domain Eukaryota; kingdom Metazoa; phylum Chordata; class Mammalia; order Primates; family Hominidae; genus Homo; species Homo sapiens. The sequence continues at coordinate 101,351,206 of NC_000012.12, forward strand.
AACCTCCGCCTCCCGGGATCAAGTGATCCTCCTGCCACAGCCTCCTGAGTAGCTGGGATTACAGGTGCACACCACCATGCCCAGCTAATTTTTGTATTTTTAGTAGAGATGGGGTTTCACCATGTTGGTCAGGCTGGTCTTGAACTCCTGACCTTGTGATCCACCAGCCTCGGCCTCCCAAAGTGCTGGGATTACAGGCGTGTGCCACCGCGCCTGGTCCGTTTCATGTATTTTGCCTGCTTTTCTAGTTTAAGGTCTAAAGGTAAGTCCACTCTCTGTTTTTCATCATGGCCTGAAAGAGGTGTCTCTGAGGCAGTGTACTTTTTTTTTTTTTTTTTTTTTGATAAAAGTTGCAGGGTACATGTGCAGGATGTGCAGGTTTGTTACATAGGTAAACATGTGCCGTGGTGGTTTGCTGTACCTACTAACCCATCACCTAGATATTAAGCCCAGCATGCTTTAGCTATTTTTCCGATGATCTCCCTCCCCTCGACCCCCACCACCGACAATGTACTTTTGAGGGCTGAGTAGCACAATATATAGTTTTTGTCATTTGTCGATTTTTCTACATTGAATTTATTTCATTCGCTTTCTGTAGTCTTGAACCTATCAGGGAGGTCTGAGTGGAAAAGAGTCCAAAATATGTTAATAGCCTTTAAAGAATGATGTCATTCCTTTAAATCTATAGCATGTTTTCCTGGGGTTAGAGGGAAAAAATTAGTATAGTTTGGACATTCTTTCTCTTCTGTAATTACTGAGAACTTACTAACTTTTTCAATATACTGAGTTAGCCTTGCATTTTATTAGCAAATACTTGTTCTGCATTGATGTTCTTGATTTGTTTTACAGCATGAAAATATAACCACTGCTGCCACAGAGATTATTGGAGCCATTTGCAAACATCTCTCTTGGTCAGCGTATATGTATTACTTGAAACATTTCATTCATGTCTTACAAACGGGACAGATCAATCAAAAACTGGGTGTCAGGTGTGGTCAAACTTCTTATTTTTGTTTTGTTTTTTAAATGTAATTTATGGCTGCATAGTATTCCATGGTATATATGTGCCACATTTTCTTAATCCAGTCTATCATTGTTGGACATTTGGGTTGGTTCCAAGTCTTTGCTATTATGGATAATGCCACAATAAACATACGTGTGCATGTGTCTTTATAGCAGCATGATTTATAGTCCTTTGGGTATATACCCAGTAATGGGATGGCTGGGTCAAATGGTATTTCTAGTTCTAGATCCCTGAGGAATCGCCACACTGACTTCCAAAAATGATGAGTTCATGTCCTTTGTATGGACATGGATGAAATTGGAAATCATCATTCTCAGTAAACTATCGCAAGAACAAAAAACCAAACACCGCATATTCTCACTCATAGGTGGGAATTGAACAATGAGAACACATGGACACAGGAAGGGGAACATCACACTCTGGGGACTGTTGTGGGGTGGGGGGAGTGGGGAGGATAGCATTGGGAGATATACCTAATGCTAGATGACGAGTTAGTGGGTGCAGCGCACCAGCATGGCACATGTATACATATGTAACTAACCTGCACATTGTGCACATGTACCCTAAAACTTAAAGTATAATAATAAATAAATAAATTTAAAAAAAAGTAATTTAAAAAATATTTTGTGAATTAGTCTTTCTGTAATCTCAATTTACTTTTATCTTGTATTAATAAGGTTATGCTAATACTTGTTAAAATTAAAAATACTAATAAAAATAATTTTAATGTTTATTAGTGTTTAAATTTCCTCTCCTTTTATAATCCAGTGATATTAATAATCAAATGAACATTTCTGTATACTTTTTTTTTTAACAGTTTGCTAGTAATAGTGTTAGAAGCATTCCACTTTGACCACAAAACTCTTGAAGAACAAATGGGAAAAATTGAGAATGAAGAAAGTAAGTTTCTTAAACTTTCTTAAACAAGATTTTCATCTTATTCTTGGATAGTGTATGGTAATTAATTAAAGATGGTGACATTCAACTTATTCCCTTTGTCTGCTCTTACTAGCAATGGACAGTTAATGAGTCAGGAAGGAGGCTAAAATAAATGGTTTAAGTATTCTTGGAAAACTTTATTTAACAAAAGAAAAGGCTAGTCTAAATTGTATTAGTGAAAAAATGTGAGCTGTAGATTATTTATATAGAAATCCAATTTTATCACCTTCTTGTGTGAAAAGAGCATTACACAATGAATGGAAAGAAAGTGTAAGAAAATAAGTAATTAAAAATTAAAGCAGCAATTGGTGAAAAATAAACTGGATACAATAGAAAAGATCAACAAAGCTAAAAATAAATAAGTATTTGAAAAGATTATAAATTGGGCCAGAGACAGTGGCTCACAACTGTAATCCCAGCAACTTGGAAGGCTAAGGCAGAAGGATCAGTGGAGCCTAGGAGCTGGCTGCAGTGAGCTATGATCACCATAGCACCACTGCCTTCTGGCTTGGGTGACAGAGTGAGACCCTATGTCTAAAAATAAAAAGAAATTAAAATAAAATTTTTAAACATTATAAATTGGCAAATGCCTGACAAGATTGATCTGTAAAAATGTAAGATGTAATAAACATTACTAGGAATTAAAAAGCGTCACGATTAAGTGAAAAGGTATCTTCGTATTTATAAATGTGAATACTTGGCTGAGATGTACAAATTCTTAGAAAAATATAATACAAAAACTGACTTTAGAAGAAAATAGAAAATCCAGATAGATTTCTAACCATTAAAGGAATTGAATGCACAGTTAGGCTGGGGCACGGTGGCTCACACCTGTAATCCCAGCACTTTTGGGAGGCCTACGCAGGTGGATCACTTGAGGCCAGGAGTTCGAGACTAGCCTGGTCAACATAGCGAAACCCTGTCTCTACTAAATATACAAAAAATTAGCTGGACATGGTGATGCACACTTGTAATCTCAACTACTCAGGAGGCTAAGGCATGAGAATTGCTTGAACCCAGGAGGCAGATGTTGCGGTAAGCTGAGATGTCACTACTGTACTCCAGCCTGGGTGACACGGCAAGACTCTGTCTCAAAAAAAAAAAAAAAAAAAAAAAGAAAAGAAATTCAATCTGCAGTTAGTCATCTGATGAAAACACCAGGCACAGATTGTTTTATGGCTAAGTTTTACCAAACATTCAAGGGGTAGATCATTTCAGCCTATACCAGCTATTTCAGATGATTGGAAAAGAGGAATTCCCACTAACTTGTAAAATTGTAATCGCATACCAGAAACTGACAAAGACTCTGGGCAGTTGGCTGTCATTAGGATTTTCATGCTCATGAAGGGAGGTGCTTTATTTGGTTAAGATGTTCCTGCCCCCCAAGCCTCCCAGTGTGTTCCCCAATTACCCTGTACCTGCAGTTCTGTGTTCTTTTATAATCGGCAGTTTATTTGTCTCTCTTTAAACTCTAAACTGTGAGAAAGCAAAACCCATGGCCCTCTCATTTACTGCTCTTTCCTCAGCACTTACCTTGCCTGCCCACAGTTGCTGATTAGATATTTTTTATCGGAAGTTGGACGTTGGTGGGAAAAACTGCTTACCACAACTGTGTGGTTTCATTATTTGCTTTAAGGTGACTTTTGTTGTTTATTAAACATAGACGCAATTGAAGCAATTGAGTTACCAGAGCCTGAGGCCATGGAATTAGAGCGTGTGGATGAGGAAGAGAAGGAATATACATGCAAGAGTTTGTCAGACAACGGACAACCGGGAACCCCTGATCCAGCTGACTCTGGAGGAACATCAGCTAAAGAATCCGAGTGTATCACAAAGCCTGTCTCTTTCCTTCCTCAAAACAAGGAAGAAATAGAGAGAACAATTAAAAATATCCAAGGAACCATAACCGGGGATATTCTCCCCAGGCTACATAAATGCCTTGCATCTACGGTAATAAATTTATTCGGGGTCCAGCAGGTCTGTGTGAATTCTGGTGTTGGTGGAGCCCTGTCACACTGAGGCTCTTGGTGATTATTGATTGATTTCAGCTTTTAGATTTCCTTTTATCTCAACACTTCACAATTCACCCCTCTACTCTTATCTCTTCAACTTCAGGCTTATCCTGCTGCAACTAAGCAGTAACGCTCCTTCTTTATGATTTTGATAGGGTAGATAAATGCTTTTCCATCTCCAAAGTAGTTATTAAGAGACTCCCATGTCCCAAAAAGGTTATTAAAAATTAGAATGTTTCCATTTTCTACTTTCTGGTCAGTTCTGCACTATTCAAAATTCATCTTTCCTAGTTAACAGGGATAACATTCAGCAGTGCATTCTCATGAAGCCAGAGCCTTTCCTTCCTTCTCAGGGTGAAACACGGGTTGGCCAACTATGGCTCAGGGACTAAATCTAGCCTGTGGCCTGTTTTTGTACGGTTTTATTGGAACACAATTATCCACTTGTTTACGTAGTGTTTAGTACTGCCTTTTCATCACAACAGCAGAGTTGAGTAACTTCAACAGAGCCCATAAAGCCAAAAATACTATATGGCCTTGTTCAGAAAAATTTTGCTAACTCCTGGTATAAAATATTGATTTATATTTTGTATATTTGTAAATATTTATTTATATTTTGTATATTTGTAATACAAATTTATATATTTGTAAATAAACCTTTATTTGAGGCCCTGTATTTATTATATACTAACAGTGTCACTCACACAGTTGACAGTTCCCACCGACACACGTTTTATATGAGTTTCCTATACTTGACAGCAGTCTTAACCCACGTTGGTGAAAATCTGGCTTTATTTTTTTCTCATGGCTTCTTCCAAAAGTAGAACATTCTTACACCTGTTATTTTTATAATTTTTAAAGGGTTATCCTCAAATTAGATATTTGGTTTGTTTTTAAATAAACTTAGAAATGGGCTTAAGATCTATAGAAAGAGCTGTTTTTCTTTTCTTTCTTTTTCTTTTTGAGATGGACTTTCCCTCTTGTTGCCCAGGCTGGAGTGCAGTGGCACGATCTCGGCTCACCACAACCTCCACCTCCCAGGTTCAAGCGATTCTCCTGCCTCAGCCTCCCAAGTAGCTGGGATTACAGGCATGCACCACCACGCCCGGCTAATTTTGTATTTTTAGTAGAGACGGGGTTTCTCCAGGTTGGTCAGGGTGGTCTCAAACTCCCGATCTCAGGTGATCCGCCCACCTTGGCTTCCCAAAGTGCTGGGATTCCAGGCATGAGCCACCGCACCCAGCCTTTTCTTTCTTCTTTTTATGATCATCCATCCTTCTAGAAAAACTTGTCTTTCAAATACAAAGTTGCAGTGTTGGTAGATCACTGATCCATTTATTTTCATTTTAGCTTAACCTAAATTTTTCTTACAGACTAAAAGGGAAGAAGAACACAAGCTTGTCAAGTCAAAGGTTGTGAATGATGAGGAAGTCGTTCGAGTTCCATTAGCTTTTGCCATGGTTAAACTAATGCAGTCCCTTCCACAAGAAGTTATGGAAGCTAATCTGCCAAGGTATGTTTTTTAACAAATTAGAAGTTTAGTGAAACTCAAAAATTGGTTCTTTTCTTCCTTACTTTTGAGTCTCTTTTGTCAGGAAGAGGAAAAAGTACTGTCATAACTTGCTGTGGTTTCGAATATTAACAGGAAAATTTGAGTTACGAGTAATTAAGAGACTAAAGGATATGTGTATGTTTAATTGCTTCTGTTTATTTGATTAGTCATTTTTCAACTTCTCATTTTCTAGTATTTTGCTGAAAGTGTGTGCCCTACTCAAGAACAGAGCCCAAGAAATCAGAGACATTGCACGCAGCACTCTTGCGAAAATAATAGAGGATCTTGGTGTGCACTTCCTCCTATATGTTTTAAAAGAATTACAGACTACTCTTGTCCGTGGATACCAGGTAAATTGCATCTTGTGCTTTATATTCAAGTTGTATTGGAGTTAAAATATTTGCAGCTTGAACACTGTAAGTTATGGAACTTTGGGCCTGTCTTTAAATTTGATCCACTGACACTCTGAGCAGTAATATTCAAAAGTTTCCAATTAGTATTAAGGAAATCTGTTGTTTAAATAGTTCCTATATCTGATTTTTAAAAGATCCTTATAGGCCTGGGTTACATGACCTATTTTTTTCTCTCAAATTACTTCATATCAAGTTTTATATTCTCTGAGTTCTTAATATAATTCTTTTGGGATGTGTATTGACTATTATCACTGGTGTGAATGATAAAGAACATACACATCTGTTTAAGAGTTGGAATATAAAATGTAAATTACAAAATAAGGGGCTGGGTGCAGTGGCTTATGCCTGTATACCCAGCACTTTAGGAGGCCAAGACGGGAGGATCACTTTAGGCCAGGAGTTCAAGACCAGCCTGGTTAACATAGTGAGACCTTTTCCCTACAAAAACTAATAATAAAAATAGCCAAGTTTGGTGGCACACGTTTGTGGTCCCAGCTACTCAGGAGGCTGAGGTGGGAGGATTGCTTGAGCCTGGAAGGTCAAGGCTGCAGTGAGCTGTGATCATGCCACAGAACTCCAGCCTGGGCTGCAGAGTGAAACCCTGTCTCAAAAAATAAAATAAGAGCGCCAAGTGGAATATACAGCACTCCAAGTAGTTACGTGGTATCTAGCCCCTCGCTGCTCCAAGCATGGCACCTGGACAGACAGTATCAGCAGCATCTGAGGGGTTGTGAGAAATGTAGGATTTAAAGGTCCTACACCTGACCCTACAGAAACTGCATTTTCATATGATCCCTGGGTGATTTAAAGTTTGAGGAACGCTGCAGCTTCTTTTCAAGTAAGCAGCCATATTACTTGTTGGGGTGGGGGTGAAGAATGATGCTCAAAGAAAACAATTTTGGTACAGTCGACGTGATTAAGACTCCTGGTAGTTAGCTTTACTTTGTACATCCTAGTTTGTTGATGGGTAAGGTTCCTAGTCTACAGACTGTAAGTCTAACACACTAAGAAATGTCACATTCATTTTGACTATCTTTCTTTGTATAGATTTTTAGTAGTTGCTCTATCGATTACCATATATTTCAATAGTCTACTGAGAATCAGTATTTTACCAATTCAAGTGGAATGTAGAAACCATATCACCCTGTATGGCCCTTTGCCCTTCACCCTTTGTATTATAGCTCTTTATGTATTAACGTCTCCGTATACTGAAAACTTCATTAGGCAATGTTATAATTTTTGCTTATAATTGTCAAACAAGTTTTAAGCACTCAAGAGGAGAGTAGTCTGTTCTACCTAGATATTTACTATTTCTGCTGTTCTTCCTTCATTTCTGAATTTCCACACTTCTTTCTAATATCATTTTGCCGTAGTCTAGAGGGTGTCCTTTAGCAATGTGGTGGAGCAGGCATGGTGGGAACAGATTCTGTTAGTTTTCTTTCTTCTATGAATGTCTTCCTTTTACCTTCATTCCTGAAACATATTGTTGCTGGATATATAATTTCACTTTAACAGTTCTTTCTTTTTAGCTGTTTAGTTCTTTCCTTTAAAAATATTGTTCTATTTCCTTCTAGCCTTTGTTTTCTTTTCTTTTTTTTCCCACATCAGGCAGATAATGCCCAACTGTTGTAACAAGGTTGAGGGAGACATATCTCACCCATAAACATAGAAACCCAACCATCACACTTATAAATTATGAAGCATCCCTTCCTACCTTTCTGATGAGTTATTCAATTTGTTGTCCCCCTCTTACTAATATGCTGTTTTTCTCAGGCTGCTTTAAAGACTTTATCGTTATTTTTCAGCAGTTTGATCATGATGTGTCTAAGTGTGGATTTCTTTGGTTTACTCTGGTTGGCATTTTCTGAGCTTCTTGACCAAATTTGAAGACTTCGGCCAGTATTTCTTTGTTTTTTTGTTTTGTTGTCTTTTGTTTCTGGAGACAGAGTCCTGCTCTGTTGCTCAGGCTGGAGTGCACTGCGATCTTGGCTTACTACAACCTCCACTTCTCGGGTTCAAGCAGTTCTCATGCCTCAGCCTCCGAAGTAGCTGGGATTACAGGCATGAGCCACCATGCCCAGCTAATTTTTTTGTATTTTTAGTAGAGATGGAGTTTCACCGTGTTATCCAGGCTGGTCTCAAATTCCTGGCCTCAAGAGATCTGCCTGCCTTGGCCTCCCAAAATGCTGGGATTACAGGCGTGAGCGACTGCACCCAGCCCCAGTATTTTTTAAAGTAAATTTCCTGCAGTGCACTCTTTCTCCTCTCCTGGGACTCCAGTGAAATGAATGTTTATTTTTCTCCCACTGGTTCCTGAGGCTGTGTGTGTGTGTGTGTGTGTATGTATGTGTGTGTGTATATATATATATATATAGCTCTTCTTCCACTCTGTTTAGGTTGGATAATTTCTTTCAGTCTATCTGCAGCTTCACTGACTCTTCCCTCTTTCATATCTTTCTGCAATTGAGCTCATCCAATGAGTTTCTTATTTCAGTTTTTGGGTTTTTCAGTTCTAAAATTTTCATTTATTTTTTCTTTAGATCTTCTGTTTCTTTGCTGACACTTAATTTTTGCATTTGTTTCAGTCTTTCAGCTAGAAAACTGGGGCTTTATTTTTCCCACTCTGCCATGTGCCTCCTGCAGCTGTGCCCATGTCAGGGGCCAAGCAATGGCAGCACAGAAAGAGAAAAGCAACTAGACTAGGCCAACCCTCTCAGAACTGTAGTTCCAATGAATGGAGAGGAAGCTTCCCCTCCCAGAGTTGTAGCTCCTGCCCTTCCCCGTTTCAAGGCCACTGCCACCACCACAGCATTGCGAGACATGGTATATTGAGAACTGGACATACAAGGAGGACTACATCTCTGTTCTTGAGGATTCATGCACACATTTTTAAGGAACACTTGAGGTGTTTAAATGAGTAGCCCTTTTTTTCTCTAACCATCTGTTCTTCAAGTCTATCCCATTATTAGTTAAAATAACTAAATTAGAGTTGAGAGAACAACTGATTTCAGCTTTAGTGTTAATCATGTAGACTGTACCAAAATTGTTCTCTTCGAGCATCACTCGTCATCCTCACCTCCACCAAAAGGTTTTTTTACAGTTACAGGAAAGTTGGGCACAGTGGTGTGTACCTTTAGTGCCAGCAACTCAGGTGGCCGAAGTGGGAGGTGAACACCTTGAGCCCAGGGTGTTCAAAACCAGCATGATAACATAGCAAGACCCTGTCTCAAAATATGTATGTTAATTTCACAGCAAACATTTCAAGTACAGGTGCTTTTTGACTTTTATGATGAGACAGTGTCCCAATAAATCCATCATAAAGTTGAAAAATCATAGATCAAAACATTGTAAGTCGGGAACCGTCTATATATAAAAGTACTTAAAGATCACAAGTAGGGGCCGAATGCTGTGGCTCACACCTGTAATCCCAGCACTTTGGAAAGCTGAGGCGGGCAGATCACTTGAGGTCAGGAGTTCAAGACCAGCCTGGCCAACATGCTGAAACCCTGTCTCTACTAAAAAATATCTGTATATAAAAATTGGCATGGTGGCACATGCCTGTAATCCCAGCTACTCGGGAGGCTGAGGCATAAGAATTTCTTGAACCCGGGAGGCAGAGGTTGCAGTGAGCTGAGATCGCACCACTGCACTCCAGCCTGGGTGACAGAGCAAGACTCTGCCTCCAAAAAAATAAAAGACCACAAGAAGGTACATAAGAAACTATGCGTTTAAGACCCAATCTACGTTTTGACAACTAAATGTGTTTCCTTAGCCTATGATCATTATCTGATATTTACCTTGTTAATTTCACAGCACTAGAAGCAGCATAAAGAATTCAAAAAGCTTGAGAGGCAGGATAACCTGTTGTGGAGCCTGGGACTCTGGTTTCTAATCTTCACTCCACCAGTTCCTACCTATGACCTCTTTGCGCCTCAGCTTCCTCATCTAAAAACTGCTGATGATGTAGTACCTACTCCATAGATTGGATGAGTGAGGCTTAAATGATTTAATACATGTAAGGTATTAATATAGTACCTACCCTGTAGTAAGCTCTCAGAAAACATCAGCTTGATTTTTGTTGGGTGCAAAAACTTGTTTCCTTCATAATATTTTATTTACAAGCTTTGATTACATTCAACATGGGCAAGCTCCTTAATTCACAGGTTGGTCTTCTTTCTTTAAAGTTCAGGACTCTTGGCCAGGCATGGTGGCTCACTCCTGTAATCGCAGCACTTAGGGAGGCTGAGGCAGGCAAATCACCTGTGGTCAGGAGTTCGAGATCAGCCTGGCCAACATGATGAAACCCCATCTTTACAAAAAGTACAAAAAAATTAGCCAGTCACGATGCCGGGTGACTGTAATCCTAGCTACTCGGGAGGCTGAGACAGAAGAATCTCTTAAACTCGGGAGACGGAGGTTGCAGTGAGCCAAGATCGCACCATTGCACTCCAGCCTGCGCTACAAGAGCAACACTCTGTCTCAAAAATAAATAAATAAATAAATAAATAAATAAATAAATAAATAAATAAATAAAGTTCAAGACTCTTGTGCCTTTCTTTATAAATCACTGGCCTGGTTTAGTCACAACAATAGATCCTAAGAATGGTAGTGGGTTTCTGAACACCTTTGGTACAAAGTGATCATTTGGTTACAGGATTTTAGATAGTGAAATAACTATGTGTCATTTGTCGAAGCTTCTCCTGGCAATAAAAGACATATAAACTCTGAGTGTTCTCTTTGCAGTGCTTCCTAGATCTTATGTTTTCCTAGTGTGACATTGTTAATATTCATGTTGTTGCTGTGTGTCTCATGTTAGGTCCATGTGCTGACTTTCACCGTTCACATGCTGCTGCAAGGCCTCACCAATAAGCTGCAGGTCGGAGATTTGGACTCTTGTTTAGATATAATGATTGAGGTAAGACTTACAGAAACGAATTCTAATTTTTTTTTAAGTGGGCCAACGACACAAAAAAATCAATTCACCAAATAAGAAATAATAATAGCCCATAAAAATGAAAATAATGTAACACCTCATCTTTTAGATTAGCAGAGGTTTAAAGAGCTAAGACTAAAGCGAGATGGGCACTCTGTCACTGCAAGGAGGTCATAAATTGATATGATCTTTCCGGAAAGTAAGTTGCCATTTTGTATCAAGAGCTTTTGAAATGAGAAAAGATTTTCAGTCACATCTAAGAATCTATTTTTAAGAAATAAGTTATGTTCACAGGAGCTTTATTTATAATACAGTCGGAAATTAATAATAACTTTTAAAATTGGGCCAGGCACTGTGGCTCATGCCTGTAAACCCAGCACTTTGGGAGGCTGAGGTGGGCAGATCACTTGAGTCCAGGAGTTTGAGACCAGCCTGGCCAACATGGTGAAACCCCGTCTCTAAGAAAAATACAAAAACTAGCCAGGCATGGTGATGCGCACCTGTAATCCCAGCTACCCAGGAGGCTGAAGCAGGAAAATCCCCTGAACCTGGGCTGTGGAGGTTGCAGTGAGCGCAGACCGCGCCACTGCACTTCAGCCTGGGCGACAGAGTGAGACTCTGTCTCAAAAAAACAAAACAAAACAAAATTGGATAGTATACTAATTTGGAGGCTACCATTGTGAAGATAATAAATTTGCCACATAACCTTTTGTTCATTTGTTTTAAAATGTAGACACTAACATTTTGAATCTCAATTTAAATATTTACGTTAGGCCAGGCACAATGGCTCACACCTGTAATCCCAGCACTTTGGGATGCTGAAGTGGGTGGATGACTTGAGACCAGGAGTTTGAGACCAGCCTGTGCTACATGGTGAAACCCCATCTCTGCTAAAAATACAAAACTTAGTCAGGTGGGGTGGCACATGCCTGTGATCCCAGCTACTTAGGAGGCTGAGACACGAGAATTGCTTGAACCCAGGAGCTGGAGGTTGCAATGAGCTGAGATCATGCCACTGCACTCCAGCCTGGGTGCCAGAGTGGGACTCTGTATCAAAAAATAAGGTAATTAATTAGACTAATAATTAATTAGATTGCAAATATTTGTAATTTATAATTAGAATGTAAATAATTAATTAGATTGCAAATATTCTGAGAACTTCTTGAAGGGAAATTAAGCTACTCTTTGGTACATCAAAAAAGAAGTAACTGTCTGTAAAGTCATACAATTATATATGTACATCTGTGAAGGATTTTTCTTTGTTTCCCGTTAGTATCACCTTTAAGTGTTTCTTATGTGTTTGTTTTTTTAGTAATTGGTCCCTAAATTGCATTGAAAACAAGTGCATTCTAAAAGAAATTTCTTCCATCTAATTTGAGTCCAGTCCAACTTGCATTTCTTTGATTTGGACATACCAGGGCCTTTTTTCAGTGACTGCTTATGTTGGCATATCTTGCTGAGTGCATATAATTGCCATTTGTCCTTTTTCTTCCAAAGATTTTTAACCATGAGTTGTTTGGTGCTGTTGCTGAAGAGAAGGAAGTAAAGCAGATCCTCTCCAAAGTCATGGAAGCACGAAGAAGCAAAAGTTACGACTCTTATGAAATCCTCGGCAAGTTTGTAGGAAAAGATCAGGTTACAAAACTCATCCTTCCATTAAAAGAGGTAAGGACGTAAATGCAATTCTGGAGATCACAGCATTACAATCTCATGAGTTCCTAAAAGGAACCATGCGGGGCAAACTGAAACACTGTTCTTGATCACCCATGATTTCCTTTGGTGATAGGGCCCCAGGACCATATGGCCAGTGAGTGAATGCTTTGATTCAAAAATCATAGTCCCCTATGTAAACCATGAGATGAGAAAGAAAGGCAACAAGAATTGAGTGCAGGTGAATATTATAGCTGGGTCAAGTCAGCAGCTAAGAACATGAAGAAATCCAGAGGCACACAAGCCGCATAGTGCTTATCTTTGAGGTTGAGGTTGTGAGTAACATTTCCTTATATGTTATGTCCATGTTTGAAATTTTATTAAGAATTTGTTTTAGGCCAAGCATGGTGGCTCACACCTGTAATTCCAGCAATTTGGAAAGCCAAGGCGGGAGGAATTGCTTGAGCCCAGGAGTTTGAGACCAGCCTGGGTAACATAGCAAGACCCTGTCTCTATTTAAAAATGTATATTTACATTTACAAAGAAATTCATTTTAGTTAGGAGTAAATATATATTAGAAAGCCTTTGGACAAATTGCCACTTCCAGGTTGCCAAGAGGAAGAAAACTGGCATTTATTGACATATTATATTCTAAGCACTGCTACATTATCTCTCCTAATCTGCACACCCTGTGAGATTGATGGTACTTCCATTTTACAAATAAGAAAATTCAGGCTTGGAAAGGTAGAAAGGAACATGGTTAAAGAGAAAAGTCAGGGTATAGGGTTTAGTTCCAGATCTTTCTGATCCAAGTTCACATTCCTACCATGGTTTCATTCTGCCTCCTGAAGATCAGGGAATGTAATTTACCCACCTTCCTATTGATTTCTGTGCCTGTTGCAGAGGTGAACATCCAGTAAATGTTATTAATTTATTAGTTTTGTGTATTAAAACTAGAGCAAAGAGCACTATCTATTGACATGAATTACATTAGGTCTAAATGTTCTGGTGCTAGATGAACTCCATAATTACTCCTAGAATGCATTTAGTTTTATGTGAGCCTTATCTAAGAATGTTAGATGCATTTTCAGGATGAAAAAGAGTCAACAGAGCACATATATCCGTGATGTATATTAAAAAGTCCCTCCAAGGTATTGAGAGTTAATACCATGTCTCATGCAAGATAATAGCTCTGAAGCACCAAGTATTTCCTGAGGTTGCTGATCCTGGTTCCCATTAGGTTCCTCTGATTTGGCCCAATAATTGATATCAGACCCTGAGGCTTGGCCATAGTAGCACTTCATTCTCGTGGTTTTCTATGAGGAGTGAATACATTTTGTTGATTGTGTGTGTGTGTGTGTGTGTGTGTGTGTGTGTGTGTGTTTGCCTCTAAGTCACCCCTGTTAATGTACCAGGAGAGTTGATGTTAACTTAGAAGTCTCATATCTCTGGCATTGTGCCCTGAGGCCTCACCAGCAGAGAACAGGGAGGGAGTGGAGGAAACCCCGAGGCTCACAAGCCTGCACAGTGGTTCTTCCTGGGATTGAGATTATAGTTAACTTTCACCTTATATGTTATATCTGTGTTTGAAATTATATTAAGAATGCTTTTTAATTAGGAGAAAGCCAAACGTATATTAGAAAGCTAATATATAAAAGAAAACTGCCATTATGACAAATCAAAATGCATTTCTGTGTCATCTCAGCATGACATTTATGTTTTGCCTTTAGATCTTACAAAATACCACGAGTTTGAAACTGGCCCGGAAAGTTCATGAAACTTTACGCCGAATCACAGTGGGATTAATTGTAAATCAGGAAATGACAGCTGAATCCATTCTATTACTCAGTTATGGTTTGATCAGTGAAAATCTTCCCCTGTTAACAGAGAAAGAAAAGTAAGTTGGAAAAAAAACAAACTGTCATTTAGGTCTCTGCGTCTGATAAGCCATTCTGTGGGTTGTTTTAATAATTTGCTTTAGTAAAAAATAAAATTATATCCACCTGAGTTCTCAGATGGTACTTTATGGTGTGATACATTTCAACATGAGATTTTCTCATAAATGAGGTAGCAGTGACAACAGCCAATTATTTTGGCATTTCTCTGATACCATTTTTTAAAAAGATTTATTGATTCAAAGATAGGATAGATTTTAAATCTGTATCTTGTATTTTGATTAAACAGAGATTGAGACCTTAAAAGATTTTAAAATATCTTACAGGCTGGGCACAGTGGCTCATGCCTGTAATCCCAGCACTTTGGGAAGCTAAGGAGGGCAGATCACCTGAGGTCAGGAGTTCAAGACCAGCCTGGCCAACTTGGTGAAACCCCATTCTCTACTAAAAACACAAAAATTAGCCAGGCATGGTGCTGGGCACCTGTAATCCCAGCTACACAGGAGGCTGAGGCAGGAGAATCACTTGAACCCGGGAGGCGGAGGTTGGAGTGAGCCGAGATCGCGCCACTGTACTCCAGGCTGGGCAACAGAGCAAGACTGTCTCAAAAAACAAAATCTTATATATTAGTAAACTTCATTTTGGTCTTGCTTCTATGGTCTAAGAGAGACTCGTTGGCATTTATTTTCAGAAATCAAACAAGGGAGTATCCTGCTGTTGATCCTAATATAAATATGTTGTCCTAGTAACCTTAATCAACAGCCTAATAATCTCTTCTGTATCTCATGGTTTGGGGGTTTGGGGAGGGGCAAAACCCAAGCAAATGGCACATTATTTAGTGCTGGGCTCTCGTCACTTTAGAAGGGCCACTCTAACTTCTTGGAATGCAGCTGACAGTGTTCTTTACCCTCTTCTCATGCCACGTGATTGACAGAAATCCAGTAGCCCCAGCACCAGATCCACGTCTACCACCCCAGAGCTGCCTTCTGCTTCCCCCAACTCCAGTTCGAGGTGGACAGAAAGCTGTTGTGAGCAGGAAAACCAACATGCACATATTTATTGAGTCCGGGCTTCGGGTAAGAATTAACCTTAAAATGAGACTTGCTACTTTCAGGGAGTCTGCACCTTTTAGTCTTCTGTTGAATTTCTAGTACTGCTCACTTCCATTGGAAATGCCTTACTGTAAATACATTTTAGATTTTTTTTTTTTACAGGTGCATTGGTCCATTTACTATTTATCTCTTGCAGCACTTACATTGAAGATGTAACTGTCCCAGAATTAATGATTCTGCTCTAATATGTATTAAGGTCTTACTGATGCTTTGCCCATGAGTCCCTCTGAACTACTTTGAATTTTTTTAAGAGATGGTGAGTGGCCAGACATGGTGGCTCACACCCATAATCCCAGCACTTTGGGAGGCTAAGGCAGGAGGATCACTTGAGGAGAGGAGTCTGAAACCAGCCTGGGCAACATAGCAAGACTCTATCTCTACAAAAAAAAATTTTTTTTAATTAGCCAGGCATGATGGCACGTACCTGTAGTCTTAGTTACTCAGGAGGCTAAGGTGGGAGAATCACTTGAGCCCAGGAGTTTGAGGCTGCAGTGAGCTATTAACGCACCACTGCACTCCAATATGGACAATATAGTGAGACCCTGTCTCTAAAAAATAAAAATAAAAATAAAATAAAAGACGGTGAGCTTTTAAAAGCATAAATCTAATCATTTCCTTTTTAAAACCCTTCATTGACTCGCATTTTTCTAACACACGTTCCAGCCACCCTGGCTTCCCTTCCCATCTAGAAAGTCACCATACTCTTTCCTGCCCTAGGAACTCACCACCCACTCTTTGCTCTACAAAGATTCCCACAGAACTCTCAAAGCACCCTACCTGTACACATCATCATTTCCTTAGAGTCTAGCTAAGATCCATCAAGACAGAGACCATGTCCATCCTGGTTATTGCCATATCCTGCGTACTGAGCCAGTGCCTGGAATCACAGTAGATGCTGAGAAAATTGACTGGTAAACAGTGGTAGCATCTCAGCTGCACAGCGAGCTCTCACTTTGACTTACTGAGACCCTCCCAGGCAGTTTGTCATTCCTTAAAAATGTTTTATCATTTCTAATAGAAGTATCTTAACATTTCTTGCTTTTCTCTGAACATCATTTCACATTTACCTAACTCATCTGGTCTAATGGGCAACTAATGTGAAATACCTGTTTGAACTCTCTTAGCTGCTGCATCTGAGTCTGAAGACTTCCAAGATCAAGTCTTCAGGTGAATGTGTCCTGGAAATGCTGGATCCTTTTGTGTCTCTCCTCATAGACTGCCTGGGCTCCATGGATGTGAAGGTAAGCATCGGTTTGCACTCTGCATTGGAGCATTTATTTCTTCAGAAGAACTATGTTTTGCAGAATACCTAATGGTTGTATTTGGGCTCAAGCTTTATGAGATGATTGAGGTGTTTTTGTTTGGTTGGTGGGTTTTTTGGGGTTTTTGGGTTTTTTTTTTTTTGAGACAGAGTCTCACTTTGTCACCTAGGCTGGAGTGCAGTGGTGCAATCTTGACTCATTGCAACCTCCACCTCCTAGGTTCAAAGGATTCTCTTGCCTCAGTCTTGCCTCAGCCTCCCAAGTAGCAGGGACTACAGACGCACACCACCACGCCCGGCTAACTTTTGTATTTTTAGTAGACACGGGGTTTCATCTTGTTGGCCAGACTGGTCTCGAACCCCTGACCTCAGATGATCCACCCTCCTTGGCCTCCTAAAATGCTGGGATTACGGGCATGAGCCACCGTGCCCGGCCGAGATTATTGAGTTTTTAAAGAGATTTATGACATCGTGAACCACCACTATTTGCTACATTAAATCACTTCTCAATTTACTAATTCTATAAATTTGGATAGCCTTTAACAGTTCTAAAAGCCCTCCTAGGTACCTTAAGTATGTCACTGGATCCTCACAACTTCATGAGGGTGAATGATTTTGTCCCCTTACCAATCATCATCATCATCACCTTTGTCACTATTACTGCTCCATGCTATGAATCCCAAGAACATTATTTCTGATCCTCACAACCACCCCTGAGGCATATATTCTTACTATTTATGTTTTATAAATGAGAAAATTAGGGCGAGGGCCTAGGTACAGATCTAGGCTATGAACCTAGGTGCCGAGAGGTTAAGTAACATCTCTAGAGTCAAACAGGTAATCAGTTGCAGAGCTGGGATGTAAGCCAAGGTCTTTCCGACTCCCAAGCTCGCTCTTCTGTGTCTTAATCCAGCCCACTGAAGAGTTCTCAGCAGCCAGAGCAGCACGGGTGTTATTAGATGGAGCTGAACTAGCTGATCCCGGTGCTTTCAAAGGTTTGGCCTTAGAGGTTCAGGGATCTCAGCACACTTTTTCCATGTCTTTTGCCATAGCACTTAACTATATTAAATGATAGTCAATTGTTCCCGTGCCTGATTTCTGAGTTAACTGTCTGCTGCATAAATGCAGAGATGGTATCCTTTTTATCTTTGTATTTATAATACCCAGTAGAGTGCCTTGTATACCTAATTCAAGCTTAGTAAGAGTAGATTACATTAAAGTACCATTCTAGAAAACAGAAAAGTCATTTAAGATGTATTTTTCCAAAAAAATTGTAAAATTGACCAACCTATCCAAATCATATAACCTCCATAAACCCCTATAAGTAGGTTAAAAATATGGCTGGGCATGGTGGCTCAGGCCTATGACCCCAGCACTTGGGAGGCTGAGGCAGGAGGATTGCTTGAGCCCAGGAGTTCAAGACCAGCCCAAAAATGTTTAAACAAAGATTAAATTGTAAAAAGAATATGGTGCCTTTTCTTATTTCCTCATGATCTACCATCATAAGGATCCATTGTTACGGATAAGCAATAAATTCTTCTACAACCAGGAATTGTAAATGTCTTTATCTTCTTACATTTTGGGCACAGTTCTTCCAGAGTGGGCTGCGCTTAGCATCTTATTTATTCAGCACAATCATTTAAAGAGTCTGCATAGCCTCAGGTGCTGCATAGTTGGATTCGGTCACATCACAAGTTGGTGGTGTTTTGTTTTGTTTTTTTCAGGTGATCACAGGTGCTTTACAGTGCCTCATCTGGGTCTTGAGGTTCCCGCTACCTTCCATAGAAACAAAAGCAGAGCAGCTGACAAAACACCTCTTCCTTCTGCTGAAGGACTATGCAAAGCTCGGGGCCGCCAGGGGCCAGAACTTCCACCTTGTGGTCAATTGTTTCAAGGTGAGATGTCTTCACTTGCCCTTGGAAAAAGCCAGGATGGAGCTGGATGCAATAGCTCGTACCTATAATCCCAGCACTTTGGGAGGCTGAGGTGGGAGGATTACTTGAGCCTAAGAGTTCAAGACCAGCTGGGTCAGCATAACGAGACCCCGTGTCTACATAAAAAAAAAAAAAAAAAATTAGCTGGGCATGGTGATGTGTACCTGTAGTCCCAGCTACTTGGGATGCTGAGGCAGGAGGATCACTTGACAGGAGTTAGAGGCTGCAGTGAGCTATGATCACATCACTGCACTCCAGCCTTGGTGACAGAGCGAGACCCTGACTCATAAAAAGCTAGAACCAGGATTAACATCAAAGTTAGTTTTCCCCATTGCCCTTTGTGGTTATGGCCAAAATTTTTTCCAGAGTAATTTGCCAAGGCTAGAGGGCTGGCACCCTGTTTGGAAAAGCATACTTGTGTGTTGTGTTAAGTCCTTGTCATTTCACTGGATCCCAACTGTGGGATGTGCTGGCTGTTAACATCACTATTGTAACTTGCAGTGTGTGACCATACTTGTCAAGAAAGTCAAGTCTTACCAGATAACTGAAAAACAGCTCCAAGTTCTACTGGCCTATGCTGAGGAGGACATTTATGATACTTCAAGACAAGCCACTGCCT
Source organism: Homo sapiens (assembly GCF_000001405.40). Lineage (NCBI taxonomy): Eukaryota > Metazoa > Chordata > Mammalia > Primates > Hominidae > Homo > Homo sapiens. Next base: position 101,370,550 of record NC_000012.12, read on the forward strand.
TTGGTCTTCTGAAGGTATGCTGTCGCCAGAATGTTGACTGTTACGGTTTATGAGTTTCACAGCAGATATTTTGAACACATAGATCATAGTGTTTTGACTAGTCATAGACTTCTGAAATTGAGTAATTTGTAAAGATTATTATGATTTTGGTGGGTCAATTACAGGTGAACATTTGCTTATGAAAAATGTTTAAATGTGAGCTCTGTATTAACATTTCCGGGGAATTCTGTACAAATACAGGTATTCTGTTTTTATTTATATGTTTTTCTTCTTAGTAAAATGTACATAACATAAAACTCACCATTTTAAAAAATTCACCATTTTTACCCATTTGAAGTGTTATGTTTAAGGGTTGTGTGTTCTTTGTGCTTAAGTGTCTATCCTTTTTCTTTTGAAGATACTTTCTTGTGTTTGAAAATGTCCTGTGGTTGCTTTAGCGTCAAATCTGCTTCCACGCATCTGCAGCAAAACACATGAAATGAGTATGTCTTTTCCTTTTGTATCTTAGGCAATTTTATCAAGAAAGCTGTTGGTCCCAGAAATCGATGAGGTCATGCGGAAAGTATCCAAGTTGGCAGTCTCTGCACAAAGCGAACCTGCCAGGGTCCAGTGTAGACAGGTTTGTAGAGAGCACTTATCCCCATAGCAAGGGCTGGGCCCTGCCGCATCTTTGTGGCAGAGGTGTCAACACTGGCTGAATTCTGAAGACCACCTTGTGTCGTATTGTTGCTTTATGCTGAGACTTGGGCGTCCTGGTGCAGGTGGTCAGGGGAGGCTTTTTCTGGGGACTGACAGGCAGGCCAAAATTTGAAGGAAGAAAAAGGCTTAGCTTTCAAGGTGAGGGGGCAGTAGAGGCTTGAGGTGAGTGAGAGCTTAGCTTGGTTGAGGAGCTCAACACAGGTAAGTGAATTGAGGGGTGGGGAGCCAGGTTGGGCAGGACCTTGTGGTCTTGTTAAAGATTTGGGGCTTTGTTCTTTTTTTTTTTTTTTTTTTTTTTTTTGAGACGGAGTCTCACTCTGTCACCAGGCTGGAGTGGTGCAGTGGCGCGATCTCGGCTCACTGCCACCTCCACCTCCCAGGTTCAAGTGATTCTCCTGCCTCAGCCTCCTGAGTAGCTGGGACTACAGGCATGCACCACCACACCCAGCTAATTTTTGTATTTTTAGTAGAGATGAGGTTTCACCATGTTGGCCAGGATGGTCTTGATCTCTTGACCTTGTGATCCACCCACCTTGGCCTCCCAAAGTGCTGGGATTACAGGCGTGAGCCATGGTGCCTGGTGGGGCTTTGTTCTAAGAATAGCAAGGAGCTATTTAAATCCTTAGGGAGAGGAGTGACAGGATCAGGTTTATATCTATACATCTGTCAATCTCTAATTTTATGAACACATACTGTGCCCAAAGAGGTGGAAAGGTCTAAGTTGGAAATAGGAACTCAGGGTTGCAGGTGGGTTTGGGCTGCTGAGGAGGCCAGGGTGGAAGGCAAGATGCATGTCTCTGGAAATAATTGCTTGGCCACTATTAGGAAGAAGAAGGGTCAGCTGCTATTAAGCACTAGCTGTGTGCCTAGCACTTTAAATGCATGACCTCTGTTTACAGGTACCCTTCAGAAGAAACGGTATCCCCATTTTACCGCGAGGGAAAGGCAGGCTTGGAAACTTGAATGATGTCGCCTAGTTCTCACAGTTTATTAATAAAGGAGGCTAGATACCATAGTGGTTTGAAAGTGCAGCCTTTGGACACAGACTAGGCATGGAATTCTGGCAGTGTCACATGAACAAGTTTCTTATTGTCTCGGCCAACTTCATTCCCTTCAACTAGAAAATGGGCTATTATCACGAACTTCTTAAGGGAATGATGAGATTTAACTGAGAAACACTTAACGCAGTGCTTGGCACATAGAGGGTTTTTAGTAAATGCATTAGTTATTATTATCAGTATTGATATTATCACTGTGTTGTTATTCTTGTTGAAGGGGAGATACCAGATTGGACCACAGTCCATACTGTGGTACACCTGTCACCACCTGTCACAGAGAGATCAGCTTCCAACCTGTGGGCTTAGATTTGTAGTCTTAAACCACAGTGCCAGTGGCAGGCCAGGGCTTGCCTCTGTCAGGCACATAGGGCAGGACCAGATGAATGGTGGGAGAAATGAAGGGTCACAGTTGCTATTGACTTCATAGGCAGATTTAGCTGGAGTGCATTGGAAAGCCTGATTGATTGCCATTCTGTAAAGTTTTTATAACCTACCAGTGAGTTCCAGAAAGCAGCTTAGGAAACAGGAATACTAGAGGTGAGATCCAAATAATCATCTGTGTGACTTTTGTTCCTAGGTTTTTCTGAAATATATTCTTGACTATCCCCTGGGTGACAAATTGAGACCAAACTTGGAATTCATGCTCGCTCAACTGAAGTAAGCTTAAGCTATTAACTACACAGGGGCGGAGGGTAGTTTCTTCTTTCCCTTTAACATGGCGGCTGTCTTAAAAAGGATGGGGCCTAAGTATAATGGTACATTCTCTGAGCATACTGTTATATGACTCATTGACTTGATAATCAGACATTGTGCTTGGCTTCATATAGCCGTTCTCTGAGTTGCTTTTCAATCTAATTTAACCGTTGATTGTCATAAGAGTCCACTTAGGAGAATGTTGAAATCTGACACACTTACATTTAAAATTGTACAGTGATAGCTTAATGGATACATACAAGCATTAAAATTAGGAAAACAGAGCATTTTCCATTTTTTTAAGAAGTAAACTGACACCTTGATACAATATTTTCATTTTTTAAATAATTATTTGTAAATTTAGAAGATACTAACAAATCCACCTAATGTCCTTCCCCTAGTTACGAACATGAGACCGGGAGAGAGTCCACCTTGGAAATGATCGCCTATCTCTTTGACACGTTCCCTCAGGTACTGTGACCCCAGAGATAAGCCCCGTGACTCCTGGAAGTCCTCAGTCCCCCTTTGCTAGAGCATCTGTAGGAATTCCACTCTGAGTGCTCACACGTGCCTCTTTTCTTTTAGGGGCTGCTCCATGAGAACTGCGGAATGTTCTTTATCCCTCTTTGTCTAATGACGATCAATGATGACTCTGCCACGTGCAAAAAGATGGCATCCATGACAATCAAGTCCCTACTTGGTAAAATCAGCCTCGAGAAAAAAGATTGGCTGTTTGATATGGTTACCACTTGGTTTGGAGCAAAAAAGGTGTGCGTTGCTTTTAGTCACAGTTCAGTGACAAGTCTTAGCTTTGGGGATCATAGTTTAAGTAAGAATATATGTCATACACTGTTGAATTGGTTTTTTTCCCAAATAGTGTTATTTTTGTCTGATTATGCAAATAGTATATTCTTAAAGTTTTCCAAAGTGTAAGAAGTTATAAAAAGTAATATAGGCCGGGCGCGGTGGCTCACGCCTGTAATCCCAGCACTTTGGGAGGCCGAGGCGGGCGGATCACGAGGTCAGGAGATCGAGACCATCCCGGCTAAAACGGTGAAACCCCGTCTCTACTAAAAATACAAAAAATTAGCCGGGCGTAGTGGCGGGCGCCTGTAGTCCCAGCTACTTGGGAGGCTGAGGCAGGAGAATGGCGTGAACCCGGGAGGCGGAGCTTGCAGTGAGCCGAGGTCCCGCCACTGCACTCCAGCCTGGGCGACAGAGCGAGACTCCGTCTCAAAAAAAAAAAAAATAAATAAAAAGTAATATAAAAATCACCCGTATTCCTACTATGTTATTGTTAGGAAAGTATTCCACTACATGAATGTAACATAATTTACTTAACCAGCTCCTAATGATGAATACCTTTGTTTCCAATTTTGCATATTCGATTACTGAAATGTAATTTTTATCCACTTGGTACCTCTGCCACCATCATTGTTGGCCCATCTTTGTGAAACATAAACAACATGTGCCCTGTGTTAATGAGTAACTTGTTGCATACCCACTTAATGTGGGGTGGGCATGAGACTTCTTTCCATTTCCTTTTAATTAAAAATGGAAAAAAAAATTAAAGTATTCACTGGATAATAATAATGCCTCTTTTTAAAATGTTATTCTTGAGTGTAAAAATTTCCCCACATTTTGTATATTGGCCATCAAAGCTCCATAATTTACTGATTTCTGGCATCAGAAAGAAATGTTTATTTTCTCTGAATGTTGAGGACAAAATAATGCCCACCTTTATTTTACAGTTTCAGTAAAGGCCTCCCAAGTTCTCTTGACATTGTCTTGTGGTTTATTTTTGGTAGCGCTTAAATAGACAACTTGCTGCCCTGATCTGTGGCTTGTTTGTGGAAAGTGAAGGAGTTGATTTTGAGAAAAGACTTGGAACTGTCCTTCCTGTGATTGAAAAGGAAATTGATCCTGAAAACTTTAAAGATGTAAGTAATTTGCTAGGGAATAAAACTTTTCTAACTTATAGTTTTACTTGAGGTGATGTAGCTAACAGATTAGATATCAGCTTATAGGTTAAATATTTATATTTATAGCTATAGCTATTTATAGCTAATCAATTAAATATTTGTGTTCAAACAGTGTCCTTTATCATAAAAGCAAAAATTCAGTGTAATTGGAACTTTTTAAAATGAGCATTATAGCCAGGCATGGTAGCGCATGCCTGTATTTCCACCTTTTCAGGAGGCTGAGGCAGGAGGACCGTGCCACTGTACTCCAGCCTGGCTAACAGAGCAAGACCCTGACTCAAAAAAAAAATGGGGGGTTGGGGGATTCAAGTTAAAGTATCTTCATGGTATATGAAGATCAAAGGTTCTCAACTCAGGCGATTTTACCCCCCCAGGTGACATTTGGCAATGTCTGGAAACATTTTTGATTGTCACAACTGGAGGGTGGAGGTGCTACTGGGATCTAGAGCATAGAGGAGCAGGGATGCTGGTAACATCCTACAGTGCACATGGCAGCCCCCACAGGAAAGGATCATCTGGCCCACAATGTCAGGAGTGCCGAGGGAGGTTCAGAAACGGGTGGATTGATGTGCTGGAGTAAAATTGTCCATCAGATACTTTCAGATTGTTGTTTTCATTGATTTACATCCGTCTTGTTTTTAGATCATGGAAGAAACTGAAGAAAAAGCTGCAGATCGCCTTCTGTTTAGTTTTCTTACACTGATAACTAAACTTATCAAGGAATGTAATATTATTCAGTTTACCAAACCCGCTGAGACTTTGAGTAAAATCTGGAGTAAGTATTTCCTTTTTTATTTAAATCAAACACATTTGTTGTCATAGAATTACTGAAAGTAGATTTGAGAAATTCGAATATGAATACTTCAGAAAGTATACAATGTCAGGAAAAGAGTCCATGAGAAAAAACCTAAAAGGTTCTATCAGATTGAACACAGTGAAAATGTTCCCTTCTGAAAAAAAAACGTATCTATGATTTCATAAGTAATACCTTTCAAAGTCCTGTTTGGTACTTAATAATTTCAGATATGTATCTCTTTTTTTCCTATTTATTTATTTTCCCTCAGGTACAACTGACAAGTGAAAACTGTATATATTTATGGTGTACAATGTATTGTTTTGATGTATGTACTTGTGGTCTATATTTCCATCCAGTCTTTCTTTTTGTTCAGTAGGCATAGGGTTTTTTTGAGAGGTTGCTTAGTTCCATATAAACTTTGATATCCTGTTTGTACCTAAGTAAGCATATTACTATCTATAAGACACCTAGTAGATATCCTTTTAAATAGCTATATAGTAGTCCATTATGTACATATGCCAGTATTTACTAAATGATTTCACAAGTTGTCACACAGTTGCGCATCACCTAACAATAGAGAAACATTCTGAGAAATATATTGTTATGCGATTTTGTTGTTTGAACTTCATAACAGTATACTTAGACAAATCTAGATGGTATAGCCTATTACACCCCTAGACTATATGGTCCAGCCTGTTGCTAAAAACCTTTACAGCATGTACTGTACTGAATACTGTAGGCATTCGTAACAGGGTCATTGTGAATCTAAACACAGCCAAAAATAGAAAGGGTACAGTAAAAATACAGTGTGTATTTTTTTTTAATGAGTAGTGCCAAACTGTTTTATAATCTTATGGAACCACTTTTTTTTTGTTTTGTTTTGTTTTGAGACAGTGTCTCGCTCTGTCACCCAGACTGGAGTTAAATGGCACGATCTCAGCACACTGCAACCTCCTCCGCCTTCCGGATTCAAGTGATTCTTCCGCCTCAGCCTCCCAAGTAGCTGGGATTACAGGCACATGCTACCACACCAGCTAATTTTTGTATTTTTGTAGAGATGGGGTTTCACCATGTTGGCCAGGCTGGTCTTGAACTCCTGACCTCAGGTGATCTACCCGCCTCGACCTCCCAAAGTGCTGGGATTACAGGTGTGAGCCACCACACCCGGCCAATTTTTGTATTTCTGTAGAGACAGGTTTCACCATGTTAGCCAGGCTGGTCTTGAACTCCTGACCTCAGGTGATCCACCTGCCTCAGCCTCCCAAAGTGCTGGGATTACAGGCATGAGCCACTGTGCCCAGCCGGGACCACATCTTATGTGGTCTGTTGTTAACTGAAATAAAGTATTCACCTGGTTTAAGAGCCAGAACTCAGATTTGTGAGAAATAACAAGGTTACTGTATGACCTTCTCAGGTGTGGCTTCATTGCAACATGGCCAGATTATTACAAAGATTCATGTAGATCAAAAGTAAAAACATGTCTATGAAATATAGCAGCAAGACTAAAACTGAGATATGACACGGTTAATCCATCCTGTTCCCCAAAACCCACATTATAAAACTTTTTTTTTTGAGATGGAGTCTCACTCTGTCGCCAGGCTGGAGTGTAGTTGTGCGATCTCAGCTCACTGCAACCTTTGCCTCCCGGGTTCAAGTGATTCTTCTGCCTCAGCCTCCTGAGTAGCTGGGACTACAGGCGTGTGCCACCATGCCCAGCTAATTTTTGTATTTTTTAGTAGAGACAGGTTTTCACCGTGTTGGCCAGGATGGTCTCCATCTCTTGACCTCATGATCCGCCTGCCTCGGCCTCCCAAAGTGCTGGGATTACAGGCATGAGGCACTGCACCCAGCCTAAAACTTTTTTTTCTTTTCTTTTTCCTTTACACGGAGGGGAGATACAGCAGGGAAGGGGAAGTTTGGGTCTCAATGGAGTGGTGGTCACTGGAGAGGGGTCACACTCAAGGCCAAGGTTTCTTCAAAGATAATTTTTAGACCATTAGTGTAGTCAGACTTTTAATTTGCGTATTTAGCATGCCCATCTTCCATTATATGTTTAAGTCCTTTACCAGCATTGGGAAATAAGATTAATACTGTCTGTGCTGCCTCCTAAGAACTTTGTTGATGGTTAAATGAGATCATGTTCATGAAAATGTTAGGGTCTCAGCTGGGCATGGAGGCTCATGCCTGTCATCCCAGCACTTTGGGAGGCTGAGGCTTGCAGATTGCTTAAGCTCAGGAGTTCGAGACCAGCGTGGGCAACATGGTGAAACCCCATCTCTATAAAAAATAACTTCCTGAGTGTGGTGTATGGAGAATGGCCACGTAGCCAAATGCTGAAGAATTAAGAGTTTGAAGGTCAGATCAAGCTAGGGCCCAGGACTGGCTCTGCCTGTTATAGCTTAGCATGTCACACAGCCTTTCTGGAACACTTGTTTCTTCATCTGTAAGATGGAAATTATAATTCCAACGTCACAGAATTGTTATGAGGTCTAAATGAGATAATACATGTAACACAATTAGCCCTGTCCCTGGCATATAGAAAACCTTCAGTAAGTAAATGATAGCTTTACAGGCAGCTACTTGGAGCCACCAATTCTACTGATTAGAAACAAGCCTGTACCTATATACATACTTACATTACTCACTTTAGAAAATGTAACTGTTGGCCAGGCACAGTGGCTCACACCTGTAATCCCAGCACTTTGGAAGGCTGAGGCAAGTGGATCACTTAAGGAGTTTGAGACCAGCCTGACCAACATGATGAAACCCTGTCTCTACTAAAAATACAAAAATTAGCTGGGTGTGGTGGTGAGTACCTGTAGTAACAGTTACTCAGGAGGCTGAGGCAGGGGGATTGCTTGAACCCAGGAGGCAGAGGTTGTAGTGAGCTGAGAGTACACCACTGCACTCCAGCCTGGGCAATGGGAATGAAACCCTGTCGCAAAAAAAAAAGAAAAAAAAGAAAATGTAACTGTTAATGTCACCTTATCTCCCTTGAATCTGAAACTAGTTCTTATGGAACTGGTCTGTTTGAGGGCTGTTTATACCCCATTAGAGTCATTTAACCACTCTAGGAGTTGGTTTTCTAGTCGTTTCCAGTGCCTCTCCCACCTCACTTCTCTCTAGCTCCTGTGAGCTTCTAAGAAGCAAGGACTATTTGTCTTTTTCTAAATTGATACATAATTATGCCTACTTATGGGGTATCTATGATATTTTGATACATGCATACAATGTCCAATGATCCAATTGGGGTAATGAGAATATCCTTCCCCTTGAACATTTATTCTCTCTTTGTGTTGGGAACATTTCAAATCTTCCAGCTATTTTGAAATGTACAGTACATCGTTGTTAACTATAGTCATCCTACTGTGCTGTCCAACACTAAACTTATTCCTTCTATCTAATTCTATTTTTGTACACATTAACCAATCTCTTTTCATCCCCTGCCCCCACTTCCCAGCCATTGGCTTATTTTGTTCATCTTTGGTTCCCCACTCCAAACACATAATACTCTGTAAATGCTTAACTTAGTCATATTTACCTCTAATCAGGAAGGCCATGTGACATCCACAAATGCTTTTTGGTTCCCTTAGGTCATGTGCATTCTCACCTGAGACATCCACACAACTGGGTGTGGCTCACAGCAGCCCAGATTTTTGGATTACTCTTTGCCTCTTGCCAGCCAGAGGAGCTTATTCAAAAATGGAATACCAAAAAGACCAAAAAACACCTCCCAGAACCTGTAGCAATCAAGTTCCTAGCCAGTGACCTTGACCAAAAGGTAAGCTTTCTCTCAAACCTTTTCCTTCCCTCGTGACTGTAAGATGTTCCTTCTGGTTCATGTAACTATCTTCGGGCCAGCCCTTGGGAGAAACTCTTCCAACCAACAATTTGTTGTACAGGTGAATCAATAGGAATATTAGTCACTGGAGAGGGGTCACTCTCAAGGCCAGGGTTTTTTCAAAGATAATTTTTAGACCATTAGTGTAGTCAGACTTCTAATTTGCTTATTTAGCATGCCCATCTTCCATTATATGTTTAAGTTTTTTTTTTCTTTTCTGAGATGGAGTCTCACTCTGTCACCCAGGCTGGCGTGCAGTGGTGTGATCTCGGGTCACTGCAACCTCTGCCTCCCGAATTCAAGGGATTCTTCTGCCTCAGCCTCCCGGGTACCTGGGATTACAGGCACACGCCACCACACCCAGCTAATAAGTTCTTTATCGGCATTGGAAAATAAGATAAATACTGTCTGTCTTGCCTCCTAATAACCTTGTTGATGATGTAAATGAGATCACGTTCATGAAAATGTCAGGGTCCAGGCCAGGCATGGTGATTCACATCTGTCATCCCAGCACTTTAGGAGGCTGAGGCAAGCAGATCACTTGAGCTCAGGAGTTCGAGACTAGCCTGGGCAACATGGCGAAAACCTATCTCTACAAAAAGTACAGAAATTAGCTGGGCATGGTGGTGTACACCTGTAGTCCTAGCTACTTGGGAGACTTACATAGGGGGATCACCTGAGCCTGGGGAGGTCAAGGTTACAGTGGGCTGTGATCATGCCACTGCACTCCAGTCTGGGCAAGACCGAGATCTTATCTCAAAAAAACAAAAAGAAAGAAAGAAAAGAAAAGAAAATGTTAGGGACCATGATATATGTGTCTCTGGTTTCCTAGGTCCTAGCACAATGTCTCACTCATAGTGGAACCCCATAAATATTGAATGAGTGGAGGGTAGAAGGGAAGAAAAGAGGAAGAAAAAAATATTGGACTGTAGTAAAGTGCTCTACTAGTAATGTAGAGGATTGGCCGGGTGTGGTGGCTCATGCCTGTAATCCCAACACATTGGGAGGCCGAGGTGGGTGGATCACCTGAGGTCAGGAGTTCGAGACCAGCCTGGCCAACATGGCGAAACCCCATCACTACTAAAAATACAAAAAATTAGCTGGGTGTGGTGGTAGGTGCCTGTAATCCCAGCTACTTGGGAGGCTAAGGCAGGAGAATTGCTTGACCCCAGGAAGCAGAGGTTGCAGTGAGCCGAGATCACTCCAGTGCAGTCCAGCCCGGGCCACAGAGTGAGACTCTGTCTTAAAAAAAAAAAAAAAAAAAAAAATGTAGAGTATTATTACCTGTTTCTCCCCAAAATGTGAAAGTATCCCATTTATTTGGGATGAAATGCTTAGGGCAGGTAGAAGGGAGCAGTACACCACTTCTGGTCATGAACCTTTCCTCTCCAAATCTATACAGGTGGTCATTCAGAGCAAAATCCAGTACGTTAGTTGTATTACAGTTATTATGTTTAGCTTTTTAAAAACAATCAGAAATGTCCTGTGTTTTGTCTACCAATGTCCATTTTCTTTTCACAGATGAAAAGTATCTCTCTCGCCTCTTGCCATCAATTGCATTCCAAATTCTTGGATCAGTCTCTAGGAGAACAGGTAAGAATTGTAGTTCTCCCAGTTTAAAAGAAGGGGCCGGCTGGGCATGGTGGCTCGCGCCTGTAATCCCAGCACTTTGAGAGGCCGAGGCGGCCAGATCACCCCGAGGTCAGGAGTTCGAGATGAGCCTGGCCAACATGGCGAAACCCCATCTCTACTAAAAATACAAAAAAATTAGCAGGGCATGGTTGCGGGTGCCTGTAATCCGAGCTACTTGGGAGGCTGAGGCAGGGAGAATTGCTTGAACGTGGGAGGCGGAGGATGCAGTAAGCCGAAATCACGCCACTGCACTCCATCCTAGGTGACAGAGCGAGACTCCGTCTCAGAAATAAAGAAGGGGCCTATTCTATCAACAGTCTAAGCTTACATTTGTTATTTTGTTTTGTTTTGAACCTATCTTAATGCTTGGGGGATTAGATGAAATACAGACATACACTCAAATATATGTTCAAATACACATATGTCTTGTCAACACTGGGTCTGTATTGGGATTACTCTTTGCTCCATTTAAAATTCCCAATAAGGGTCTGGGTGCGGTGACTCACGCCTATAATCCCAGCACTTTGGGAGGCCGAGGCAGGTGCATCACTTGAGGCCAGGAGTTCAAGACCATCTTGGCCAATATGGTGAAACTTCATCTCTACTAAAAAGACAAAAATTAGCTGGGCATGGTGGCGCATGCCTGTAGTCCCAGCTACACAGGAGGCTGAGGCAAGAGACTCACTTGAACTGGGGAGGCAGAGGTTGCACTAAGCCAAAATCACCACACTGCACTCCAGCCTGGGCAACAGAGCTAGACTCTGTATCAAAAAAAAAAAAAAAAAAGAGAGAGAAATAGTTATTTCTATGTAGAATGGCGGAAGGAATTTAATGGAGGTAGAGATGAAAGCTGTTGTTAAAAATGTAAAATGGGGCTGGTGTGGTGACTCTCACCTGTAACATCAGCACTTCAGGAGGCCGAGATGAGCAGATCTCTCGAGGCCAGGAGTTCAAGACCAGCCTGGCCAACATGGCGAAACCCTGTCTCTACTAAAAATACAAAAATTAGCTGAGCACGGTAGCCTGTAGTCCCAGTTGCTGGGGTGGCTGAGGCATAAGAATTGCTTGAACCCAGAGGCAGAGGTTTCACTGAGCCGAGATCGCACCACTGCACTCCAGCCTGGGTAACAAAGTGAGACTCTGTCTCAAAAAATACCCAAAAAACAAAACAAAACAAAACAAAAAATGTAAATGGAGGGCCTAGAAGGAAATTGTTTCCTTATTCTGTGTGACTTTAAAGGGTAGAACTAGTCCAGATAGATCAAAGTTACATGGAAATGGGTTTGGATGCCCTATGAGGAAGAACTTAAGAATGATCTAGGCCAGGCACGGTGGCTCACACCTGTAATCGCATCACTTTGGGAAGCTGAAGCAGGCAGATCACCTGAGGTCAGGAGTTTGAGACCAGCCTGGCCAACATGGCGAAACCCCGTCTCTACTAAAAGTATAAAAATTAGCCAGGCATGGTGGTGCACGCCTGTAATCCCAGCTTCTCAGGAGGCTGAGGCATGAGAATCATTTAAACCTGGGAGGGGGATGTCACAGTGAGCCGAGATTGCACCACTGCCCTCAGCCTGGGTAACAGAGTGAGGCTCTGTCTTTAAAAAAAAAAAAAAAAGGAATATCTAAAAATGGAGCCTTCATCATTTAATAGTTGTTAAATAGTTGTAATACCTAGTTTGTTTTTGTTTTCTAATTGTAGAATACCTATTTTAGCTTATGCTCTACTAAGCCTTATTTATTTCAAAATCAATGTCCAATTTCTTCCCCCACCCCGTTTTTTTTTAAAGGTTGTTAAGAATTTGTTGTTCGCAGCCAAAGTCTTGTATTTACTGGAACTTTATTGTGAGGATAAGCAAAGTAAGATAAAAGAAGACCTGGAAGAACAAGAAGCTTTAGAAGATGGTGTGGCCTGTGCAGATGAGAAGGCGGAGTCTGACGGAGAAGAGAAGGAAGAGGTGAAGGAAGAGCTCGGCAGGCCGGCCACGCTGCTGTGGTTGATCCAGAAGCTGTCCCGGATTGCAAAACTGGAAGCTGCTTATTCGCCGAGAAACCCCTTAAAGGTGCGATGAATGCACAGAATGACTGACAGTAGTCATTTCTCTTTAAAAAGTATTTTAATGATATTAGTGATCCTCCTAAGTCCCTAGAAACTTTATCTTTGAACCCCAAACTGCAGCAATAACATCCGTCCCAAAATAGACTGAGCCCTGTTTTCTCAATTAATGCTGTGTCTATGATTGAGTGCTAAAGAGAAGTCTTTCAAATGAAAAAAATGATCTGTACTTTCAGAGAACATGCATCTTTAAGTTCCTCGGCGCCGTAGCAATGGATCTTGGGATAGACAAGGTAAAGCCGTATCTCCCAATGATCATAGCTCCTTTGTTTCGGGAACTCAACAGCACCTATTCAGAGCAAGGTAACCCTGCCTCGTCTGTTCTCCTGCCTTTTGCACATGAGGATTTCTAACTTCTCTCCTGAATGTTTCCTTCTTCCTTTCTGTCCTCCCTCCCTGCCTGAGATTTATTTTTATTTATATATATATTTTAATTATATATTATATACTTATATATGTTTATATTTATATATATACACACACACACACACACATACATTTAAAAAAGAGAGAGAGATGAATAGTGGTCTATGTTATGCCAGGCTGGTCTTGGTCTCAAACTCCTGGCTTCAAGCAGTCTTCCAACCTCAGCCTCCCAAAGTGTTGAGACTATAGAAGTGAGCTACTGTACCCAGCCAGAGTTTATTTTTAAAAAGAAAACTTATATCAAGATAATTAACAAATAGGCATATTTGTATTATATTTGATTGCCCTCTTCTGTATGCTTTCTGCTGTCCCAGAAAGAATGTTTCTCACATAAAAGATGATGCTTTATCCTCAACATAGATTAAATAGTCAAAGAAAACTATGGTTCAGGGTAGTTTTAAACCTCATAGCACAATGAATAATAATGAATAATAAAATGTCATTACATTCTCATCTTAAAAATTATAGGCTGGGCGTAGTGGCTCACGCCTGTAATCCCACACTTTGGGAAGCCAAGTTGGGAGGATCACTTGAGCCCAGAAGTTCAAGACCAGCCTGGGCAACATGGCAAAACCCCATCTCTACAAAAGATACAAAAATTAGCTGGGTGTGGTGGTGCACAACTATAATTGCAGCTACTTAGGAGGCTGAGGTGGGGGGATCTCTTGAGGCTGTGAGGTCGAGGCTTCAGTGAGCCGTGATTGCACCACTGCACTCCTGCTTGGGCAACAGAGTGAGATACTGTCTCAAAAGAAAGATTATATGGCAAAAATATAAGTATTATCATTTTTATATGAAATAGTTTTAAAATATCATTTTAACATTTCTTCTTTTTCCTTGCCTGATACATTTCCCTCACTTATTCTAATTGTTGGTAATAACAGGTAAAGAGGGAACTGGGGGCAGGAAGGAAAGGAGGTAAAGTGAATGTTCAGAGTTTGAAAATAAAACAAATGAAGCAAATGTCAAAGCAAGAGCTTTTACAGTCCTACAACCTTGGGAGAAAGTTTCCTCACTCTTACAAAGGAAAAAGCAATGGTAAAGGTTGAGGCTGCTGACAAAAGCAGGTTCAGGTGTGCTTTGGTTCAACCCAGTCAACATTTAATGAGCATCTAATATCTGCCAGGCACTAGGGATTCAACAGCAGGAAAGTTTTCAAGAAGCTTGTGATCTAGAACAGATGTCCTGAGCTCCTGTGAAATTGAAATTGGGGGTTATTTGTATATAGGGGTGAGTGGCAGAGAAGGGTGGGAGAAATGGCTTTTTTGTCAACTTCACAAAGGAGGCTTTTGACACTCCCCCGCCAAAAAAAAAAAAAAAAAAGTTACTGTGGGCAGAGCTAAGCCTCTGTGACCCATCATGGATTAGAGAGGGAATCTCTTACTTTTCCCCCCATCTGCAAGAGCTCAACAGGTAAACAGAGGTAATTCAAAACGTTTCTGTCAAGGTCCCAAGTTACTTTAATGTCTTCAGGGCCAGGTTTCCGCTGGGAAGTGGGCCTCATGTTCTCTGATTTCTTATTGCATCCTGGGTGAGGTGGTGGCTGGAGTGCTATGTCTAGCATTGCTGGTTTCCCCATCCCAGGAACATAGAGGCTAGTTTTATATCAGTGTTTAATGTTGAAGTAACAGTGATAATGCTGCAAGAGTTGAAATTTTGTTTTGTTTTATTTGGGGTTTCTTGCCAGATCAGTAGCTGGATATAAATGTTGTACATATTGTTGATTTTGTTGATGTTCAAATGTGTCCTTTCCTACCTGTCTCTGATCATTACTCTTTGTGTGTGATTAGATCCTTTGCTGAAGAATCTATCCCAGGAAATCATAGAATTACTCAAAAAGCTGGTTGGGCTTGAGAGCTTCTCATTAGCCTTTGCCTCTGTACAGAAACAGGCTAATGAGAAAAGGGCACTCCGGAAAAAGAGGAAGGCCCTGGAGGTAAGTTTGCTCTTTGAAAATATGGCATGTTCACTGGACTTGATAACTACTAAGTGTGCATGTTTGTGTCACACTTACACTTAGGGAGGATCAAGGGTTTGAGCGGTTGGGGACTTTATAGCTGGGACTTCAGATTTTCTTTAATGAGCATGTGTTTTTTACATTTATTTCTGTATTTGATTCTTATTGGTTTAACATTTACTTTAAAAGTAATATAAAATTTCTATTCTCTTTTCCAGTTTGTAACTAATCCTGATATTGCTGCCAAGAAAAAAATGAAGAAACACAAAAATAAAAGTGAAGCAAAGAAGAGAAAGATAGAGTTCCTGCGTCCAGGATATAAGGCCAAGAGACAAAAAAGCCATAGCCTGAAAGATTTAGCAATGGTGGAGTAATGTCTCCCTGTGCTGATACAAGCATGAACTTTCTGGAATATTCTGCTAGTCTGAAATTACAGTAGGTTGTCTGGGGTAGGGGGGAGGCGTTTTTTTTTTTTTTTGAGACAAGGTCTCACTCTGTCACCCAAGGTGGAGTGCAGTGACGACATCACAGCTCACTGCAGCCTCAACCTGGGTTCAAGTGATCCTCTCACCTCAGCCTCCCAAGTAGTTGTGCCTCCTAGGCACACAACACTATGCCCGGCAAATTTTTTGTATTTTGTATTTTTTGTAGAAACAGGATTTCGCCATGTTGGCCAGGCTGGTCTCGAACACCTGGGCTCAACTGATCCGCCTGCCTCGGCCTCCCAAAGTGCTGGGATTACAGGTGTGAGCCACCCTGCTCAACCAGGTTTTATTATTTAAGTTAGTTAAACTTTGGATAGATTGTATAATATATAGTTTAATGTAATCATGCTCATATTTTTTAAATAAATAAAACACTATACTACTGCTGGGTCTTCACTGTTTAAAAAGCATGTGACACTAGTCAGAGTTTAAAATATAATTTGTAAATAAAAGGATACATTTTTAAATAGCAAGAAAAAATGTAGAAGTTAGCAATTAATCAAACAAAAGATTTGCAAATACTGCTCTATAGTACTTGCTAAAATTTTAGGAAAAGGCAGTAAGAAAGATCTGCACAAACGGAACTATAACCATGTTCTTGGCTAGGAAGATTCAGGATCATAAAACGCTACTTCTTTTTCCCAAGTTGATCCTTTGGTTAAATGTGTATCTGAGCAAAATCCCAAGAGTTCTTCACGTTAACCCAACAAGCTAATTCTAAAATGTATATGGAAGATGATATTAAGCCAAGAATAACCATGACACTCTCACAAAAGTAGAACAGGATGAGGGGCTTGCCCTATTGGATATCAAAAGTAAGACACAAAAACTATCTATAGAGAGAACGTGTAATAAATCCTACTTCATTAAGAACTTCTGCTTAGGAAAAAACACAAACTGGGACATGGCATACAACACATACTGTTAAACAATTAGTAGTACCAGGACATATAATGAATACTGATGAATCAACACAGATAATCTAGTGGAAAAAGTGGCAAAAGAGAGAAATGAGCATTGCACAAAAGGAGAAACGTAAATGGTCCTTAAACATTGTTAGCTGATATGGCTATAACTTTTTTTTTTTAAGTATTATGCACTGCTTGGTAAGTCATTACATTGAGACCCCCAAGTGCCACCCTGGCTACATGAGGTTCTTAGATTACATACCTTCTCACACCAGAAGTTAAAGAATACCTGGATTAGTCGGAGTCCTACTGTACTAGCTATGTCTAGTTGTTAAATTGTTTGAGTCACTCCTGTATTTAGCCTCATTAGTAATTAGGAAAATGCCAGTTATCACCAGAATTAGATTCCATTTTGAAATCATCAGATTGATAAAGCTGACAATACCAAGTGCTGGCAAGCATGGTGGAGCCATAGGAAATCTTATAAACCACTTTGGAAAGCAGTTTGACATTATCTTGTAAACCTGAAGACAGGTATACTCCCTGATCCCAAATTCCACTCCTAGAGAAACCATGAACCATGGATCTGAAGAATGTTCTTGAACCATTACTAAAAGTCAAGAACTAGAAGCAATCCAAATGTCCTTCCACAAGAGAATAAATAAAATGGTTTATTCATATACTGAAATAAAGTAGCGGAAATCAGCTAATTATATATATATATATAAATATAGATGATATTCTAGAAACAATGTTGAGTGGGGGGAAAAGAAAAATTAGAGTTGAATACCACTGTAATAAAATTTTGTGTACATATATAAATCTGTAGAAAAAAATTAACGATTTCAAAGTTTTCAGGATAGAAGGTACTTCTGAGAAGGAATAGGATCAAGGGAGAAGAACATGGTGGGGTTGGGGGACTTAAACTGTCCTCAAACTGTTCAGTGTCTTACATTTGGTGCCAGATTTCCAAGTTCATAATGCTTCATTACATTACTTTCTGTACATAATATATTTCCTGATAACATTTTCTAACGTTCGGCCAAAACCACATTAATACAAAGTTATTAGTACAAAGAAAACAGGTGGTTTCTTTGAAACTTTACTTTGAAGGCAAATTGGATAAAGAGTCAAGACCCATCAGTGTGTTGTATTCAGGAAACCCACCTCACATGCAGAGACACACATAGGCTCAAAATAAAAGGATGGAGGAAGATCTACTAAGCAAATGGAAAACAAAAAAAGGCAGGGGTTGCAATCCTAGTCTCTGATTAAACAGACTTTAAATCAAAAAAGACAAAGAAGGCCATTACATAATGGTAAAGGGATCAATTCAACAAGAAGAGCTAACTATCCTAAATATACATGCACCCAATACAGGAGCACCCAGATTCATAAAGCAAGTCCTGAGTGACCTACAAAGAGACTTAGACTCCCACACATTAATAATGGGAGACTTTAACACCCCACTGTCAACATTAGACAGATCAACGAGACAGAAAGTCAACAAGCATACCCAGGAATTGAATTCAGCTCTGCACCAAGCGGACCTAATAGACATCTACAGAACTCTCCACCCCAAATCAACAGAATATTCATTTTTTTCAGCACCACACCACACCTATTCCAAAATTGACCACACAGTTGGAAGTAAAGCTCTCCTCAGCAAATGTAAAAGAACACAAATTATAACAAACTATCTCTCAGACCACAGTGCAATCAAATTAGAACTCAGGATTAAGAAACTCACTCAAAACTGCTCAACTACATGGAAACTGAACAACCTGCTCCTGAATGACTACTGGGTACATAACGAAGGCAGAAATAAAGATGTTCTTTGAAACCAACGAGAACAAAGACACAACATACCAGAATCTCTGGGATGCATTCAAAGCAGTGTGTAGAGGGAAATTTATAGCACTAAATGCCCACAAGAGAAAGCAGGAAAGATCCAAAATTGACACCCTAACATCACAATTAAAAGAACTAGAAAAGCAAGAGCAAACACATTCAAAAGCTAGAAGGCAAGAAATAACTAAAATCAGAGCAGAACTGAAGGAAATAGAGACACAAAAAACCCTTCAAAAAATTCATGAATCCAGGAGTTGGTTTTTTGAAAGGATCAACAAAATTGATAGACCGCTAGCAAGACTAATAAAGAAAAAAAGAGAGAAGAATCAAATAGACGCAATAAAAAATGATAAAGGGGATATCACCACCGATCCCACAGAAATACAAACTACCATCAGAGAATACTACAAACACCTCTATGCAAATAAACTAGAAAATCTAGAAGAAATGGATACATTCCTCGACACATACACTCTCCCAAGACTAAACCAGGAAGAAGTTGAATCTCTGAACAGACCAATAACAGGAGCTGAAATTGTGGCAATAATCAATAGCTTACCAACCAAAAAGAGTCCAGGACCAGATGGATTGACAGCCGAATTCTACCAGAGGTACAAGGAGGAACTGGTACCATTCCTTCTGAAACTATTCCAATCAATAGAAAAAGAGGGAATCCTCCCTAACTCATTTTATGAGGCCAGCATCATCCTGATACCAAAGCTGGGCAGAGACACAACCAAAAAAAGAGAATTTTAGACCAATATCCTTGATGAACATTGATGAAAAAATCCTCAATAAAATACTGGCAAAACGAATCCAGCAGCACATCAAAAAGCTTATCCACCATGATCAAGTGGGCTTCATCCCTGGGATGCAAGGCTGGTTCAATATACGCAAATCAATAAACGTAATCCAGCATATAAACAGAACCAAAGACAAAAACCACATGATTATCTCAATAGATGCAGAAAAGGCCTTTGACAAAATTCAACAACCCTTCATGCTAAAAACTCTCAATAAATTAGGTATTGATGGGATGTATCTCAAAATAATAAGAGCTATCTATGACAAACCCACAGCCAATATCATACTGAATGGGCAAAAACTGGAAGCATTCCCTTTGAAAACTGGCACAAGACAGGGATGCCCTCTCTCACCACTCCTATTCAACACAGTGTTGGAAGTTCTGGCCAGGGCAATTAGGCAGGAGAAGGAAATAAAGGGTATCCAGTTAGGAAAAGAGGAAGTCAAATTGTCCCTGTTTGCAGACGACATGATTGTATATCTAGAAAACCCCATTGTCTCAGCCCAAAATCTCCTTAAGCTGATAAGCAACTTCAGCAAAGTCTCAGGATACAAAATCAATGTACAAAAATCACAAGCATTCTTATACACCAATAACAGACAAAGAGAGAGCCAAATCATGAGTGAACTCCCATTCACAATTGCTTCAAAGAGAATAAAATACCTAGGAATCCACCTTACAAGGGACGTGAAGTACCTCTTCAAGGAGAACTACAAACCACTGCTCAATGAAATAAAAGAGGATACAAACCAGTGGAAGAACATTCCATGCTTAGGGATAGGAAGAATCAATATCGTGAAAATGGCCATACTGCCCAAGGTAATTTATAGATTCAATGCCATCCCCATCAAGCTACCAATGACTTTCTTCACAGAATTGGAAAAAACTACTTTAAAGTTCATATGGAACCAAAAAAGAGCCCGCATCGCCAAGTCAATCCTAAGCCAAAAGAACAAAGCTGGAGGCATCACGCTACCTGACTTTAAACTATACTACAAGGCTACAGTAACCAAAACAGCATGGTACTGGTACCAAAACAGAGACATAGATCAATGGAACAGAACAGCGCTCTCAGAAATAATGCTGCATATCTACAACCATCTGATCTTTGACAAACCTGAGAAAAACAAGCAATGGGGAGAGGATTCCCTATTTAATAAATGGTGCTGGGAAAACTGGCTAGCCATATGTAGAAAGCTGAAACTGGATCCCTTCCTTACACCTTATACAAAAATCAATTCAAGATGGATTAAAGACTTAAACGTTAGACCTAAAACCATAAAAATCCTAGAAGAAAACCTAGGCAATACCATTCAGGACATAGGCATGGGCAAGGACTTCATGTCTAAAACACCAAAAGCAATGGCATCAAAAGCCAAAATTGACAAATGGGATCTAATTAAACTAAAGAGCTTCTGCACAGCAAAAGAAACTACCATCAGAGTGAACAGGCAACCCACAAAACGGGAGAAAATTTTCGCAACCTACTCATCTGACAAAGGGCTAATATCCAGAATCTACAATGAACTCAAACAAATTTACAAGAAAAAAAACAAACAACCCCATCAACAAGTGGGCGAAGGACATGAACAGACACTTCTCAAAAGAAGGCATTTATGCAGCCAAAAAACACATGAAAAAATGCTCACCATCACTGGCCATCAGAGAAATGCAAATCAAAACCACAATGAGATACCATCTCACACCAGTTAGAATGGCAATCATTAAAAAGTCAGGAAACAACAGGTGCTGGAGAGGATGTGGAGAAATAGGAACACTTTTACACTGTTGGTGGGACTGTAAACTAGTTCAACCACTGTGGAAGTCAGTGTGGCGATTCCTCAGGGATCTAGAACTAGAAATACCATTTGACCCAGCCATCCCATTACTGGGTATATACCCAAAGCACTATAAATCATGCTGCTATAAAGACACATGCACACGTATGTTTATTGCGGCACTATTCACAATAGCAAAGACTTGGAACCAAACTAAATGTCCAACAATGATAGACTGGATTAAGAAAATGTGGCACATATACACCATGGAATACTATGCAGCCATAAAAAATGATGAGTTCATGTCCTTTGTAGGGACATGGATGAAATTGGAAATCATCATTATCAGTAAACTATCGCCAAGAACAAAAAACCAAACACCGCATATTCTCACTCATAGGTGGGAACTGAACAATGAGAACACATGGACTCAGGAAGGGGAACATCACACTCTGGGGACTGTTGTGAGGTGGGGGAAGGGGGGAGGGATAGCATTGGGAGATATACCTAATGCTAGATGACGAGTTAGTGGGTGTAGTACACCAGCATGTCACATGTATACATATGTAACTAACCTGCACGTTGTGCACATATACCCTAAAACTTAAAGTATAATAAAAAAATAAAAACAAACTAAAACTGTAATAAGTCACACTTATTTAGAGGTGGCTCAAGTTGTTTCTGTTGTTCAACCACATAGCATCTTTTGCCTCACCCTATACTTGATGTGGAAGAAATATTCTTTAGTGCCCCATATATTTGGGGACATATGGGGTGGGAAATCCACCCTATGTGCCAGGCACTTTGGATACATTTTGTTTAATCCTAGTACTCCTGAGAGATTTCTACAATTGGTTCCTATTTTACAGATGAAGAAACTGAGACTCAGAGTAAATAACTTGCCTAAGGGTGATACAGGATGTAGGTGCTACAATCAAGATTCAAAGTCCATGCTTTGAGCTGAGCGTGGTGGCTCACACCTGTAATCCCAGCACTTTGGGAGGCCAAGGCAGGTGGATCACTTGAGGTCAGGAGTTCGAGACCAGCCTGGCCAACATGATGAAACCCTGTCTCTACTAAAAATACAAAAATTAGCCGGGCGTGGTGGCACGGCACCTGTAGTCCCAGCTACTCAGGAGGCTGAGCCAGGAGAATCGCTTGCGCCTGGGAGGCAGAGGTTACAGTGAGCCGAGATCGTGCCAATGCACTCCAGCCTGGGTGACAGTGAGACTCCATCTCAAAAAAAAAAAAAAAAAAAAAAAACAAAAGTCCATGCTTTATAATTTGTAATTACGGGCTTAGAATATGACAGTATGTGGCACAGAAATCAAATGTTCATTCACTTCAGCATCTGTGCTTTGATGTAGTGTGTATCTCAAACGGGAATTCTCACGCTTCTAAGGGCTTTGTAATTTATCAAAAGGAGGCCATCTTAGAAGACTGATTTTAATTAATTCTAAGTGACTTAAGTGCATGTATTGCTTTCATAAAATTTTTAAAAATAAAATACTAAGGCAAAGATCAGAAAGGACAAATATATCTGGCATATTGAAGACGTCTTTGTTTTTAATCAATACATATTTATTGAGTGCCTACTGTGTGCCAGGTGCACCACACTAGATGCAACGGATACTAACAGTAAATAAGATACGGTCCCTGCCCTCAGAGCTTACATTTCAACAGTTTAAAGTGCATCTCAGGTATTTCAGATAACAGAAGTAATTCTACCACTCTCAAATTTTTTTTTTTAATGCAAGACACAACACAATCATAGGCCAGAGTTATAAAATACAATGTTAGAAAGAAACGTTTGGTATCATTCGTCCAGATCCCATTTTACAGAAAAGAAACTACAGGAGTGGCCATTTGCACCTATGTTCTGATTTCAAGTTTGGTGTTTTACCCATTGCCAGGCCTCTCATAAAACAATATTCAGATTTGCCATGTATATATCAATATCCAAACGCTGGTAGTATACCTGTGCAGTTGTCTCCTGCTAGACAAGGACCATATAATTTATAGCTTATTTAAGTGTCCACTTTCTTTATCCCATCCTATTCTTTGTGATAAACCAGAGGGATCAGGCTTAACCAAGTGCTGAACTTTGGGGCAAC
Organism: Homo sapiens; assembly: GCF_000001405.40. Classification (NCBI taxonomy): domain Eukaryota; kingdom Metazoa; phylum Chordata; class Mammalia; order Primates; family Hominidae; genus Homo; species Homo sapiens. The sequence goes on from NC_000012.12 coordinate 101,393,691, forward strand.
TTCATGCCCTAGGATTCAAGATGGCCAGCGGCTACATGCCGGGTCTGCCTGCCAGGACCTTACTTCCCATTTTTTGCAGTTTTCCTGGACTGCCGGGAGGCAGCTGTACAAGCTTTATAAGCCTCAGGCTGTAAGTGAACTTGCTTTCTGCATTTTCCAGCCATGTGCCATTGACCAGGAGTGAACTCAAGTATAAATTGCAAAGGGCTACTTGTCAAGATGACAAATATCTATCCTACTGTTTCAACTATGAACATATTCTGAAATGCCATATGCCAGGCGCCATACCAGATACTAGGGACATAAATATGAAAAAGTCTTTGCCCCTCAGGAGTAATATTGGTTGTACTGGAACATTTGTAGCTGAAGGAAAATCTCCAAAAAAGATTTCAAAGAGACTAAAGTAGGAATGGGTGCTGGAGAATGAGCAAGAAGGGTGAGAGTCCCACGGGTGAAGGGAGAAAGCAGCAGAGAATGAATATAAGCCCGGAGAATGAACATAAATGTGAGGGGAAGAGGCCAGAGGCCAACACTGGAAGGACAGTGAGGGCCAAGAAAGGAACTACTAATGTTTCTGAGACCTGCAGGGAACCATGGTATTAAGCTCTCATTACCAGCACCTAATTTTTTAGAGGCTGGTTTTCCAACTTAAGTGAAAGAAATTCACCCTGTTTTTAGCAATTATGACGCACTATATTTACTTCTGTCACATTAGCTGATTCTGTGGTGGACTGGGTAATTTGAAAAGCTCCTTTGAACATGAATTGTTTTTAAACTTACAGTCTAGCAATAAGCCTAATTTTTAAAACAGAATGCTTAATTTCTCCCTGTACAATCAGTAAGATTTTGATTTTTAACAAGTTTACATGTCCAATTACATGTAGATAAAAGGAATGAAAACCAGTAAAGACACCTTTTATAATCTGAAAATAGATTTTTAAACCTTCCTTTAATGTGAAATTTTCTCTTTAATGTGTTATGAATTCTATCAAATATAACCATTTAGGATTATTTATAGTATGTCACTGATCACTTCTACTAGTATAGACAAATAAATTTATAAACATTATTTTGAATGTAACTAATTAGCATAATTTTATTTAAGAGTTAGACTGTGTTGTCAATACTGACATTTTTGGGAATATATAGTATAGTTTATGAGTCAAGCTTCTGAACCAAAAGTTTTACTTTGAGCCCTATTCCTACCTTACAAGCTAGCAGGTGACCTTGGGCAAGCCAACCTATTAGAACCCTGGGTTCACGTCCATACAGTGAAGACATCATAACCTGTCCTACCTACTTCACAAGCTTCCTCTACCGATCAACTAGATCAATATATGTAAGATTTTTTTTGACAACTGTAAAGTACTATAAAATGACACTTACAGATAAGTCAGTGAAGTTAACCATCAAAACAATATTCATGCCTATAACCAAAAGCTTTTAAACAAAACAGCTTAATAAAAAGTGGTCAGGTAAGCAAATAAAGATTATATTACACAAACTATGTTCCTCACCTACTCTCATACTGAGTCTAATCTTTGGAAAGATAATTCATTTTAAGGGGAAAAAAATCTGTTAAGATATTTTTTAGTATTTATACAAACAAGCTGCAACTACTATTCAAAAATAGGTTTTTTTCATCCAATAGGAGTATACTCTTTAATAGAACTGTATTTGAATAAGAATTCCATACAAATAGAATATATACCTTAACACAAGAAAGCAAGAAAAGAATATTTTACATTACATAGAACATTCAGGTGATTCGATCAAATTATCCCTCCAACTAAATACTTATTTTCCCTATTTACTACAAATATTGCAGTCAGTCAGTATATGCCAATAATCATATAGTTTTAACATCTAGTAGTGTGAAGTACACTTGACTGTTTCCAAAGGGAGAGAGGTGATGTAGTCTTCATTTCAGGGGAGAAGAATGGACTGAATTACTGTCTGCTTTTTAATGTTTCAACTAACCTGTAAAGAGAAAATGAACTGTTTTATAAAATTAATTTTCAGGTATAAAGCATGATCATCTATAATAAACTTTGTATTGGAGGTGGATTCCAAAGTACTTAAAATGATGACAGCTAACACAGATGAGGTTATGCACTAGATATCCATAAGGTTCCTCTAAGCTTTGAATTTGTCTATGATTTGAATGAAAAATTCAAAAAAGACCAAATACCTATTTTCCAGGCTACTACTACTTCTGGGCTACATATGGATGACTCAGAGGTGAAACTAGTCTCAATCCTCAAGGAGGTGATTATCTAATGAGTAGATGAACAAATCAAACTTACAAGACAGCAAAACAAGTACTATGTCACTAATCTGTGACAAGGGCATCTAACTTTAAGTGAGTGATTAGGCAGTAGGAATAGAGATACATTAGGAAAAGCTCTTCAGAAGAGAGTCTTAAGCTAATTCCTGAAGGATAAGGAATTGGAGGGTGAGGTGAGGCAGGGAAAAGGCTAAAAATTGGCAAAGAATTTGCTTATCTAAGTAACTGTAATCAGGTAGGTGTGGTTGAGAAGACAGATGCACCTGAAGACCAGTGAGAGAAAACGCTTGAGGAACTTATGAAATAAGCTGCTAAGTAAATCAAAGTTTCATCCTCAACACGGGAGAAAAATTACACGTGGACGTGCATAGCTGCAAGCACACACAAATGCACAGATGGCTTCTGGAAGCATGATACTTGCCATTCCATTGCCTCATCAAGGCCGGTGCCTTTGGTTGCTGACGTTTTGAATATCTGCCATTTTCGGTCCTTCAAGGCAGGTAACCCAAGTGAATTTGCCATCTCTGAGGAAGTCATGGCCTGTTCCATGTCCTGTTTATTTGCAAACACCACTAAAATGGCTTTTCTCAGCTCTTCTTCCTAAATGAAATTGAAAATATTTAATTTCTTTTAACTAATGTGCTCTCTCGAGTTTAGAAAATGTCCAAAAATACATTTTAAACGTGTATTTTATAATTAATATATTACACATTATGAAATTATATAGAAATTATATAGAGAAGTATAAAGAAAAGAAGCTTCACTCATAATCCTACCTCCCAAATATGATCACTGTTAACATTTTAGGTGTTTTCTACTAGTACTTTGTTTTGCAGATACTTCAGAGTTTATTTAGTAAATACATTTACACATTTAAGATCACATTTATATATAGTTCCATACCCTGCCTAAAAATTAAAATCATGTTTCTCCAAACTACAACAACTTTTTCAAAATAAAAAAATGGCTAAATATGCTCTACACTATGGATGCATGCACCATAAACTGTGTTAACTATTTTCTAGTATCTGACTCTTATTAGAGTCTTTCCACTAGACTATTAGATAAACCCAAGTGACAGGGTCTTTATACAAAAATTTCTGTTTAAATCTGTTTCCTTAACACAATATTCTAAAAATGGAGTCAAAGTATGAACAGTTTTTTTCAGGCTTTGATAAACTGAATACATGCATGAACAGCTTTCCAGAAAGGTTACCCTACCAACAGTGTATAAAAGTCTCCATCTTCAATGCAGCCTTTGTAGAGTTGGGAATTATTTACTTTTCCAAACATAGCATCTCATTATATATTACTAGGGTATTCGAAATGCACATGGGCTGAGGCAGGAGGATCGCTTAAGTCCAGGAGTTGGAGACCAGCCTGAGCAACACAGGGGTCTCTACAAAAATTTTTTTAAAAAACAAACAAAAAAGGAAGCAGAGAGAGGAGCTCAAGGTTATAACAAGCTTTGGTTGTGCCACTGCACTCCAGCCTAGGGGACAGAGGGAGACCCTGTCTCTTTTTTTTTTTTCTTTTTTTAAGACAGTGTCTCGCTCTGTTGCTCAGGCTGAAGTTGCAGTCGTGCAATCTTGGCTCACTGCAGCCTCTGCATCCTGGGTTCAAGTGATTCTCCTGCCTCAGCCTCCTGAGTAGCTGGGACTACAGGTGCCCGCTGCCACGCCCAGCTAATTTTTGTATTTTTAGTAGAGATGAGGTTTCACCATGTTGGTCACTCAGACTGGTCTCGAACTCCTGACCTCATGATCCACCCGCCTCGGCCTCCCAAAGTGCTGGGATTACAGGCATAAGCCACCGCGCCCTGCTGACCCTGTCTCTTTAAAAACAAATGCAAATGTTATTAGCAATGTTTTTCCCCTACGAATTGCCTTTTGCTCATTTTGCAAAAGATCTTGCTATGATTCAGATCACTAATCCTTAGTCATTGGCTTCTGGTTAGGCCTGGTTTCTTATCTTAATCTTGTTTATATTTGCCATATCTGAGCTTTGGGGGAGTTTTGTTTACATTAATATAATTAAATCTCATCTTTTGAATTCCTTATATGTTCTTATAATTTTCATTTTTTACATTTAATTATTTACCCATTTAGAATTCATTTTTGTGTATAGGAAAGTTGAAAGGCCAGGCACGGTGGCTCACATCTGTAATCCCAGCACTTTGGGAGGCTGAGGTGGGTGGATCACCAGGTCAGGAGTTCAAGACCAGCCTGACCAACATGGTGAAACCCCGTCTCTACTAAAATTACAAAAATTAGCCGGGTGTGGTGGTGTGCGCTTGCAATCCCAGCTACTCAGGAGGCTGAGGCAGGAGAATTGCTTGAACCTGGCAGGTGGAGGCTGCAGTGAGCCGAGATTGCACCACTGCACTCCAGCCTGGGCAACAATAGTGAAACTCCGTCTCAAAAAAAAAAAAAAAGTTGAAACCTAAACTGCTTTTGTGTCTATACTATATATTTTTTGTTTGTTTGTTTTGAGATGGAGTCTCACTCCATCACTCAGGTTGGAGTGCAGTGGCACTATCTCAGCTCACTGCAACCTCCGCCTCCTGGGTTCAAGTGACTCTCCTGCCTCAGCCTCCCGTGTAGCTGGGATTACAGGCGTGCGCTACTACACCCGGCTCATTTTTGTATTTTTAGTAGATATGGGTGGCCAGGCTGGTCTCAAACTCCTGACCTGAAGTGATCCACCTGCCTCGGCCTCCCAAAGTGCTGGGATTACAGGCGTGAGCCACCACACCTGGCCTGTGTCTATATGTTTTAACATTAACAGTCCTGACTCGTACTTGGCCCATACTTAACATAACATGATATTTATTGATGAATTAAAAGTGACTTCCTAAAGAAAGAATCCAACTTTTACTTCTTTCTCTGTAAGACTTTATAAGTCAAATCCTAACACTGCAAGTAACAACAATCCTGCACAACTCAAAAATTGTAAACTGAAGTCAATAATCCATTCCTTTTAAGCAATACTTTATATGATAAAAATACACTATATCATGTGAATTATACCTAAATAAAACTGTTCTTTAAAAAACCTATTATACCCAAGGCAATTAAACCTTATCCTTACATTTAAATTTGGTCTAAGAAGCTCTTATAATAAATATAATGCTATGATGTAAAAAAAAAAAAATTAACCAAATGTTTAAAACTATTAAGTCTGCAATTTATAACTTGGAAGCCATTAAGTCAGTAGTTCAAGAAATCAAAAGTCCTGGGCTGAGCGCGGTGGCTCATGCCTGTAATCCCAGTACTTTGGGAGGCCAAGGCTGGCAGATCAGGAGGCGGGCAAACTGCTGAGGTCAGGAGTTCGAGACCAGCCTGGCCAACATGGTGAAACCCCATCTCTGCTACAAATACAAAAATAAGCCGGGTGTGGTGGCAGAAGCCTATAGTCCCAGCTACTCAGAAGGCTGAAACAGAAGAATCGCTTGAACCCAGGAGGCGAAAATTGTAGTGAGTGGAGATCACGCCACTCACTCCAGCCTGGGCGACAGAGCAAGACTCTGTCTAAAAAAAAAAAA